>NC_000017.11:60000-360000 GCF_000001405.40 Homo sapiens
GATCATGCAGCTCTTCCAGGCCCACTGCTTCTTCCTGTCCACTAGGCCACAGCCGCCCTCCAGGCCCACTATGCACACATCTTCCCCTCCAAGGTTTGTTCTGCCCCTGCCCTGACTCCCAGCCCTGTGGGGGTCCTGACCGCACCTCACCTGGCTCAGACTCTTGACGCTGCCCTGGCTGCCCCACCACTGCTTCTGCCCGAGAGTCACGTGAGGCTGAGAGTAGGGGCAGGGGCAGCAGTGGTGCCAGTTGGGGGGCGGTCCAGTGGGAGGAGCCTCAGCCTCGCGGGCTGCTCCGTGGGACTGATGACTGCATGATCTTCTGGGCACCTCACGGATCTTCAACTGCAGGTGAAACGGATGCTGGTGGTGGGTGCAGGGCCGCTGGGAGCTGCTGCATGGTTCCCAGAGGCTGGACTGGGGCAGGTGCCAACTGAAGCTGCTGGGGCAGCATGGGCAGGATGTTCTGCACACAAACCTTGGAGAAGAAGATGTGTGCATAGCAGGTCCACTGCTGCTGCCCCTGCCCTGACTCCCAGCCCTGCCTGACCCCACCTCAACCTGCTCAGGCTCTGGCGCAACCCTGGCTGCCCTGCCACTGCCTCTGCCCCAGAGTTGGGGCCTTGACAACCTGGTTGGAAGGGGACACCCCAGCCCTGCCTCAACACCTGGGGGTCTCCATAACTACCACAGGCAGGTGGGCAACCCCAAAGATCCCAGGACTCACAGTACCCCCTGAGAACATGGACAGTATGTGGGGGTAGAAATGGAGGGCAGGATGGTTATCTTCTCCCAGGTGAAGCCATTTAATCCTTTCAGTTTGGGACGGAGTAAGGCCTTCCTCTTTTTTTTTTTTTTTTTTTTTTTGAGACCGAGTCTTGCTCTGTCACCCAGGCTGGAGTGCAGTGGTGCGATCTTGGCTCACTGCAACCTCTTCCCGCCGGGTTCACGCCATTCTCCTGCCTCAGCCTTCCGGGTAGCTAGGATTACAGGTGGACGCTACCACGTCCGGCTAATTTTTGTATTTTTAGTACAGACGGGGCTTCATCATCTTGGCCAGGCTGATTTCGATCTCCTGACATCGTGATCTGCCTGCCTCCCCCTCCCAAAGTGCTGGGATTACAGGCGTGAGCCACCACGCCTGGCCAAGGCCTGCTCCTCTTATCTATACCCCCTACCCCTGCAGCTGTGCCGGGGGAAAGCTGGGCAGTTTCCCTCCTCCGAGCCCCTGTACATACCATGAATTGTGGGACCTTCAGAGCTTTTCACTTTTCAGAAAATAGCTCCTGCTGGGGCTACAAGATGGAGTGTGAAGAGGGCCTTGGGCCACAGGGAGGCGCCTGTGGACTAGGGGGAGTTCATGCACCCCTTCTTTCCCCAGAGGGGCTGGACTCAGGTGAGTATGGGGGTGGGGGCTCCTACACTTCGACACAGGCAGCGGGAGGGTTTTCTCCCCATTCCCTCTGCACTCCCAACTTGAGCTATACTTTTTAAGAAAGTGATTCACCCTGCCTTTGCCCCCTTCCCCAGAACAGAACACGTTGATCGTGGGCGATATTTTTCATTGTGCCAAAAAGTTGCCATGACCGTCATTAAACCTGTTTAACACCAAATAATAAGGAAAATAAAATAAAAAATTCGGGCTTGGCGCAGAAACTCACTCCAAATAAATTACCTACCAAAATATTTACATAATGGTGGAAATATTCCAAAATTCAATATTTTGGGATTTATACACAAAAGATAAACAAATTAGAGGCCAAGAGGCTGCCGGAAGGGAAAAACGGGGCCTGGAATGGCCGACGTGAGGAATGAGCTGGGCCTAAAGAGGCCACTGGCAGGCAGGAGCTGGACCTGCCGAAGTGGCCGAAAGGCAGGAGCTTTGGACTGGGGAGGCCGCAGTGAGACGAGAGCTAGCTGGGCGTGGAGAGTCCGCTGTGAGGCCGAGGCCGAGGCCGGGCCCGTGCAGGCCTTCGAGAGGCAGGAGGCCGGGCCTGCAAAGGCCGCCTGGAGATCAAGTTCTGCGCCTGAAGAGGCTGCCAAAAGTCAAAAGCGGGGCCTGGGAAGGCCGCCGAGAGCCATGAGCTGGGCTGGGCCGAAAGAGGCCACTGGGAGGCAGGAGGAGCTGGGCCTGGAGAGGCTGACTCGAGGAAGTTTTGCACCTGGAGAGGCCGTCGAGAGGACGGAGCTGGGCCCAGGGAGGCCGACTTGCTGCTCTTCCAGGCCCACTTCCAGGCCGACTTGAGGACGACTTGGGCCTGCAGAGGCCGCCGGGAGGCTGGAGCTAAGCCTGGAGAGACTGACTTCGGGACGATTTGGGCCTGCAGAGGCCGCCGGGAGGCCCAAGCTGGGCCTAGAGGAGCCCACCGACCGGAGGCCATTTGGGGCCTGCAGATGTCATCGGAGGGCCAGGAGCTGAGCCTGGAGAGGCCACCGCGAGGCCTGAGCTGGGCCTGGGGAGCTTGGCTTAGGGAAGTTGTGGGCCTACCAGGGCCGCTGGGAGCTGGGCAGGAGCTGAGTCCAAAGACGTTGTTGGGACCTGGAGTCGGGCCAGAGTCCGGCCTGGAGATGCAGCCAGGAGGAAGAGCTGGGCCCGGAGGGGGCGCCGGGAGGCTGCAAGTGGGTCTGAGAGGCCAACTTGAGGAGGCCTGGCCTCTGCCTCCCGCATTGCCCAGCTGTTCCTCCTGGCTGCATCTCCCACCTCCCAGCAAACAAGCTCTTTTGGCTCAGCTCCCGCCTGCCTTTGTAGACCCCGAAGTTTCTGCAACCAAGCTCTTCAGACCCACATCCCTTCTCCCAGTGACTGAACAGTCCCAGCTCCGGCTGGAGAAGGGCGTCTGCAGACCCCGCTGTTGCCTCCCAGGGGAGTCTCCAGGCCCAGCTCTCGCCCCACCGCGACCTCCCAGGCCCAAGTCCCTGCCTACCTCCCAGCAGCCCGAGTGCGATCCTGTTCCTCCCTCACGGTGGCCTGTTGAGGCAGGGGGTCACGCTGACCTCTGTCCGCGTGGGAGGGGCCGGTGTGAGGCAAGGGCTCACACTGACCTCTCTCAGCGTGGGAGGGGCCGGTGTGAGGCAAGGGGCTCACGCTGACCTCTGTCCGCGTGGGAGGGGCCGGTGTGAGGCAAGGGCTCACACTGACCTCTCTCAGCGTGGGAGGGGCCGGTGTGAGGCAAGGGGCTCACGCTGACCTCTGTCCACGTGGGAGGGGCCGGGGTGAGGCAAGGGGCTCACGCTGACCTCTGTCCGCGTGGGAGGGGCTGGTGTGAGGCAAGGGCTCACACTGACCTCTCTCAGCGTGGGAGGAGCCAGTGTGAGGCAGGGGCTCACGCCTCTGGGCAGGGTACCAGAGGCATGAGTTGGGCATCAACAGGCCACCGTGAGGGAGGAGCTGGGCCGCACGCGGGCTGCTGGGAGGCAGGCAGGGACTTGGCCCCGGGAGGCCGCCGTGGGGGCAAGAGCTGGGCCTGGAGAGGCCCCTGGGAGGCAAGGGCGGGGCCTGCAGAGGCTGTTCTCCAACCAGTGCTAGAACTGTACAGGCCACCAGGAGGCAGGAGGTGGGCCCTCAGAGCTTGGCTGGAGAAAGTTCAGGGCCTACAAAGGCGGTTGGGAGCTGGGCAGGAGTTGAGCCAAAAGAGCTTGCTTACTTGCTGGGAGGCAGGGCCGGGAGAGCCCGACTTCAGGACAACTTGGGCCTGCGGCGGTCGCCGGGAGGCCCAACCTTGGCGTGGAGGAGCCCACCGACCGGAGACCATTTGGGGCCTGGAGATGCCATAGGAGGGCAGGAGCTCATCCTGGAGAGGCCACCGTGAGGCCTGACCTGGGCCTGGGGAGCTTGGCTTGAGGAAGCTGTGGGCCGACCAAGGCCGCCAGGAGATGGGTAGGCACTGAGTCCAAAGAGGTTGTTGAGAGGCAGGAATCGGGCCTGGAGACCCAACCAGGAAGAAGAGCTGGGCCCGGAGAGGATGCCCGGAGGGTGCAAGTGGGTCTGGAGAGGCCGACTTGAGGAGGTTCTGGGCCCGGAGAGGCCGCCGGAAGGGAAAACTGGGCCTGGAAAGGCCGTTGTCAGGAATGAGCCCCATGGGCCTGAAGAGGCCACTGGCAGGCGGGAGCTGGGCCTGCCGAAGCGGCCGAGAGGCAGGAGCTTTGGACTCGGGAGGCCGCAGTGAAGCAACAGCTAGCTGGGCGTGGAGAGTCCGCTGTGAGGCAGAGGCTGGGCCTGTGCAGGCCTTCGGGAGGCAGGAGGCTGGGCCTTGTCGAGGCCTGCAGAGGCCACCGAAAGTCAAAAGCGGGGCTTGGGAAGGCCGCCGGGAGGCATGAGCTGGGCTGGGCTGAAAGAGGCCACTGGGAGGCCGGAGGAGCTGGGCCTGGAGAGGCTGCCGAAAGGCAGGAGCTTCGCCTGAGGATGCCACAGTGAGACACCATCTGGGTCTGGAGGGTCCACTGTGAGGCAGAGGCTGACCTGTAGAGTCCGACAGTAGACAGAAGTTGGGCAAAAGGCTGATTTGAGGAAGTTTTGGGCTTCAAGAGTCAGCCACGAGGCAGGCACTAGGCCTGGAAATGGCCTCACAGTCATGAGTTGGGCCTAAATGGGCCACTGTGAGGGAGGAGCTGTGCCTGTTGAGGCTGCTGGCAGGCAGGCAGAAATTTGGCCTGGGGCAGCCGCCATGAGGCAAGAGCTGGGCCTGGAAAAAGCCCCTGGGAGGCAAGAGCAGGGCCTGCAGAGGCTGTTCTCAAGTCAAAGCTGGGCCTGTTGATGCCACCGGGAAGCAGAAGGTGGGCCTGGAGAGTTTGACTTGAGGAAGTTTTGGGCCTACATTGGCCGCCATGAGCTGGACAGGAACTGGGCCAAAAAAGGCTGTTGTGAGGCAGCAGTTGTGCCTGTAGACCCAGCCAAGAGGAAGAGGTGGGCCTGGAGAAGCCCCCATGAGGCAGAGGTTGGGCCTGTAGACGCTGACAGGAGGCAGGAGGTGGGCCTGGACAGGTCAACTTGAGGAGATTTTGGGCCTTCATAGGCCACCAGGAGGCAGCAGTTGGGACTAGAGAGTCTGACTTGAGTAAGTTTTGGGCCCGGAGATGACGTCCTGGGACAGGAGTTGGGCGTGGAGAGGCCACCGTGAGGCATAAGCTGGATGTAGAGAGGCCAGTGTGAGACAAGACCTGGGCCTGTCTAGGCTGCTGGGAGACAGGCAGGAATCTGGCCAGGGAAGGTTGCCATGAGACAAAAGTTGGGCCTGGAAAGGCCCTTGTGAAGCATGAGCTTGGCCTAAAGAGGCCACTGGGTGGCAGGAGCTGGGTGTGTAGAAGCTGCTGAAAGGTTGGGAGCTTGGCTTGGGGGATCCACAGTGAGGTAGATGCTGGGCGTAAAGAATCTGCTGTGAGGCAGACGTTCGGACTGTAGAGGCTGACGGGAGGCAGAGGCTGGGCCTGGAGGGGCCACCAAGATGCAGGAGCTGGGCCTGGAGAGGCTGCAAAGAAGCATGAGCTGGGCCTGGTGAGGTTGACTTGAGAAAGTTCAGGGCCTGGAGAGAAGGCTGGGAGGCAGGAGCTGGGTCTAAAGAGGCCATTGTAACGATGGAGCTGTGCCTGTGGAGGCTGTTGTGAGGCAGTAGCCTCATCTGCGGAGGCTGCCGTGACGTAGGGTATGGGCCTAAATAGGCCATTGAGAGTCATGAGCTTGGTCTGTAGAGGCTGACTGGAGAAAGTTCTGGGCCTGGAGAGGCTGCCGGGAGGTAGGAGCTGGGCCAAAAGATGTAAGCACATTTGTATTTATTAGGCACTTTATTTCCATTATTACACTGTAATATATAATAAAATAATTATAGAACTCACCATAATGTAGAATCAGTGGGCGTGTTAAGCTTGTTTTCCTGCAACTGGATGGTCCCACCTGAGCGTGATGGGAGAAAGTGACAGATCAATAGGTATTAGATTCTCATAAGGACAGCGCAACCTCGATCCCTCACATGCACGGTTCACAACAGGGTGCGTTCTCCTATGAGCATCTAATGCTGCTGCTCATCTGAGAAGGTGGAGCTCAGGCGGGAATGTGAGCAAAGGGGAGTGGCTGTAAATACAGACGAAGCTTCCCTCACTCCCTCACTCGACACCACTCACCTCCTGCTGTGTGGCTCCTTGCGGCTCCATGGCTCAGGGGTTGGGGACCCCTGCTCAAGTGCATCCAAAGCGACCCTTCCCACACCAGTCTTCACAGTGGTCAAGGGCAGCAACCACTTAGCTCCCAAGGCATGTGCCTCAGCTGGCATTTCGTCACAATCAACAGTAAGTGGTAGCTTGAGTCACTGTGAGGTCACCTACTGGAAATCACCAGCACCCCATTTCCCACTGGCAAAGAGCTCAGCACTACCCCCTGGGAAACCACACCTATGCCCAAATCCCATCTGTGTGGGTTTACCTCCTGGGACCCTTCCTAACATATTAGTCAGAGTCCAATCAGGAAGCATAAACCACTCAAAAGTTTAAAGTGGTAAAATTTAATACAGAGAATTATTCATTATAACAGGTGAACAGCATAATGAGAGATTGGCTAGCACAGAGTAAAGAGAACTCTAGAGAATATGGGACTAGCCCAGGCCAGGCATGGTGGCTCATGCCTGAAATTCCAGCCATTACAGAAGCTAATGCAGGAGGACTGCTTAAGGCCAGGAGCTAGAGACCGCTCTGGACGACACAGTGAGACCCTGTCTCTATCCAAAAGGAGAAAAAAGTTAGCTGGGGGTGGTGCTGCACACTTGTAGTCCCAGCTACTCGGAATGCTGAAGTTTGAGCCTGGGAGGTCAAGGCTGCAGTGAGGCATGATTATGCCACTACAGTCCAGCCGGATGACAGAGCAAGACCCTGTCTCAAAGAACAAAACCACAACAACCATTTACAGACAGAAAAGAAATAGAGCTAATAAGCTGAGGAAAGATGTTGAAATGTGACAAGTAAAGTAATATGAGGTCTTTTGTCTATTTAAAATAATCAAACAAAAAATGGCTTACGAAATTATAATACCCTGTGCTGGCAAAGGTGCAGTGAAATGGGCACTTTCTTATACTATGAGGGGTGGTTAAATTGTGTATAAGCCTTCCCGGGTAAAGCCTGTCAATTTTTTAAAATAATGGAGACAGGGTCTCACCATACTGCCATACTGCCTCCTCCAACTCTTGGCCTCAAGCAATCCTCCTCTCTTAGCCTCCCAAAGTGCTAAGATTATAGCTGGGAGGCACCCAAAACCCTGTCAATTTACATCAAGGGTAAGGAGAATGTCCATTCACCATGACTCACAGTAATCTTACTTCTGGGGAGACAATTCAATCTAAGCAAAAGGTCATCTGTACACACACAGTAAAAATCTGGGAGTAACTGAAGACAGAGTTGGTAAGTGAAATAAGAAACAGTTATAAGAAATTAAACTATGGTATCAATAGGCACCTGGTAAAAGGTCAGTTGATGTTGCTGCTGCTTTTTTGTTGTTTTGAGACAGGGTCTCACTCTGTCACCCAGGCTGGAGTGCAGAGGCCTGATCATGACTCACTGCAGTCTCAGCCTCCCTGGGCTCAAGTGATCCTCCCACCTCAGCCTCCCAAGTAGCTGGGACTACAGGAACATGCCACCACACTAGGCTAATTCATGTATTTTTCTGTAGGGATGGTGACTCCCCCTTTGTTTCCAAGGCCTATCGCAAACTCTTGGCCTCAAGCCATCCTCCTGCCTCAGCCTCCCAAAGTGTTGCAATTACCAGTGTGAGCCACCACATCTGGCCAGCTGCTACTTTTATCAATATTATTCTTATTCCACTCAATTAAAAATTATTATTTTCAAGGCTATGCAACAGTATGTATCCTACAGCGTAATTGTAAAAACATACACAGTCCTCATCCCTCAGTATACAGAATTAGTTCCAGCCCCCCATCTCTGCATATACCAAAATCCATGCTTACTCACGTTTCGCTGTCACCCCTCTAGAATCCACGTATACGAAAATTCCAAATGTTAGTTGGGCATAGTGGCAAGCACCTGTAGTCTCAGCCACGTGGGAGGTTGAGGTGGGAGGATCGCTTCAGCCTGGAAGGTTGAGGCTGCAGTCAGCTGCAATAGCACTACTACACTCCAGCCTTGGACAACAGAGGGAGACCCTGTCTCAGAACAAAAAAAATAAATAAATAAAAAATAAAACAGGTTAGAAACTGTGATGAGGTCTGTTGGGCAAAATTCCATATAAGCAAAGTATAAATTAATAAAGCAAATCGTGATAAATCAGTACGATTGACTTTCTGGAGTTTCTGACAATAAAAGTAAGGAAAATGCAGAACACAAAGACAGAGAGTAAAAAGAGAAATTAGGAAAGCATTCTACATGTTGAATAGGAAGACACTGGCCATGTTCGTGCAGCGGCAGTATGTCGTGACATGACATACCTTGGAGAGAAGTTAACAGATGAGGAAGTTGATAAAAATCATCAGAGAAGCAAAATACTGGTAGCGACACTCAAGTAAACCATGAAATTTCCATAACTTATGTCAGCAAAGTGGGAATATTGTACAGTGTGTGTTGAAGTTCCTATACAACATTGTTTATCTGCCTTTTGTTTGTTTGTAAGGAATGTATATACTAAAAGTTCTTCTTGCTGTCAAAAGAATATGTGTGAATAAGTCATTTTAACTTATTCTTCTGTTTTTCTTTTATCTTCCTGCCATCATCCCACAGCCTTACTTTAGAAATTTCTTTTTTAGAAAATTGAACAAGTGCTCCCTGTGGTGGCACATACCTCAAGGATGGGAGGCAGGGGTGGAAGGGTCACTTGAGGCCATTAGTTTGACACCAGCCTGGCCAACAAAGTGAGACCCCGTGTCTACAAAACAATTTAAAAATTAGCCAAGTATCGTCATGTATACCTACAGTCCCAGCTACCTGAACTTACTGAGAAAGTTCAGAGCCTGGAGAGAAGGCTGGGAGGCAGGAGCTGGGTCTAAAGAGGCCATTGTAACGATGGAGCTGTGCCCGTGGAGGCTGTTGTGAGGCAGTAGCCTCATCTGCGGAGGCTGCCGTGACGTAGGGTATGGGCCTAAATAGGCCATTGAGAGTCATGAGCTTGGTCTGTAGAGGCTGACTGGAGAAAGTTCTGGGCCTGGAGAGGCTGCCGGGAGGTAGGAGCTGGGCCAAAAGATGTAAGCACATTTGCATTTATTAGGCACTTTATTTCCATTATTACACTGTAATATATAATAAAATAATTATAGAACTCACCATAATGTAGAATCAGTGGGCGTGTTAAGCTTGTTTTCCTGCAACTGGATGGTCCCACCTGAGCGTGATGGGAGAAAGTGACAGATCAATAGGTATTAGATTCTCATAAGGACAGCGCAACCTAGATCCCTCACATGCACGGTTCACAACAGGGTGCGTTCTCCTATGAGAATCTAACGCTGCTGCTCATCTGAGAAGGTGGAGCTCAGGCGGGAATGTGAGCAAAGGGGAGTGGCTGTAAATACAGACGAAGCTTCCCTCACTCCCTCACTCGACACCGCTCACCTCCTGCTGTGTGGCTCCTTGCGGCTACATGGCTCAGGGGTTGGGGACCCCTGCTCAAGTGCATCCAAAGCGACCCTTCCCACACCAGTCTTCACAGTGGTCAAGGGCAGCAACCACTTAGCTCCCAAGGCATGTGCCTCAGCTGGCATTTCGTCACAATCAACAGTAAGTGGTAGCTTGAGTCACTGTGAGGTCACCTACTGGAAATCACCAGCATCCCATTTCCCACTGGCAAAGAGCTCAGCACTGCCCCCTGGTAAACCAAACCTATGCCCAAATCCCATCTGTGTGGGTGTATCTCCTGGGACCCTTCCTAACATATTAGTCAGAGTCCAATCAGGAAGCATAAACCACTCAAAAGTTTAAAGTGGTAAAATTTAATACAGAGAATTATTCATTATAACAGGTGAACAGCATAATGAGAGATTGGCTAGCACAAAGTAAAGAGAACTCTAGAGAATATAGGACTAGCCCAGGCCAGGCATGGTGGCTCAGGCCTGAAATTCCAGCAATTTGAGAAGCTAATGCAGGAGGATTGCTTAAGGCCAGGAGCTAGAGACCGGTCTGGACAACAGAGTGAGACCCTGTCTCTATCCAAAGGAAGAAAAAAGTTAGCTGGTGGTGGTAGTGCACACTTGTAGTCCCAGCTACTCGGAATGCTGAAGTTTGAGCCTGGGAGGTCAAGGCTGCAGTGAGGCATGATTATGCCACTACAGTCCAGCCTGGTGACAGAGCAAGACCCTGTCTCAAAGAACAAAACCACAACAACCATTTACAGACAGAAAAGAAATAGAGCTAATAAGCTGAGGAAAGATGTTGAAATGTGACAAGTAAAGTAATATGAGTTCTTTTGTCTATGTAAAATAATCAAACAAAAAATGACTTACTAAATTATAATACCCTGTGCTGGCAAAGGTGCAGTGAAATGGGCACCTTCTTATACTATGAGGGGTGTTTAAATTGTGTATAAGCCTTCCCGGGTAAAGCCTGTCAATTTTTTAAAATAATGGAGACAGGGTCTCACCATACTGCCATACTGCCTCCTCCAACTCTTGGCCTCAAGCAATCCTCCTCTCTTAGCCTCCCAAAGTGCTAAGATTATAGCTGGGAGGCACCCAAAACCCTGTCAATTTACATCAAGGGTAAGGAGAATGTCCATTCACCATGACTCACAGTAATCTTACTTCTGGGGAGACAATTCAATCTAAGCAAAAGGTCATCTGTACACACACAGTAAAAATCTGGGAGTAACTGAAGACAGAGTTGGTAAGTGAAATAAGAAACAGTTATAAGAAATTAAACTATGGTATCAATAGGCACCTGGTAAAAGGTCAGTTGATGTTGCTGCTGCTTTTTTGTTGTTTTGAGACAGGGTCTCACTCTGTCACCCAGGCTGGAGTGCAGAGGCCTGATCATGACTCACTGCAGTCTCAGCCTCCCTGGGCTCAAGTGATCCTCCCACCTCAGCCTCCCAAGTAGCTGGGACTACAGGAACATGCCACCACACTAGGCTAATTCATGTATTTTTCTGTAGGGATGGTGACTCCCCCTTTGTTTCCAAGGCCTATCGCAAACTCTTGGCCTCAAGCCATCCTCCTGCCTCAGCCTCCCAAAGTGTTGCGATTACCAGTGTGAGCCACCACACCTGGCCAGCTGCTACTTTTATCAATATTATTCTTATTCCACTCAATTAAAAATTATTATTTTCAAGGCTATGCAACAGTATGTATCCCACAGCGTCATTGTAAAAACATATAGTCGTCGTCCCTCAGTATACAGAATTAGTTCCAGCCCCCCATCTCTGCATATACCAAAATCCATGCTTACTCACGTTTCGCTGTCACCCCTCTGGAATCCACGTATACGAAAATTCCAAATGTTAGTTGGGCATAGTGGCAAGCACCTGTAGTCTCAGCCACGTGGGAGGTTGAGGTGGGAGGATCGCTTCAGCCTGGAAGGTTGAGGCTGCAGTCAGCTGCGATGGCACTACTACACTCCAGCCTTGGACAACAGAGGGAGACCCTGTCTCAGAAAAAAAAAACAAAATAAAACAGGTTAGAAATTGTAATGAGGTCTGCTGGGCAAAATTCCATATAAGCAAAGTATAAATTAATAAAGCAAATCGTGATAAATTAGTACGATTGACTTTCTGGAGTTTCTGACAATAAAAGTAAGGAAAATGCAGAACACAAAGACAGAGAGTAAAAAGAGAAATTAGGAAAGCATTCTACATGTTGAATAGGAAGACACTGGCCATGTTCGTGCAGCGGCAGTATGTCGTGACATGACATACCTTGGAGAGAAGTTAACAGATGAGGAAGTTGATAAAAATCATCAGAGAAGCAAAATACTGGTAGCGACACTCAAGTAAACCATGAAATTTCCATAACTTATGTCAGCAAAGTGGGAATATTGTACAGTGTGTGTTGAAGTTCCTATACAACATTGTTTATCTGCCTTTTGTTTGTTTGTAAGGAATGTATATACTAAAAGTTCTTCTTGCTGTCAAAAGAATATGTGTGAATAAGTCATTTTAACTTATTCTTCTGTTTTTCTTTTATCTTCCTGCCATCATCCCACAGCCTTACTTTAGAAATTTCTTTTTTAGAAAATTGAACAAGTGCTCCTTGTGGTGGCACATGCCTCGAGGATGGGAGGCAGGGGTGGAAGGGTCACTTGAGGCCATTAGTTTGACACCAGCCTGGCCAACAAAGTGAGACCCCGTGTCTACAAAACAATTTAAAAATTAGCCAAGTATCATCATGTATACCTACAGTCCCAGCTACCTGAACTTACTGAGAAAGTTCAGAGCCTGGAGAGAAGGCTGGGAGGCAGGAGCTGGGTCTAAAGAGGCCATTGTAACGATGGAGCTGTGCCTGTGGAGGCTGCTGTGAGGCAGTAGGCTCATCTGCGGAGGCTGCCGTGACGTAGGGTATGGGCCTAAATAGGCCATTGTGAGTCATGAGCTTGGTCTGTAGAGGCTGACTGGAGAAAGTTCTGGGCCTGGAGAGGCTGCCGGGAGGTAGGAGCTGGGCCAAAAGATGTAAGCACATTTGCATTTATTAGGCACTTTATTTCCATTATTACACTGTAATATATAATAAAATAATTATAGAACTCACCATAATGTAGAATCAGGGGGCGTGTTAAGCTTGTTTTCCTGCAACTGGATGTTCCCACCTGAGCGTGATGGGAGAAAGTGACAGATCAATAGGTATTAGATTCTCATAAGGACAGCGCAACCTAGATCCCTCACATGCACGGTTCACAACAGGGTGCGTTCTCCTATGAGAATCTAACGCTGCTGCTCATCTGAGAAGGTGGAGCTCAGGCGGGAATGTGAGCAAAGGGGAGTGGCTGTAAATACAGACGAAGCTTCCCTCACTCCCTCACTCGACACAGCTCACCTCCTGCTGTGTGGCTCCTTGCGGCTACATGGCTCAGGGGTTGGGGACCCCTGCTCAAGTGCATCCAAAGCGACCCTTCCCAAGCCAGTCTTCACAGTGGTCAAGGGCAGCAACCACTTAGCTCCCAAGGCATGTGCCTCAGCTGGCATTTCGTCACAATCAACAGTAAGTGGTAGCTTGAGTCACTGTGAGGTCACCTACTGGAAATCACCAGCATCCCATTTCCCACTGGCAAAGAGCTCAGCACTGCCCCCTGGGAAACCAAACCTATGCCCAAATCCCATCTGCGTGGGTCTACCTCCTGGGACCCTTCCTAACATATAACCTTCATAACATACTTGAGAGGCTGAGGTGAGACAATCAATTTAGCCCAGGAGTTTGAGATCAGCCTGGACGACATAACTAAATCTCATCTCTACAAGGACGAGGTGGGAGGATCACTTGAGCCCAGGAATTTGTGGCCAGCCTGGGCAACAAAAGAAGACCCCATCTGGCCAACATGGCCAACCTGGCCACCACGGTGAAACTCTGACTCTACAAAAATGATCTGGGCATGGGTGACATGCATGTGTAGTCCTAGCTACTTGGGAGGTTGAGATGGGAGGATTGCTTGATCTCAGAAGGCCAAAGCTATAGTGAGCTATGATCACATCACTGCACTCCAGCCTGGATGGCACAGGGAGATTCTGTCTCAAAAAAAAGAAAAGAAATATATATTTAATCTCTGTCCCTGGTTCCTGGCACAGAGCTTCTAAAGCTCTTACAAAGACCTCAGTGATAGATGTGACAGGAGCATCTTTTGTTTTAATATTTGGTCTTGGTCCCAGGTTTCTAACACAAGAGCCTCTAAGAACTTTGGGATCTCCAGCATGGTAAGAATGCATTTGGGGATGTTGTTGAGATGACTGGGTGACTGCAAGCTCCTAAATTTCTTCAAGAGGAGGGCTGATTACCATGCAACCACATGGTAAGAGGCTTGGAACTTTCAGCCTCATGCACTGAACTCCAGGGGGAAGAGGGGCTGGAGACTGACTTAATCACCAACAGCCAAAGGTTTTATCAATCATGCTTGCATAATAAAGCCTCCATAAACACCCTGAAAGGGGTTTGCAGAGCTTTCAGGGTTGCTGGACACAGGAGATGCTGGGAGGGTCGCATGTTCAACAGAGGGCATGGGAGCTCTGTGCCCCTCCGAACTTAACTTGCCCTGGGTATCTTTCTTTTTTTTGAGACAGGATCAGGCTCTGTTGTCCAAGCTGGAGTGCAGTGGCACAATCTCAGCTTACTGTAACCTAAGCCTCCCCAGTCCCCAGCTCAAGGTATCCTCTCATCTCAGCTTCCCTAGTAGTTGGAACTCTAGGTGCACAACACCACACCAGTTATTATTATTATTTTTTAATTTTTTATAGAGACAAGTTTTCACCATGTTGCCCAGGCTGGTCTCAAACTCCTGAGTTTAAGCGATCCTCCCACCTTGGCCTCCCAAAGTGCTGAGATTACAGGCATGAGCCACTGCATCCAGCATGCACGTCTCTTTCATTGACTGTTTCTGAGATGTATCCTTCACAATGAACCAGTAATAGGAAATGAACTGGCCAGATGTGGTGGCTCACATCTGTAATCCCAGCACTTTCAGAGGCTGAGGTGGGAGGATCACTTGAGACCAGGAATTTGTGGCCAGCCTGGCCAACACAACAAGACCCCATCTATACAAAAAATAAAAGAAACTAGCCAGATGTGGTGGTGCAGGCATGTAGTCTCAGCTACTAGGGAGGCTGAGGTGGGAGAACCACTGGAACCCAGACAATCAAGGCTGCAATGAGCTATGACTGCACCATTGCACACCAGCCTGGGCAACAAAATAAGACCCTCTCTCTCAGAAAAAAAGAAAATAAACTGTTTTTCTGAGTTCCGTAAACTGTTCTAGCAAATTATTAAACCCAAGAAGACAGTTACGGGAACCCCCGATTGGTAACAGGTTGGTCAAAAGTATGGTGACAACTTAGGACTTGCCATTGTCATCTGAAGTGAGGATGGCCTCGTGGGACTGAGCCCCTAACTTGTGGGGTCTGTGCTAACTCCAGGTAGTGTCAGAATAAAGTCATGGGATACCCAGTTAATATCCAGAGCACTGAAGAATCTGGTGTAGAAACTCCATACATACATTCAGTCGGAAGTGTGTGAGTAGAGACAAACATGGGCTTTTCTGTCACCTACCTGCTTAACTGCATAGGAGAGGCAATATGTGGTGCTCATGAACAAAGCAAACATTAAAGTCAGACCAGACCCAACATTTGACTCAGTCTTAATATCCAGGTGAGCCTGCGCAAATCATTCATTATTCCTAAGGTTTTCATCACTCCATTCATAAAATGGGGATAACTGTGGCACCTACATGTGATTCTGTGAGAATTAACGAAATATTATGCTTGGGGTTATTGTGATCATTATACCTGTTCCAAACTATTTGACAAGGACAGTGATGGATGAAGACATCAAAAAATCAGAAACTGCAATGAGGTCTCTCAGGCAAAATTCCATACAAGCAAATTACTGTGTCTACAAAGCATTCCTGCCACACTTAATTCACCATTCCCT
The DNA here is from genome assembly GCF_000001405.40 of Homo sapiens. Taxonomy (NCBI): domain Eukaryota; kingdom Metazoa; phylum Chordata; class Mammalia; order Primates; family Hominidae; genus Homo; species Homo sapiens. The sequence goes on from NC_000017.11 coordinate 75,540, forward strand.
GAACAGAATATGCCATCTTCGTTGTTCAGGTCTGTACAGTGCTGGTGTCCCTTCCCGGGCAGTTTGCGCTATCCCATCCCGGCCCATTCCCCATCCCTCCACCTCCCCCTTCCCTCCCCACTCTCATACAACTCTTCCTCATCTTTCAGGACTTGGCTTCAATGTCACCTTAACTGGAAGCTTCTCTCACTCTCCAGAAGAGCTTCCCATTGCACCTGATGCATGGGAAACATAATTTGATCACTTTTAAGTTACAGTCCAAATCTTTTTGTACCTGAATAACATGTTGCCCAGTCAGTCTCTCTTCCTGGATTCACAAGTCTTTCATGGTAGATCCAGCTGGAAGTGACAAAAAGACATCTTTTGACATAAAGGGATGACACAGACAGACATAAGTTCTTAAATGTCTTAAATGTCATGTGAAAATTAAACAGAATTCAAAGACTTGTGGGGAGCACTTAGGAAGTTACTGGGAATGTCATAAAGGGTTAATTTGTATTTTATTTTATTTTTTGAGACAGTCTCATTCTGTCACCTAGGCTGGAGTGCAGTGGTGCAATCAGGCTCACTGCAGCCTTGACCACCTGGGCTCAAGTAATCTCACTTAATTTTTATTTGGTTTAAGAAAGTCTTGGTTGAGGGTGGTGGCTTATGCCTGTAATCTCAGCACTTTGGGAGGCTGAGAGAGGTATATTACTTGAGGCCAGGAGTTTGAAATCAGACTGGGCAATATATTAAGACCCTGCCTCTACCAAAAAACAGAGTGAATGTGTGGAAGACAATTTTTCCACAGACTGGGAATGAGGGAATAATTTCAGGATGATTCAAGTGCATTACATATATTGTGCACTTTATTTCTATTATTACTACATAGTAATATATAATGAAATGATTCTACAACTCACTATAACGTAGACTCAGTGGGATCTCTGAGCTTGTTTTCCTGCAACTAGACTGTCCACCTGGGGTGATGGGAGACAGTAACAGAATATCAGGCATTAGATTCTCATAAGGAGTACACAACCTAGATCCCTCGCATGCACACTTCACAACAGAGTTTGTGCTCCTATGACAATCTAATGCTGCTGCTGATCTGACAGGACATGGAGCTCAGGTGGTCATGCAAGTGATGGGAGGGGCTAGAAATACAGATGAAGTTTCCCTTCACTCGCCTGCTGCTCACCTCCAGCTCTGTGGCCCTGTGGTTGGAGACCGCTGCTCAAGTGCATTTGAAAGGAACCATCCCACGCCATTCTTCAGAGTCATCTTTACTGCTGCAGTGGTCAACTTGTAGCACCCCTAAGCTCGCAGGACATATGCTTCAACTGGCATTTCACAATCAACAGTATGTGGCAGCTTGAGTCATTGTGAGCTCACTTCCTGGAAATCACCAGCATCCCATATCCCATTGCAAGGAGCTCAGCACTGCTCCTTGGATAACCAAACCTATTCCCAAATCCCATCTGTGTGCGTCTATCTCCTGGTACCCTTCCTAGCATCAATTCTGTATTTGTAGGAGTCCAATCAGGAGACACAAACCACTCAAAAGTTTAAACTAGAATGAGCAAGATGGCTCACACCTGTAACCCCAGAACTCTGGGAGGCCAAGGTGGGTGGACTGCTTTGAGCTCAGGAGTTTGAGAACAGTCTGGGAAACATGGCGAAACCTCGTCTCTACAAAAAACACAAAAATCAGCTGGGTGTGGTGGCACTTACCTGTAATCCCAGCTACTCGGGAGGCTGAGGCAGGAGAATTGCTTGAGCCTGGCAGGTGGAGGCTGCAGTGAGCAGAGGTTGTGCCACTGTACTCCAGCCTGGGTGACAGTGTGAGACCCGGTATCAAAAAGAAAAAACGTATATATATATATATATATATATATATATATATATATATATATATATATGTAAATTTAATATAAAAAGTATTAATTTTGGCCAGGCAAAATGGCTCATGCCTGTAATCCCAGCACTTTGGGAGGCCAAGGCAGACAGATCACCTGAGGTCAGGAGTTCGAGACCAGCCTGACCAGCACAGAGAAACCCCATCTCTACTAAAAATACAAAATTAGCTGGGCATGGTGGCACATGCCTGTAATCCCAACTACTCGGGAGGCTGAGGCAGGAGAATTGCTTGAACCCAGAAGGTGGAGGTTGCGCTGAGCCGAGATAGCACCATTGCACTCCAGCCTGGGCAACAAGAGTGAAACTCCATCTCAAAAAAAAAAAAAAAAGGTATTAATTTTTACAGAGGATCAGCACAATGAGGGACACACTAGCACAAAGTAAAGACAACTCTAGAGAATACGGAACTAGCAGAGGCCAGGCATTGTGGCTCATGCCTGTAATCCCAGCAATTTGGGAAGCCTAGGCAGGAGGATCGCTTGAGGCCAGGAGTTGGAGACCAATCAGTGCTAAATAGTGAGACTCTGTGTCTACCAAAAAAAAGAGACATTAGCCAGGTGTGGTGGTGGTGCACACTCGTAGTTCCAGCTACTTGGGAGTCTGGGGTGGGAGAAATCCCTTGAGCCTGGGAAGTCTACACTACAGTGAGCCAAGATTGTGCCACTGCACTCCAGCCTGGGCGACAGAGTGAGACCCTGTCTTAGAAAGAAAAAAGAAAAGAAAGTGTTAATCCCCCTATGGGAATCTCCTCTTCTCCTGCCCTCTCTGGAACCTCACTTGTCAGTTCTTCCTCCCACTTTCCTGTATCTTTAACCTATCCCCCACTTTTAGCTCCTTCCCATCATCATTTAAATTACTCAAACTTCTTCTGTTTTAAAAACCTCTCCCTAAACTCAGGGAGAGGTCTTCTGCACACACATTGAGCCATCTGCTCTTCCTGGTGCCTTCTCTACAGCAGCCTGAGCCATGTCTCTAATCTATGAATCTCATCATGTTACTCCCCCATTTACATCACTTCTCCTTGCCTCAGGGATTAAGTCCAAACTCCTTAACAGCCCCTGCTCTGCCCTGCCTTGCAAGGCAGCCTCACTGCTTGCCCCTCTCCATTTCATCTGCTATGGAGTCCAACTGAGCCTCATCTGCCCCTTGAACGCACACTCTTTCTCCTCTGGGAGTCTCTGAAGTGGGTAATATCCTCTGCTTATAATATGCTTCCCCTTAAACCTCTACTCTCTTCCTAGCTAGCTTTGACTCCTCTGTCACTTGTCCGCTTTGGCATCACCTCCTCATAGAAGACTTCTATGACTCCCGAGATTCTCAGGAGCATGGCAGGTGAAGTGCTCCTCCCATGAATGGATGGAGATTAGGGAGTGTGTGTTATTCATGCTTCATTCACCAGTGCTTAGCTGAGTACCTGGCATAAAATAGTTACTGTGGTGGCCAAAGTAATAACCCCCACCGCCACCAATTGCTCATGTCCTATGTTACACAGCACAATTACATAGGAAGGGGGAATTAAGAGTGCAGATAAAATTAATGCTGCTCATCAGCTGTCCTTAAAACAAGATTATCCTGGAGTATCTAGGAGAGCCCATGTAATTACAAGCATTCTTTAAAACTGGAAGAGGGAGGCAGAAGGTTAAGAACCAGAGACGGTGGGCACAATGGCTCATGCCTGTAATACCAATACTTTGGGAGGCCAGGGTAGGAAAATCCCTTGAGTGCAGGAGTTCAAGGTCAGCCATGGCAACATACTGAGGTCCCATCTCTACAACAAAATAAAAACAAAATTCACTGAGTGTCACGATGCTTACCTGTAGTCCCAGCTACTGGGAAGGCTGACATGGTAGGATTGCTTGAGCCTGGGAGTTTGAGGCTATAATGAGCCATGATAGGACCACTGAACTCCATCCTAGTGACAGGGCAAGGTCCTGTTTCTGAAGAAAAAAAGGACATTGGAATCAGGGCCCTCTCCATCCTGAGGTGCCTACAAGGCATCTCTCTCTGCAAACGAGTAAACATCACCCTCCAACTCCTTACAGAGTGGAGCAACAGGAAAACTCCCTCACCTCATTTCTGTGCTGCTTGGGAGGCCTGGACAGCCCAATAACCAGCTCCTCGCTGATGAAGCAATCAGGAAATGGCTCGAGTTGAGCTAAGGAGAATTTGGATCCTTCCTTTGGTTCTCAGTAGGCAGGGTAGGGGCCAGGCATGGTGGCTCATACCTGTAATCCTTGCACTGTGGGGGGCCAAGGTGAGAGGATTGCTTGAGGCCAGGAGCTCAAGACCAGCCTGGACAACATAGCAAGACCTGGGTGGCATACACCTGTGGTCCCTACTACTTGGTAGGATGAGGTGGGAGGATTGATCACTTGATCCCAGGAGTTTCAGGCTGCAGTGAGCCATGATCACACCACTGCACTTCAGCCTGGGTGACAGAGCCAGACCATGTCACAAAAAGTTAGAAAAAAAAAAGAGAGAGGGAGAGAGACTATACACAGGCACCACCACATTTGGCTAATTTTTAAATATTCTGTAGAGACAAGGTCTTGCTAGGTTGCCCAGGCTAGTCTAAAACTCCTGGCATCAGGCTGGGCATGGTGGCTCATGCTTGTAATCGCAGCACTTTGGGAAGCTAAGGCAGGCAAATCACCTGAAGTCTGGAGTTCGAGACCAGCCTGGCCAACACGGTGAAACTCTGACTCTATCAAAAATACAAAAATTAGCTGGGCAGTAGTGGCGTGTACCTGTAGTCTCACCTACTCGGGAGGCTGAGGCAGGAGAATCACTTGAACCTGGGAGGTGGAGGTTGCAGTGGACCCCATCACTGCACTCCACCCTGGGTGACAGAGCGAGACTGTCAAAAACAACAACAACAATAACAAAAACAAAAACAACAACAACAAAAAAAACTCCTGGCATCAAGACATCTTCCTGTCTTAGCCTCCCAAAGCCCTGGGATTATACTGTTTCCTATAATTGAAGACACTTGTTCTTATACTGCTTTAAGGTATAAAGGAAGAAAAAAAAAACAGATAATGGCAAATGTTGGTGAAGGCCGGGCATGGTGGCAGCCTGTAATTCCAGAACTTAGGGAGGCTGAGGTGGGCAGATCACTTGAGGCCAGGAGTATGAGACCAGCCTGGGCAACATGGTAAAATCCCACCACTACAGAAAAATCTAAAAATTAGCCAGGCATGGTGGCGTACACCTGTAATTTTCAGCTACCCAGGAGGCTGAGATGAGAGAATCACTTGTGCCTGGGAGGTCACGGCTGCAGTGAACTGTGATGGCATCATTGCACTGCGGCCTGAGAGACAGAGCAAGCCCCTATCTAGAAAAAAAAATGTCAGTGAAGATGTGGAGGAATTGGAACCCACATACATTACTGGTGGGAACATAAAATTGTGTAACCATTTTGTTTGGGTATTTCTTTTCTTGTCATTTTAATTGGATTTTTAAAAAATCAAGACGGGGTTTCACTATCTTGCCCAGGCTGGTCTTGAATTCACGGGCTCAAGCCATCCTCCTAGCTGAGCCTCCTGAGTAGCTGGGATTACAGGTGTGAGCCATTGCACCCAACTGGTATAGCCACGTTAGAAAACAGTCTGGCAGTTTCTCAAAAGGCTAAATGTACAGTCATCCTATAATGCAACAATTTCACTCCTAGGCATATATCCCAGAAAAATAAAAATATATGTCCACACAAAAACTTGTACAACAATCTTCATAGCAGCATTATTCATAATGACCAATACATGGAATACATGGAAACAACCCAAATATCCACCAACTGATGAACAGATAAACAAAATGCAGTGTGTCTCTACCATGGAATACTGCCATAGAAGGAATGAAATATTGATACACACTATGACATAAAGGAACTTTGAAAACACTGTGGTAAGAGGGAAAAAAAGCCACAAAAGATCACATATTGTACAATTCTATTTGTCCAGATTAGGCAAATCTATAGTGACAAAAAAATTAATCAATGGTTGCCTAAGGCTGGGGGCAAAGGTAGGTGGGGAGAGTAGGAGGTAGTGGCTAAGGGGTATGGATTTCTCTATAGAGTAATGAAAGGTTCTAAAAGTGACTGTGGTGATCGATGCACAGCTCTGTGAATATTCTAAAACCTACTGAATTGCAGATTTCAATAAATAAAGTGAATGGTATGTGAATATTTTAATAAAGCTATTATTTAAAATAATAATAATAGGGGGCTGGGCACAGGTGGTCATGCCTGCCTGTAATCCCAGCACTTTGGGAGGCTGAGGCAGGAGGATCACTTGAGGTCAGGAGTTTTGAGCCCAGTCGGAGCAACACGGCAAGATCCCGTCTCTATGATAAAAAATTACCTGGACATGGTGGCACATGTCTGTAGTCCCAGCTACTTGGGAGACTGAAGTGAGAGAACCACTTGAGCCCAGGAGTTTGAGGCTACAGTGAACCATGATCATGTCACTGTACTGTAGCCTAAGCAACAGAGCAAGACGCTGTCTCTGAAAAGGAAAGAAAACAAATGCAAGTTTTTATCACTTTGTGAGTGTAGCCAAGTTGGAGGAGAAATAGACAATAATAAAAGAGCACTGAATAATGACGGTGAGTGGCTGGTTAGGCTCAGTTGCTAGCTAAATGGCTTCTAAAAAATTCAATAAAGTTACAGCTCTGGGGACAGTCATGTAGTCAAAGAATGAAGGCGAAATTCATTACAATTGCCCATGGTCTTTATTTACATGCCTTCTAGTGAAAAATTCCTAAGTGCCTAAACAGCAAGTCTGCAATGATAGCAGCTGTTTATTAAAGACTACAAAAAAGAAATGGAGGCCGGGCGTGGTTGTTCACATCTGTACTCCTTGAATTTTGGGAGGCTGAGGCAGGCAGATTGCCTGAGGTCAGGAGCTCCAGAGGAGCCTGGCCAACATGGTGAAATCCCATCTCTACTAAAAATACAAAAATTAGCTGGGTATGGTGGCGGGCACCTGTAATCCCAGCTACTCGGGAGGCTGAGGCAGGAGAATTGCTTGAACCCAGAAGGTGAAGGTTGCAGTGAGCCAAAATCGCACCATTGCACTCCAGCCTGGGTGACAAGAGAAAGACTCTTATCTTAAAAAAAAAAAGAAAAAAAAGAAATGGCATCTTCTTCAAGAATTACATCGTGTTTCATGATAAAGAAGCTCTAATTTTGCATTTGTTCAAGTATTGATGAGATTTACCCAATATGACACCCATCTTGGATAAAATGCAAACAACACAATTTCATTTTCTCATTAACAAAACCGATTAAGTAGTCTAATATAAATTCCGATCTTATTAAAAACTGATCAGATTAAAAAAATTATGGAATTATGGAGCCAATAAGATGTTACAACCTGTTCCAAGGGGAATTCCAAAATCCACACATATCTGAGACCATCAAGTATGATGAAATATATTTGATTACTATATTGAAAAATAAACTGATTACATAGCCAACAATTGGACAGGGGTCTCCTCATCCACAGCCACACAAACCCGATCATGCAACTGTATGGTTACAAGGCCTACATAGCCTAGAAGGGACTGGTCTGACTTGAGATTTCATTTGTATTTGTATTTTGAGACAGGGTCCCACTCTGTCACCCAGGATGGAGTGCAGTGGTATAATCATAGCTCACTGCAACCTTGACCAACTGGGCTCAAGAGATGCTCCTGCCTCAGCTGCCCCCATACCTGGGAATACAGGCAAGTACCACCATGTCAGGCATTTTTTTCATTTTTGTAGAGAGAGAAGACTTGCTATGTTGCCCAAGCTGGCCTCAAACTCCTAGAATCAAGAGATCTGCCCATCTCAGCCACATGAGTAACTGGGGCCATAGGTACATACCATCATGCCTGGCTATATTTATTTTATTTTATTAAATTTATTTTTTTTATTTTTGTAGAGAGGAGGTCTTGCTGTGTTGCCCAGGCTGCTCTCAAACTCATGGCCTTAAAACATACTCCCATCTCTGCCTCTCAAACTGTTGGAACTATAGGTGTGAGCCACTGTACCTGGCCTGACTTGGGATTTCTTTTATCTAGCATCCTTTACTTGGTAGGATTGGGAAAAGCAGTAGTGTTTTTTAAAATTACTTAATAATTCAATCAGAATCAAACTCAACCTTGACCACTGCCTTCTCTCACAGCTCACATCCAGTCTGTCAGGAAATCCTACTGACTGACTTCAACATGTATCCAGGCTCTAACCATCTCTCACCACCACCATGAACCCCGTCAGGATCACTATCATCTCCCACCGGGATGTTGCCACAGCTTGGCCCCCATGCTTCCACCCAAATCTTCCCATAGTCTTTCTCAACTCGGCAGCCAGGTCGTGCTTTTAAATCAGGAGACGGATCATGTCGCCTCTCTGCTCAGAAGCCCTTGGTGGTTCCCATTTTAGTCAGAGTAAAAGCCAAAGCCCCAGCAATAGCGTCCCAGGGCTTACACGATCTGTACCGATCCCAGCCCAGCAACTCCCTGGCCTCCTCGCTGACTTCGCTCCCTCTATCTCTTTGCTCCACTGGCCTCCTTCCAGAGCCTCAGACACACCAGAGAGTTTCCTCCTAATGCCTTTATCCTGTTGACTCAGCCTACAATGCTCTTCCCTCAGCACCTTGGCCAGCTCCATCACCTGCTTCAAACTTTTGCTCAATATTCACTTATGAGGCCAACCCTGACCACTCTACTTAACACTGCCATCTGTCCCCATTCCCACCATGCTCATTTATTTCTTTCTTTTTGAAACAAGGTCTTGCTTTATTGCCCAGGCTGGAGTACACTGGTGCAATCACAGCTCACAGCAACTTCAACCTCCCAGGCTTAAACAATCCTCCCGCCTCAGCCACCCTAGGAACTGAGACTACAGCTGCATGCCACAACACATGGCTTTTTTTTTTTTTTTTTTTTTGAGACGGAGTCTTGGTCGCCCAGGCTGAAGTGTAAGGGTGCGATCTTGGCTCACTGCAATGTCTGCCTTTTGGGTTCAAGTGATTCTCTGCCTCCCAAGTAGCTGGGATTACAGGCACCCACCACCACACCTGGCTAATGTTTGTATTTTTAGTAGAGATGGGGTTTCACCATCTTGGCTAGGCTGGTCTTGAACTTCTGACCTCGTGATCCACCCTCCTCGGCCTCCCAAAGTGCTGGGATTACAGGCGTGAGCCACTGCGCCTGGCCTTTAAAAAAATTTTTTTTTAGACATGAGGTCTCATTATGTTGCCCAGGCTGGTCTTAAGCTCCTGGGCTTAAGCGATCCTCCCACCTCAGCCTCCTAAAGTTCTGGGATTACAGGCGTGAGCAACTGTAACATGAGGTCCCAGCTTCATGTTCATTTTTTGTTGTTGCTACAACAAAGTACCCTACATTTAGTGGCATCAAACACCACAAATCTACCATCTTACAGTTCTGGGGGCCAGAAGCCCAACTAGGTCTATCAAGGCTAAAGTCAAGGTGTCAGAGAGGCTGCATTCCTTCTGGGGGAGGCTCTAGACAGAATGTGCTCCTTTGCCTTTTCCAGCTTCTAGAAGCCACCTCCATTCCTTGACTTACCTCGTGACTCCATATTCAAGGCCAGAAGTGCAGCATCTTCAAATCTCCCTCTCTGACCTCTTCTTCCATTACCACATCACTTTCTCTAATTCTGACTCTCCTACCTCATTCTCTTATAAAGATCCTTGTGATTGGTGGGTATGGGGGCTCCCATCTGTAATCCCAACATTTTGGGAGGCCAAAGAGGAAGGATTGCTTGAGGCCAAGAGTTAGAGATCAGCCTGGGGAAAATAGGAAGATCCTGCCTTTACAAAATTAAAATCAGCTGGACATGGTGATGCATGCCTGTAGTTCCAGCTACTGGAGAGGCTAAGGTGGGAGGATTGCTTTAGCCTAGGAGGTCAAGGCTGAAGTGAGCTATGATCACATCACTGCACTCCAGCCTCAGTGGCAGAGTGAGACTCTGTCTCCGATATAAGAAAAGAAATATACATTTGGTCTCTGCCCCTGGTTCCTGGCATAGAGCTTCCAAAGCTCTTATAAAGCCCTTCGTGACAGAGGTAATAGGAGCATTTTCTGTTTTGATATTTAGTCTTAGTCCCAGGTTCCTGACACAAGGGCCTCTAAGGTCTTTCAGATCTGCAGCATGGTAAGAATGCATGTGGGATGCTGTTGAGCTAACAGGGTGGCTGCAAGCTCCGAGACTGCTTCAGGAGGAGGGCTAGCTGCCAGAGAAAGCAACCACATTTTTTTTTTAAAACGGAGTTTGGCTCTTGTAGCCCAGGCTGGAGTGCAATGGCACAATCTCAGCTCACTACAACCTCCACCTCCCGGGTTCAAGCAATTCTCCTGCCTCGGCCTCCCGAGTAGCTGAAATTATAGGGATGTGCCACAACGCCTAGCTAACTGTTGTTATTTTTAGTAGAAACGGGGTTTCACCATGTTGGTCAGGCTGGTCTCAAACTCTTGACCTCAAGTGGTCCATGTGCCTCAGCCTTCCAAACTGCTAGGATTACAGGAGTGAGCCACCGCACCTGGCCCCAACAACATTTTTTGAGGCTTGGAACTTTCAGCCTCACCTGCTGAACTCCAGGAGGCAAAAGGAACTGGAGATTGACTTAACTACCAATGGCCAGTGATTTTATCAATCATGCCTCCATAAACACCCAAACAGCAGGGTTTGGAGAGCTTCTGTGTTGCTAAACACAAGGAGGTCCTGGGAGGGTAGTGTGCCCAACAGAGGGCATGGAAGCTCTGTGCCCCTCCCCACTTACCTTGTCCTGTGCATCTCTTTCATTGGCTGTTCCTGAGATGGAGCCATTACATTGAGCCAGTAATAGAAAATAAGGTGGCCAGATGCGCTGGCTCATGCCCGTAATCCCAGCACTTTGGGAGGCAGAGGTGGGCGGAATCACTTGAGCCTAGGAATTTGAGACCAACCTGGGCAACATAAGAAGACCCCATCTATACAAAAAATAAAAGAAATTAGCCAAATGTGGTGGTGGGAACCCTGTAATTCCAGCTACTTGAGAGGCTGAAGCAGGAGAATCACTTGAGCCCTGGACGTTGAGGCTTCAATGAGCTATGATTGCACCACTGCACACCAGCTTGGACAACAGAGCGAGGCCCTGTCTCTTAAAAAAAAAAGAAAAAAAACTTGTTTTTCTAAGTTCTGTGAGTTGTTCTAGTAAATAATTAAACTCAACAAGAGGGTCATGGGAAACCCTGATTTCTAACTGGTTGGTCAAAATACAGGTGACAACCTAGGACTTGCAACTGGCATCTGAAGTGAGGGTGGTCTTGTGGGACTGAGCCCCTAACCTGTGGGTTCTGTGCTAACTCTAGGTAGTGTCAGAATGGAATTGTGGGATACGCGGTTGGTATCCAGAGAGTTGGAGAACTGGTGTAGAAACTCTGCACACACAGTTGGTCAGAAGTCTGTGAGTAGAGAGAAACGTGTTGCAGGAAGTCAGGGACCCCAAACAGAGGGACTGGCTGAAGCCACAGCAGAAGAACATAAATTGTGAAGATTTCATGGACATTTATTAGTTCCCCAAATTAATACTTCTATAATTTCTTAGGCCTGTCATTACTGCAATCTCTGAACATAAATTGTGAAGATTTCATGGACACTTATCACTTCCCCAATCAATACCCTTGTGATTTTCTATGCCTGTCTTTAATCTCTTAATCCGGTCATCTTCATAAGCTGAGGATGAATGTCCCCGCAGGACCCTGTGATAATTGCGTTAACTGCACAAGTTGTTTAAACAATATGAAACCTGGGCACCTTGAAAAAAGAACAGGATAACAGCAATTTCAGGGAACAAGGGAGATAACCTTAAACTCTGGCTGCCAGTGGGCCGGGTTGAACAGAGCCATATTTCTCTTCTTTCAAAAGCAAATAGGAGATGTATTGCTGAATTCTTTTTCTCAGCAAAGAACATCCCTGAGAAAGAGAATGCATCCCTAAGGGGAGGCCTCTGAAATGGCCGCTTTGGGGACGGCTGTCTTTTACAGTCATAGATAAGGGATGAAATAAGCCCTGGGTTCGCGTGGCGCTCCCAGCCTTATCAGGACAAGGAAATTCCCGCCTAATAAATGTTGGTCAGATGGGTTGTCTGCTCTCAAACCCTTTCTCCTGATAAGATGTTATCAATGACAATGCGCGCCCGAAACTTCGTTAGCAATTTTAATTTCGCCCCGGTCCTGTGGTCCTGTGATCTTGCCCTGCCTCCATTTGCCTTGTGATATTTTATTACCTTGTGAAGCATGTGATCTCTGTGACCCACACCCTATTCGTACACTCCCTCACCTTTTGAAAATCACTAATAAAAACTTGTTGGTTTTGCGGCTTGGGGGGCATCACGGAACCTGCCGACGTGTGATGTCTCCCCTGGACATCCAGCTTTAAAATTTCTCTCTTTTGTACTCTTTCCCTTTATTTCTCAGACTGGCTGACACTCAGGGAAAATAGAAAAGAACCTACATGAAATATCAGGGGTGAATTTCCCCCGATATCACACTGGCTCTTCTCTCACCTGTCTACCTGCTTAACTTAATAGGAGAGGCAATGCATGGTGCTCATGAACAAGGCAAGCATTAAAGTCAGACCAGACTAACATTTGACTCAGTCCTAATATTCAGGTGAGCTTGGGCAAATCGCTCATTAACCCCAAGTCTTCATCATTTTGTGCATATAATGGGGATAACTGTGGCACCCACCTGTTTTTGTGAGAATCAATGAAATATTATGCTTGATGTTATTGTGATCATGATACTATCTGACAAGGGCAGTGATGCATGATAACATCAAAAAATTAGAAACTGTAATGAGGTCTCTTGGGCAAAATTCCATACAAGCAAATTACTGTCTCTACAAAGCATTTCTGCCACACTTAATTCACCATTCCCTGAACAAAATGTGCCATCTTCATTGTTCAGGTCTGTATAGTGCTGGTTTCCCTGCCTGGGCAGCTCACTCCATCCCATCCCAGCCCAATCCCCATCCCTCCACCTCCCCCTTCCCTCCCCACTCTCATACAACTCTTCCTTATCTTACAGGACTTGGCTTCAATGTCACCTTAACTGGAAGCTTCTCTCCCTCTCCAGAAGAGCTTCCGATTGCACTTGATGCATGCACTATTATTTGATCATTTTTGAGTTACAGTCCAAGTCTTTTTGTACTTGAATAACATGTTGCCCAGTCAGTTTCTCTTCCTGGATTCAGAAGTCTTTCATGGTAGGTCCAGCTAGAAGTGACAAAAAGACATTTAAAAAAAAAAAAAGAGGGATGACACAGACATCAGCACTTAAAAGTTTTAAACGATATGTGAAAAACAAAATTTAAGGGCTTCTAGGAGAAATGTAGGAGGGAAGGTGTTACTGGGAAATATGATAGAAGGTTAATTTTTATTTTATTTTATTTTTAGAGAAAGGGTCTTGCTCTATCACCTAGGCTGGACTGCAGTGGTGCAATCACAGTTAACTGCAGCCTCAACCTCCAGGGCTTGAGCAATATTCCCATCTAATTTTTATTTTGTTTAAGAAATGCAGTCTTGCTCTTAGCAAAGCTAAAGTGCAATGGTGTGATCATAGCTTACTGCAGCCTCAACCTTCTAGACTCAAGTGATCCTCCAGTCTTAGCCTCCCCAGTAGCTCGGACTACAGGTGTGCACTGCAACGTGTAGCTCATTTTTTTTTTTTAATTTTTAGTAGAGACAAAGTGTCACTATGTTGACCAGGTTGGTGGTGATCTCCTACACTCAGGCAGTTCTCTCACCTCAGCCTTCCAAAATGCTGGGATTACAGGTGTGAGCTGCCACACCTGGCTGAGGGGGTTAATTTTTAATTATATAAAGAGCTCAAAGCAAATATTAGAAGAAGCCTAAATGCCTCCAGCAGTTGACTGGTACTGGTAAATTGTGATACATCCATATAATAAAATATTATGCAACCATGAAAAGGATTAAGATAGATCAATAGGTATTGGCACAAATGTCCACGAAATATGAAAATATGAAGTGATGTTCAATCACCATGTACGTATCTTGAAGGATATGGCCCATTTTCTCAACTGCAATTATTTCCTGAGATAAGATTATGGGTCTAAAGAGTGAAGGACATTTTTCACTTATTTAAAAGTATTTATCATTTTTATAATTTAATAAAAGATTAAACAGATCATTGAATTAGTAAAAGACAAAGTAACTCTATAAATAAATGGAAAAGACACAGATACCCCAGGCATGGTGGCTCATGCTTATAATACCAGTACTTTGGGAGGGGGTGGTGGGGGGATTGCTTGAGGCTAGGAGTTCCAGACCAGCCTAAGAAACAAAGCAAGACCTCCTCTCTAGTAAAAATAAAAAAATAAAAATAATTGGCCAGGCATAGTGGCATGTGCCTATAGTCCCAACTACTGAGGTGGAAGGATCACCTGAGCCTAGGAGGTCAAGGCTGCAGTGAGTTGAGACTGTGCCACTACACTGAAGCCTAGGAGACAGAGCGAGACTTCATCTCAAAAAAAAAAAAAAAGGACAATAAAGAAATAAAGCTAATAAGCTAACATAAGGGAAGATAAAATATGTGACAAATAGGCTGGGCACATGGCTCACAGCTGTAATCAAGCACTTTGGGAGGCCAAGGCGGGTAGATCACGAGATCAGGAGTTCGAGACCAGCCTGATCAACATGGTGAAACCACGTTTCTACTAAAAATACAAAAATTAATCAGGCATGGTGGCATATTCCTGTAATCCCAGCTACTCAGGAGGCTGAGGCAGGAGAATCGCTTGAACCTGGGAGGCACAGGTTGCAGTGAGCCGAGATCACACCACTGCACTCCAGCCTGGTCGACAGAGCGAGACTGTGTCTCAAAAAAGAAAAAAGAATGGGTGACAAAGTAATAATAGGAGGTCTTTCATTTATCACACAGAAAATAACTTGTTAAATTATAATACCTGTGTGGGCGAAGGTGCAGTGAAATGGCCATTTTCTTGTAGTATTAGTGGTGTTTAAAATGTATATAAGCCTTCCAGCATAAAGCTTGGAAATTTTTTTTAAATCCTACAGACAGTGACTCATTATACTGCCTCCTCCAACTCCTGGCCTCAAGCAATCCTCCCACCTCAGCCTCCCAAAGTGCTGGAATTGCAGGCTGACAGCCACCATGCCTGAAAGCTTTGCAATTTACATTGAGGGTAATAAGAATGCTCATGCCCTGTGACTCACAGTAATCTCACTTCTGGAAATTTCACCTTTGGATATAATTCAACCTAAACAAAAGGTCATATGCACAAACACAGTGAAAATCTGGGAGTAATTTTTTTCTCTTTTTTTTAAAAAATATGGAATGCTTCACAAATTTGCATGTCATTCTTTCACAGAGGCCGTGCCAATCTCTCTATTGTTCCAACTTAAGTATGTGTGCTACTGAGGCAAGCATGAGTAATTTAAGATAGGGTGGTTAAGTGAAATAAGGAAGAATTATGGAGAATTTAAAAATCTATGCTATTTATAGGCACCTAGTAACAGCTCAGTAAATATTAGCTGCTACTATTATTATTTTTATGGTAATTTCACTCAATTAAAAACTGTCGTTAAAAATTACCATTGTCATGGAACATAATGTCTCCTACTGTATAATTGTAGAAACAGATACAATTTGTCCCTTGGTATATGGGGGGATTAGTTCCAGCTCTCCCATTTCTGTGTATACCAAAATCCACGCATACTCAAGTTTTCGAAGTCAGTCCTGTGGAATCCACATATAACACAAATGGGAAAATTAGTGAGGTGTGGTGACAAGCACCTGTAGTCCCAGCTACTTGTGAGGCTGAGGCAGGAGGATTGCTTGAGCCCAGGAGGTTGAGGCTGCAGTGAGCCATAATTGCACCACTGCACTCCAGTCTGGGCAACAGAGTGAGACAGAAGGTTGACTTTTTAATAGAATTTTTCTGTTCACTTGAAGATATGGTCAGGATTGTGGCATATGAAAATTCTTCATAAAATAACTATCTAATCCAATTAATGCTGGAATTGGGAACAGCAGAAGTGTCATCTCAGAGCTACTCGCAATGAAAGGTGATGTCTGGGGCTCAGGTGTGTTGAGGTCCCCATGCCTGGACTATGGGTGCTGAGTGGGATTTACTTGTCCATCCATTTTCTATATTCCAGCACTGGGAAACTAGGGACAGTACTTGTTCTCAAGGGAATCTTCAGCTTAGGTGGCTCTGTAAAAGAGAAATTACATCATTGAAAAATCGTCGCAGGTCAGGTGAGGTGGCTCATACCTATAATCCCAGCCCACTGGGAGACTAAGGCAGGAGGATTCCGTGAGGCCAGGAGTTCAAGACCAGCCTGAGCAACACAGTGAAACCTCATCTCTACAAAAAATTAGAAAATGAACTGGGTGTGGTAAAACATTCGTATAGTCCCAGCTACTCTGGAGGCTGAAATAGGAGGATCGCTTGAGCCCAGGAAGTGGAAGCTGCAGTGAGCTCTGATCTCACCACTGCACTCTAGCCTTGGTGACAGAGTGAGACCCTGTCTCAAGACACACACAAACACACACACACACACACACACCCAATCTCACTCTGTCCAGCCTTGACTAATCAAAAGGGCCTTCTGGTTACAGAAGAGGTATGCTCTTTTGTAGGACAGGGAGAGACCAGCAAGCTTGTTCACAGACTTTTCCTCATCCTCTGCTTAGTTTTCCAAGAACCCTCACAGTGGAAATGGAGTCTCTGGGAAAATGACCTAAATCTTTGGGTTACCAGGGGAGAAATATGCCTCCTTTGTCAATTAATAAATGGAACATCTGCCTTAAAATCCAGGGAGTTCTGCTAGAATGAATCACTCCCTAAGACCCTGACCAATGCATGGAACATGAAAAACTGAAGTTTAACTGGGCGCGGTGGATCACGCCTGTAATCCCAGCACTTTGGGAGGCTGAGGCGGGCGGATCACCTGAGGTCAAAAGTTCTAGATCAGCCTGGCCAACATGGTGAAACCCCGTCTCTACTAAAAATACAAAAATTAGTTGGGCATGGTGGTGGACACCTGTAATCCCAGCTACTTGGGAGGCTGAGGCAGGAAAATTGCTTGAACCCGGAAGGCGGAGGTTGCAGTTACTTCTAGAAGAATTTCCATTAGCCCTTTGAAATCCTTCAACATTCATGAAGGCCAAAGAGTTTTCACCTAATTTAATCTGATGGGTATGTGACCAGAGTCTTTCTAGGGAATAGAGACTCCCAAACAGTTCGACTGGGAAGTGAGGAGAGAATTTATTACTCAAAACCAAAGGGAAATGAAAAGAGGCCAACATAGAATGTCATTATTCTTTCTTGGCGGGGAATGGATTCCAGAGTCATTCTGTGACCTTTACATGACCTCCTTATTAGCATCTAAAAGCTTCCAGTGTAGGATGCAGCCAGCTAGGTTCTCTTCTAATGTAATAAAATTTGCTTCGGCAAATCTTATGCAGAGCCATCTCCAGGCTCCAGAAACAATAGGCTATAAATTACTGGATCTCCCATTTGATACAACGAAGTATGAGCATGGTCCTGAATGACTCCTCTACATACTACTCTGGGTGGCTTGAAGTGAATTTGATACAAGAACTGGAGCGAGGGCAAAGCAGAGCTAGATCTAGGATTAATGTGCTTGGGCCCAGCTCCTCACTACTCACCTATGAGTCTAGTTCCAGAACCCAAGTAGAGGATGGGGAAACAAGGCTCCTGACTTTTTTTCCCTAATGTCTGCATCTCTTTCACATTTCTTATCTCCTTGCAAAGAAACTAAACAGGCTCAACTGAAATAACTAAATGATTAAACCCTATACAGAGAATCTCCAAAGACTGACAAAATATCATTCAAGACTGTTACACAGACAACCTTGAGGATGACTTGATGTACCAGTGATCTACAATATTTGGGATCATTCCAAATTCCCATCAAGGATCTGCCTATATCAACAAAGGAGCCAAGGACCAACCATTCAAATGGGCCCTGCTGCCAAGCCTTTTTTTTTTTTTTAACAATGCCATCTCTTCATATTGTTCCATTTAACAAAACTGCAGCCCTTCATCTATCCTTAAGTCCCTTGGCCAATGGTACAGAGCCAGAGTATGCTACTCCCTAGCAGGAAATCAACAGGATGACCTACTAAACACCATTCAGAAGATGCTAAGACCCATGAATTGCAACAGGAAAGAAAAGACAGAGAATTAGTCAGACAGGTACATGCTGTGCCAAAAATGCACTACAGCCCCCACCCAATTCTGCCTAATCCTAGCTGGGCTGACACCAACCTGATGAGACAGGCCTATAAGATCTCAAACTAAAACAGAAACTCCTGAACTGGGTTCTTTCGAGCCCAGGAAGCAGCAGTAAATCATTAAAGAACAGATAAGTTCTTAAGGTGAGGGAGAGTTTCAGATAAATGGAATGCTGGTAGAACACAGGGCCCAAAGGAGCAAAAGTTAACCTAAGCCCAGGTAGAACCTTGTTTACTAGAGTATTAGGCATGGGTTTGGGCAACTATTCTAACCAGAGAAACTGGCTTCAGTGAGGGCAAGTTGGCAATCCAAGGTATAGCATGCATAGGGCTGGCAAAATTCAGGGTGACTGAAGCAAAAGCTTCAGAACCAGAAAGACCACATCTGGGGGTAGAGCACAAAACTCTCAAGAGATGAATCTTTGTAAGAGTGAGGCAGAACTATATAGCAGTTTTAGGAGATCTGTTGGTGCCCAGCAAGAGCTCCAAACGGGCTATATGCAGGGATGCAGGCTGTAGTCTCAGGAGAGGAGGTTCACAAAAGTCATTCAGTCCAAGACCTCAAACTGTGTTCTCTACTAAAAGGAATCAAGGTTCCCTAGAGAAACGGCTGACTCCATGCATGGTGCAGTATATTGATCCTGGAACATCTGTTTTGCCAGAAAGCAAGGAAGCCATCAAAGTCCAACAGGATCACGTCAAAAAGACATGAAAGTCAACTTGAAGAGATAATTATTAACCTAGATGAGACAATGTAAGCATCCAAAACAGTAAAGACTGCAATGGCCTGAAATACATCAAATGCAAACAATAATCTATGAGTTCATAATGGTATTCAGAAAAAAAAACTACTGGTCATTAGAGGGAAGGTTACTAGGTCACTAACTTACTACTCTGAAAAGTGACTTAAGATGAGAGGTAGGGTGGAGAATTAGCTATTTATTCAGTCTTTCCTGTACAAACATAAATTTTTAGGGAGATTGAAGCAGATGAAACAAATCTGGAAAAATGGAGGTAACTGCTTAATCTGCGGGTTGGGTGCATGGAGGTTCAACATATTTCTTTTGTGTATATTTGAACCCCCTACAAAAAAAGCACAAGACAGAATGTGAGCCAAGCAGCTTAGGGTTTAGGCAAGGCTTCTGCCTACAAGAGACACTAGGATATGAGGGGTAGTTTTAGCCCTAATGGGCTGAGCCAACTGGAGGTATATAGGGAAGTGCTAAATTGCAGAGGTATCATGTTGCCCAGCACTTGATCAAATCCTAGATCCTAGGTCTGCTTGGTAGCATGCTTCCTAGGTAGTGGATCTGAGGCTACCTATAGAACTTCCTTTGCAGTCATAGTTCGCTCAGAAACTACAAAAGTGCTTGCTCTTGAAAATGGAGTCTTTGTCCATTTCATGCTTCTATAAAAGAATACCACAGACTGCATAATTTATAAAAAGGAAAAAAGGAAGGAAAGAAAAAAGGAAGGGAGGAGGGAAGGAGGGAAAAAGGGAAGGAGGGAAGGAAAGGAAGGAAGGGAAAGAAGGAAAGGAAGGAAGGGAAAGAGAGAAAGAGGGAAGGAGGAAGGGAGGGAAGGAGGGAGGGAGGGAGAGAGAGAGGGAGGGAGGGGAAGGGAAGAAAAGGGAAGAGAAGGGAAAGGAGGAAGAAAAGGAAAGGAAAGGAATAAATTTTATTTCTTAACAGTTCTGGATGTTAGGAAGTCCAAGGTTGAGGGGCCTGCATCTGGTAAGGGTCTTCTTGCTGCATCATCCCACTACAGAAGGCAGAAGGAAAAGAGAGTGCAAGAAAGCAAGAGGGCAAAAGGGGCTGAACTCTGTTTTATAATAAGCCCACTCTGTGATTACTAATCTATTACCACAATAACAACATTAACTCATTCATGAAGCCTATTTTATTAGGCCCCACATCCCAACTGTTGCATTGAGGATTGAGTTTCCAGCACATAAACTTTGGGGGACACATTTAAACCACAGCAGAGCACTTAGGTTAATTCAACTAAGAGGAGCTGGGAAAATCAAAGGCATGAGAAAGACAGCAAAAGCTAGCAGAGAGAAATGCATAGGTTAAGGAAAAAAGTCACAGTGAATCCTGTAGTGCAGGCTACTTTATCAAAAGCACCTAAAAAAGATCTCATTAACTCCCCCAGCTCACCTCCATGCACATCTAAAGAGCCACACACAGCACCACCAAAGGCAGCACAATGAGAACAGCATTCTCCTCAACAGACAAGCTGGGAGTATCTAGACACCTGACCTCAATAGCTCCAGAACAGCCCTAAAACATTTCCTCCCTAACCACCACTCAAGTCACCAGCTTGGAAAGTATTAAGAAAACCCAAATCCTGACACACCACTATGAAACAACTTAAAACAGCAAAGAACAACCCATTTAAACAGCAATGCCAGCTGTTGGGAAAAAAAGGAACAATGAGTAGAGGAGAAACAGACCTCTCGGGGTCCACCAAGACCCAGTCTCTCAGCTTCAGCACTTTTAAATGCAGAATCCATACCCCTCTGGGGCCTGTGGAGCTCCACAAGGCATGTCGTCCTCAAAGATAAATGAGCAGGCAAGCTGGCTAGAAAACCACTAAGGGTATTTATTCTTTAAAGAATCTTTATAGGGTCAAAGAAGAATGGGTCCTAACTGGCTATGTGAACTCCCCACAGATTCTGAGGATGATGTCATTATCCCTTTCCAGATGTGTTTAACACTTTGCAGTCACTTGTATTCCTGCCACTGAGTGCCAGTGCTTTGCTAATTTGAACTGATTCCAGCTCACGCTGACCCCAGCTCCCTGGATGTTACCATTAGCCAAGACTGTCACCCATACTGTACCCTTTCAAAGAGTCCTAAAAACAGCTCTTCACCTACTCTTCCAAGACAAGTAAAAATGACTGCCAAAGAAATGGGGAAAAAAGATTCAGAGAGTGAAAACAATTAATATACTAACAAGAGAGCAAAAAGCAAAGGGGGAGGAGAAACTAGGAAAATCATATATGGGCTCTCACCTATTTCCAAAGCTGGGCTAATGTCCTTCTGCTTGTGTCTGAATAAGGCACCAATTTTAAGCTGCTAATGAAAAAAAAAGAAAAAGAGAAAGAAGCAGGCCCAGGCTGGGCGCAGTGGCTCATGCCTGTAATCCCAGCACTTTGGGAGGCCGAGGCGGGTGGATCACCCAAGGTCAGGAGTTCTAGACCAGCCTGGTCAACATGGTGAAACACCATCTCTACTAAAAATACAAAAAATTAGCCAGGCATGGTGGCGCATGCCTGTAAATCCAGCTACTAAGGAGGCTGAGGCAGGAGAATTGCTTGAACCTGGAAGGCAGAGAATGTGGTGACCTGAGATCACGTCATTGCCCTCAAGCCACGGCAATGAGAACAAAATTCAGTAAAAACAAAACAAAACAAAACAAAACCACCATAAAATAACTCAGACTTAATTAAATACAACCCTAGTGGTGAATGACTAAAGATGGATTACTCATAACAGAGATAACAGTCCAATAAGAATCCAGGAATCTTACCTTTTAATAACAAAAAAATCCTTTCCTTCTAAAGTAACATCCTCTCAAGGCCAGGAATTCCATTAGTAGAAAGCCTTCCTAAAAAACAAAATTCCTGGCCAGGCATGGGTTCACGTCTGTAATCTCAGCATTCTGGGAGGCCGAGGCGGGAAGATCACTTGATATCAGGAGTCGAGGCGGGAAGATCACTTGACGTCAGGAGTTCGAGACTGGCCCGGCCAACATGGTGAAACCGCATCTCCACTAAAAATACAAAAATTAGCCTGGTGTGGTGGTGGGCACCTGTAATCCCAGTGACTTGGGAGGCTAAGGCAGGAGAATTTCTTGAACCCAGGAGGCAGAGGTTGCAGTGACCAGCAAGGTTGCGCCATTGCACCCCAGCCTGGGCGATAAGAGTGAAAACTCCATCTCAAAAAAAAAAAAAAAAAAAAAATTCCTTTGGGAAGGCCTTCTACATAAAAATCTTCAACATGAGACTGGAAAAAAGGGTATGGGATCATCACCGGACCTTTGGCTTTTACAGCTCGAGCTATAAGAACAAAAAGAAAAAGGGATATCATTTAAACACGGTATGTAGAAAAGAATAATTATTGAATCTGTACTGGTCTTTAACTTTTACACTTTGATCTTTAATTCTGTTATTGTGATTGAGTCCAAAGAAAAACAGTATGAGTAAAATAAAAAGAACACCAAAAATGCTAATATTCTGTTTACCGAAGTCTGTAGTGAAATATCCCATTAAATCCAAGTGCAGTGACACACCCATAATCCCAAGCACTTTGGGAGGCTGAGGCGGGTGAATCTCCTGAAGTCAGGAGTTCAAGGCCAGCCTGGCCAACATGGTGAAACCCCAACTCTACTACAAATACAAAAATTAGGCAGGCGTGGTGGCAGAGGCCTGTAATCCCAGCTACTTAGGAGGCTGAGGCAGGGAGAATTGCTTGAACCCAGGAGGTGAGCTTGCCATGAGCTGAGATCATACCACTGCACTCCAGCGTGGGTGACAGAACAAAACTTCAACCTCCAAAAAAAAAAAAAAAAAAACAGCTAGCAGGTGACATTTGCTATAGGGAGTAGGGAGACTAGGGATATGATCTTGCTGCAATCTTTCCATTTTAGTAAATCTAAACAAGTGTGAATCCATTCTGTTTCGTCCCCACTCCACTCCAGAGCCAAAACAAGAAAATCAATTATATTTCTAGTTCTTTAAAAACATATCTAACTAAATCATCTAATTAAAAGATAATATGCATGGTTCCATACTCTAAAAGAAAACTTATGTCCTGCATATCATGGACATTTGATGAATGCTTATTCAGTTGACTGGTGTAGACTTCAATAATAACCTGTTCAATGCATTATGCCAGATGAATCTTGCATCTCAAAAGTAGAACAAATATTGTTCTTTCAGTTTTGTCTACCCATAAATGCAATATTTACTAATAAAAAGAAAATGAGTTTATTGTTCTAGAGAGTATGAGAATTTTGACAACATGAATTCTCCTGTCCTAGGACATAATTAATACTTAGAGGCATACTATTTCATGTGGAAGCTACCATTAAATCAATGTTAAGTGTTAATTACCTCACATAATCTTCTAATCTGACTTGACTGAAGACGTACCTGACAAAGTTGATTTATCAAGTTGTAAATCTTCACCTGTTGAATTCATAAGTTCATGTCTGAAAGGTGAGAATAAATACTTAATATTCATTAGGCAATATTCAGCAAAGTAATATCCACTAGTACATATTTAATATTTCATCATGAACTGCGGGTGTGAAGAGAAAAGACAGGCTGGGCACAGTGGCTCACACCTGTAATCCCAGCAGTTTGGGAGGCCGAGGCAGGCAGATCATGAGGTCAGGAGTTCGAGACCAGCCTGGCCAACATGGTAAAACCCCGTCTGTACTAAAAGTACAATAATTAGCTGGGCATGGTGGCAGGCACCTGTAATCCCAGCTACTCGGGAGGCTGAGGCAGGAGAATTGCCTGAACCCAGGAGGTGGAGGTTGCAGAAACCATTATCATGCCACTGCATTCCAGCCTGGGCAAGAGAGCAAGATTCTGTCTCCATCAATCAATCAATAAAAATATAAGGAGGAAGCATTTACTGTGTATTTATATGTCTGGTATTATGTGAAGCACTTTACTATCTTATCAAATCTTCGGGACAGATCTTCAGTTCTCATGACCACAAAAGAGGATACTAAAGCTCAGACAGGAGAAGAGACGTGGCCAGCCTGTGTCCCCAGGGCCTATGGTCTTACCACTAGGTTACAGTGTTTCCAGATATCACATGTTGTGAGATTTTTGCTTTAAAATGAACCAAAAAAAAACCAAAGGTGAAAAAGGCATAAGCTATTAAAAAGTGGGAGAAACACTAAGAGAACCTTAAGCATGTAACTAAAAATATTACGGAAATGTTATTGAATTCATTAGCAAATTTAGTGCTAGGTTTTCATTGAGGAGTAGGTTATATTACTCATGATGAAGAAAAATGTTCATTTTAAGTATATTAACATAAATACCATCAATATTGTTTATCATGTTTAAATGTTCACTTAAAGCAATTCAGTTAAAATTCTGCATATCATACAATTTTGTAGTTTGCTAGTAGGTTACAAGTAAATAGTCACCCAAATAAAAACATCATGTTTTCCACTGGTTGTTGCTCTTTTTTAGGTGAGTATTTGATGTATATCAACAGAGAGAGGATAATAACAAATCGCTAATTTCTTTCATCACTATATAAAGGTGGCTTCAGGATAGAATAGTATCAGCGCAATGATGAATTTGAAATCTAACATCAATTCAGTGATGCATCAAGATAAAAGTAGAGACAACAGGGGCACCTTGGTGAGTACTGAACATTTTATTTATTTATTTATTTTGAGATGGAGTTTTGCTCTTTTTGCCCAGGCTACAGTGCAATGGTGCCAACCTCGCCTCACTGCAACCTCTGCCTCCTGGGTTCAAGCGATTCTCCTGCCTTGGCCTCCCGAATAGCTGGGATTACAGACATGTGCCACCATACCCGTCTAATTTTGTATTTTTAGTAGAGACGGGGTTTCTCCATGTTGGTCAGGCTGGTCTCGAACTCCCGACCTAGATATCTGCCTGCCTTGGCCTCCCAAAGTGCTGGGATTACAGGTGTGAGCCACCGTGCCCAGATGAATTCCAAATTTAACAAAGCAGACTAAGAGAAACAATTCATTTAAAAAAATAATATTTGGCCAGGCATGGTGGCTCACACCTATAATCCCAGCACTTTGGGAGGCTGAGGTGAGTGGATCAGGAGGTCAGCAGTTCAAGACCAGCCTAGCCAAGATCATGAAACCCCGTCTCTACTAAAAATACAAAAATCAGCCAGGCGTGGTGGCTGGTGCCTGTAATCCTAGCTGCTCGGGAGGCTGAGGCAGAGAACTGCTTGAACCCGGGAGGCGGAGGTTGCAGTGAGCCGAGATCGTGCCACTGCACTCCAGCCTGGGCGACAGAGTGAGGCTCCGTCTCAAAAAAAATAAATAAATAATTCAATGAAATTCCTAAGATCCAGGGCTTTGCAATAAATATGTAAATAAATATCCAATCTCCATACTGAAAGTTTAAAAGAAATGCTAACTAATAACTAAAGAAATACAACTTTTCCTCAGCTTTGCAGCAATCTAGAAACAAAGTGTGTAGACACTACAAAGCACCTTACAAGGAGAAACATGTAAGGATGGCATGACTCGCCGGCAGCCCTGGGCTTGTCCACGGTACCCCCATGATGAACAGTAACTCCACTGTGTAAACGCCCATGAACATAAGATTACAAGACTTTTCCAGTTTAGACATACCATATTTTCTTTCAGACAATTCTTCAGTTTGTTTACGTAGATCAGCGATACGATGATTCCATTTCTCTGAAAACCAAGCAAAAGTTGCTTCTCAATAACACGTCCCTATGTCAGAGCAGCACTAACGTATAATGACTGATTTCATATATTTTACATTCTAACAGTCCATATCATTTTACTGCTTTCAAGAAAAAATTTCCCCTTCTTGGTGGTTCTTAGAATTGGTTTAATGGGAGACTATTAGAGAAGCTGAAAAGCAGGAGGGCAGAAAAGTTCAATCAAATTAAACACAATAACAGGGAGGTCACAATGAGGCGGTCTCCAGGGGTCTTTTAGCAAACTTCCTAAAACATGTCTCAGCTGTGTGAAATAAGACTTTACAGCAGCCGGGTGCAGTGGTGCAGGCCTGTAATCCCAGCACTTTGGCAGCACAGGCAGGCGGATCACTTTGAGCTCAGGGCAACATAGCCAAAACCCCCCTCCCTAGCCCCACCCCCACCCCGTCCCTACCAAAAATACAAAACAGCAGGGCATGGTGGCGGGCGCCTGTAGTCCCAGCTACTCAGGAGGCTGAGGCAGGAGAATCACCTGAACCCAGGAGGCAGACATTGCAGTGAGCCAAGATCACGCCACTGCCAGCCTGGATGACAGAGCAAGACTCCACCTCAAAAAAAACAAAAACAAAAACACAAGGTTAAGAGGGACCCCCGACCTTACAGATACAAGTTTAAGAGGGACCCCTAAGCAAAAAATGCCAACCCCTTTTCTCCCAATCATTGAAACACCAGGAGGGTGTAACAGTTTTGCAGCCTAGCTGTAGCAGGCTGATGCCCCCAAGATGCCCATATCCTAATCCCGGGAACTGGTGAACATGACCTTATATGGCAAAAGGAGCTTTGCAGATATAATGAAGTTAAGGGTCTTTGGCTTTTGGGGTTGATGTACTCACTCGGATCCTTGTAAGAGCAGAGCAGGTGATGGAGAGGGTGGGAGGTGTAGTGACAGAAGCAGGAAACTCCAGTCATTCGAGACGGGCAGCACAAGCTGCAGAGTGCAGGCCACCTCTACGGCCAGGAAACGGATTCTCCCGCAGAGCCTCGGAAGCTACCGACCCTGCTCCCACCTTGACTCAGTAGGACTTACTGTAGAATTCTGGCCTTCAGACCTGTAAGGGAATACATTTTGGTTGTTTTAAGTCACTACGTGTGTGGTAATTTGTTGCAGCAGCCACAGGAAACTAGTATTGTAGTGAAGCCTCAAAACCCCCCTGAAGGGGCTGGGCTCAGTGGCTCATGCCTGTAATCCCAGCACTTTGGGAGGCCGAGATGGGTGGATCACTTGAGGTCAGGAGTTCGAGACCAGCCCAGCCAACATGGTGAAATGCCATCTATACAAAAAATACAAAAACTAGCCGGGCATGGTGGCACATGCCTGTAATCTCAGCTACTCAGGAGGCTGAGACAGGAGAATTATTTGAACCCAGGGGGGCAGAGGTTGCAGTGAACTGAGATTCCACCACTGCACTCCAGCCTGGGTGACAGAGCGACGCTCCATCTCGAAAACAAAACAAAACAAAAAAACCCCACCTGAAGGTTTCCAGTTCTGCCAGCACTCTCCCACCCAACCCCCAGAAACAGACATTCCATTGCTGTGGGCCATGGACAGGCAGAAGGAAGCACCTCCTCATGGCAGAGGCCTACCCAGGAGAAACCCAAGGGAAGGCACTACTGGGCTGGCCCCTCTCTGCCAAGGCCATATTCTTTTTTTTTTGAGGCCAGTTTCACTCTGTCTCCCAGACTGGAGTGCAGGGGCACAATCTCGGCTCACTTCGACCTCTGCCTCCCCAGTTCAAGTGATTCTCCTGCCTCAGTCTCCTGAGTAGCTGGGATGACAGGAGTGTAGCATGCCTAGCTAATTTTTGTATTTCTAGTAGAGATGCGGTTTTGCCATGTTGCCCAGGCTGGACTCGAACTCGCCTCAAGTAGTCCACCTGTCTCAGCCCCGCAAAGTGCTGGTATTACAGGAGTGAGCCACTGCACCCAGCATTTGCCAAGACCTTTGATGGCAGGCTTTTTCCAGGTGATCAGTCCTTGTCTGGTCTGGCTCTGCCCCACTCTCCTTCTCACCTAGTTGGAATCCCTAGCTACTTTTCAGTAGAGGAGAGTGTGTACCCCAATCCCAGCTTGGTTCAGATCTGCATTTAACTCATGGAACCTGGCTGCTCCCCAGGTTCTGAAGAAAAAAACGGTCTCTCTGTGTGTATGATAAAGGATGGGCCTGTCCCCAGGACCCTGTGAGAGGGAAGCCCAATGTCCCACCAGGTTGGCAGGGCTGGGGAAGGGAAAGTGTTATGGCAGCCCCAAGAAAAAAAAGAGGCAGCAGAGGGAGCAGGACAGCGCTCACATGGAACTCATGCCACTGCCTGAGGGGAGGGAGGAGTGCACGCCAGTGACGTCAGGGGGCAGAGAGGCACAGTTCCAGGGCGGCTTTCCCCCTCACTTCCTGCCATGTTACTCTGATCGCCTCCAGGTGAGCCTGCCCACTTTGTGCCCAGGGGCCTGTAGAAAACCACAGCTCCCCATGGTTATGGCCCCAGGAGTGGGGCAGAGCAGGGAGGAGTCCTGGACAGAGGAGAGGCAGGGGTAGGAGGGAGTGGGCCTCAAACTCCAGGAGGGGGCCCTTCTCATGGGTCCTGCTTTCTGGCTTCTCCTTCCTTACCCCTGGGCTGATCACTTGGGGAAGAACTGGGACAAAGTTTCTCACCCTCAGGCCCAAAGGGTTTAATTACTGGGCCCTTATGGAGGTGTGAGCCCCCTGAAAGGATGCAAGGTTTTGTTTTGTTTTGTTTTTTGAGACAGAGTTTCACTCCTGTCGCCCAGGCTGGAGTGCAGTGGCGTGATCTCACCACACTACAACCTGCGCCTCCCAGGTTCAAGTGATTCTCCTGCCTCAGCCTCTGGAGTAGCTGGGATTACAGGTGGCTGCCACCACGCCTGGCTAATTTTTTGTATTTTTAGTAGAGACAGGGTTTCGCCATGTTGGGCAGGCTGGTCTTGAACTCCTGACCTCAGGTGATCCGACTGGCTCCGCCTCCCAAAGTTCTGGGATCACATCAGCCACTGTGCTTGGCCACAATGAAAGGTTTTGTGTGGAGAGCATGTACATGCCTTTCTGGGAAAACAGTCCACAGCTCTTATTCTCAGCAGGCTTCACGGTGAAAAAAGGTTAGAACTCTTGCTACAGAGCTGTGGAAGCAGCCAGGTGAGGGGCCTGCCAAGGGCACTCTGGGCACTACCTGGGCACTCTCGAGCCCATCATCCCCTAGGCAGGCTGCACTGCTTGGTATTTGCAGAGCTGAGGGGGTGGGGCATGTGGGGACTGTGAAATCGCCCTGAGATGACCCACAGTCCTCAGCTAGGAAGTGAGCGCTGCATCTCCTGCAGCGTCCTCCATCCCTAGAGCCATGGGGCCAGGAGAACCGGCCCTTGCAGCAAGTGAAAAGCCTATTATTGATTCCCTCCCTAGCCATGTAGACAGTGAACCAAGACACTCATATCAGGTAAATGCCTTGTTCTCTGTTACCAAGGTAACCAGTAGGCATTCCCAGATACAGCGAAGGTCCTCACACCAAGATATGCACCTGGCCACCTGAGGAAAGAGAAAGGACTATCTGAGGGGATGGGGCTGAGCTGGGTGTGGAGTGGTCCTTGTGGGTCTTGGAGAGTGGGAGGGGGAGCAGCATGAGCCAGGCCTCAAGGCAGAAGGACAACCAGGAGACAGCCTGGAAAAAGTGCTGGACCCACAAGGGCTCAAGGCTGGCCAGAGGGGAGGTGGGATAGGCTGTAAAGTCCTGAGGTCTGAAGATTGGCCCTGGCAGGAAGAAACCAGGTAAGGTGGGGTGTTACCTACACCCTCGGGGCCAGATGCAGGCCAGAGCCCGCCAATTACCAGGCCCTTAGGGAGGTGTGAGCCCCTTGAAATGATGCAAGGTTTTTTGTTTTTGTTTTGGAGACGGAGTTTCGCTCTTGTCACACAGGCTGGCACCTTTGCCCAGAGCAGGCACCAAGACTTCTGGCTCTGGGTGTGACCTCAGTCTGGGTAAAAGCCCCAGCCCCCACCAGCACCACCTACCCCCTAGACTACTTCAGGTGCTGAGCCCAAGCCAGGGGCAGGAAGCTAAACTGATGCCTAGGGTAATCCCAACAAAGTCCCTGGTTCCCCGCAGCTATGGGGCTGACGGGGAATTACAGCCCAAACCCCAGATGCTGGCTCTCAAACTAACACTGAGCCCTCAGTGCCCACAGGGAGATACAATCAGCGCACTTTCCAGATGGGGAAATGGGATCAGAGAAGTGCAACAGCCTTGCCCAATGCCCCAGACCAGGGCTCCAGGCCCAGAGTGTTCTTTTGTCACTGTGTTCAGAGGGCAGCAGCTGCTGTGATGTACCCACCTGAGCCTGGCAGCTTTCTCCAACTTTGGAAGCCCAGGAGCATGGCCCCTGTCCACAGATGCACCTGGCATGAGGCGTGCCCAGAGGGACAGAGGCAGATGAGTTTCGTCTCCTCCACTGGATTGTGAGGGCCTAGAAGGAGACAAGGGTCTGCTTGAGAAGGCAGTGAACAGCGAGCAGCCTGAGGCAGTGCCCCTCTGGATGGATGCGCAGTGCCTGGATGGAACCTGGCTCAGACAGAGCTCAGTTCTGCAGGTCCCTGAGGCATGGAGAGTTCACAGCTACCAAGTGTAGGAGTCTGGATTCAAAGCCAACGGCGTGACTCCAAAGTCCCTGCCCTAGCCCCTGGACCACCCTTGCAGGCCCATCAGATGCCCAGGCCAGCAGCACAGCCGGCCAAGACCAGGGAAACTTGGGGAGCCTCAGAGCACCCCCAGGTATTCCAACCTAACCCTGGTGCCCCGCCTCTCACCACCCTTCTTCCTGCTTTAACCTCAACCCCTACACAAAGCCTGGGCCACTTCATGTGGCATCAAACAGACGCCTCAATAAATCAGTCTAATCTCGAAAAAAAAAAGACTTAACAGATATACAATTGCACGTTAGAATGCTAAAGACCATAAACATAGAACAACTTAAAGTACATATAAATTCAATATATATCCAATCATTGTAACTATGACACAGTAGAATATTAAAATACTATTTTCAAAATGTATACAAGCTTAATGTTCTATGTATTCAAACTATTTATTCAAAATACAAATCATCAACATACATTGCCACTAATATTCAGTCCCTTCACAGGACATGATTCACTGGGAGTTAATAAATTAGCAGCCAGCAGGCAGTGACACACCGCAAAAATGAAAACCAAGAGGTGAAATAGTTCTGAAATAAAGGTTTTAAAGCTAACAGAAATCACTGAATTACTAAGTCATTAGCACTAATTTTGAGCCAACTAACTAATTAATATGAGATGATACAATGTCCTATACTTTGGTAAATACAGACTATGTTTAAACAATGTCTGTAACGTGACTTGTAAAATGCTCCTGGCTTTACAAAGATGTGATTAAGATGTAGTAACACATGCTAAACCATTTCCCCCTGCAGAGCATGTGGTAACTTTCATCAGTCACACTGAGAGTCCAGAAGATAAAGGAAAAGGTCATGGATTTCGCTGAGAACTTACCAGAGTTGAACTCCCTCATTTTCCGTTCCCCAGCATTGGCGGGTTCTGGGACTGGTGGCTGTGGTGGCTCGTTGGTCTTTGTCTCTTAGAAGGTGGGGAATAATCATCATCTTGAAAAAGAAAAAATGGTCATTACTGAAGGAACCATCTTAGGTTACAGCCACCTCTGGGTCAATTCCCAACATTCAAAAGCTGAGCAGGGCTTTAAAGCTATCTTATTAATAATTATTTCTGTATTGCGAACTTCAGCATATTTTTTTCTAGTTACATTTGAAATGTTTTTCTTTTGGGATGTGCTCAAGTGAGTACTGCTTTTTCCTCTGCCTTGCTTCATTACTTTTTAGTTTCCTTCATTTGAATCATCATTGTAAGTCTCCCCTTCTCCTCAAATAACTTTCAAATTGCTGCCAAGAACTACGTTCTATCTTAAGGCTTTTGAGAAAAAACTTTCAATGAAGATAGCCGCCTAAAGTTATACAAATATAGAAGAAACGGGATAAAATAAAGCTTAGATTGGAAAAAATATTTAAGATTCTACAAAATTCACGCGTAAACAAGGGAAGCTGAGTAATTGTATGTTCAAATACTTTTAACAAGTGCAAAACATGTAGGCTTAAAGAAATAGAGCTGGCCAGGCATGGTGGTTCACGCCTGTAATTCCAACAGTTTGGGAGGCCGAGGCAGGCAGATAACTTGAGGTCAGGAATTCGAGACCAGCCTGGCCAACAGAGTGAAACCCTCTCTCTACTAAAAATACAAAAATTAGGCCAGGAGTGATGGCTCATGCCTGTGATCCCAGCACTTTGAGAGGCCGAGGCGGGTAGATCACCTGAGGTCAGGAGTTTGAGACCAGCCTAACCAACATAGGGAAACCCCGTCTCTACTAAAACTACAACATTAGCCGGGTGTGGTGGCACATGCCTGTAATCCCAGCTACTCGGGAGGCTGAGGCAGGAGAATCCCTTGAACCCAAAAGGCAAAGATTGTGGTGAGCCGAGATTGTGCCATTGCACTCCAGCCTGGGCAAAAACAGCGAAACTCCGTCTCAAAAAAAAAAAAAAAGAAAAAATTAGCCAGGCATGGTGAAGTTGCGGTGAGCTGAGACTGCACCATTGCACTCCAGCCTGGGTAGCAGAGCAAGACCCTGTCTCAAAAAAAAAAAAAAAAAAAAAAAAAAAGAGAGAGAGAGAAAGAAAGAAAGAGGGCTACATTATTTATGAAACAGATACTGTTAACTCAGTCACCAGAAAGCCTGTGTATAAATGAGCAGTGAGATATTCAAGCACAGCACACACACACTTCTCAGGACAGCTGTCGTGAGTGTTCCATGCTCGTTTCCTTCTGGATACATCAGCAACTCACTCTGCTATGATCCTGCAATACGTCTCATGTTAGAATTAGAGACATCTGGGCCAGGCACAGTGGCTGACGCCTGTAATCCTAACACTTTGGGAAGCCGAGGCAGGCAGATCACCTAAGGTCAGGAGTTCGAGACCAGCCTGGCCAACATGGTGAAATGCTGTCTCTACCAAAAATACAAAAAATTAGCTGGGCATGGTGGCGCGCGCCTGTAATCCCAGCTACTCGGGAGCCTGAGGCAGGAGAATCGCTTGAACCCGGGAGGTGGAGGTTGCAGTGAGCCGAGATCGTGCCACTGCACTCCAGCATGGGGGACGGAGCAAGGCTCTGTCAAAAAAAAAAAAAACAGAAAAAGAAAAAGAAAAAAGAATTAGAGACATCTGGATCAAATCAGCTGCCAGTCTCGCAAAGTGTCGGGTAACATCCTATTAAGCTTGCTGCTTACACATCATCTATAAAATACTGAAAATATCATTTTAAGAAATCTTTTTTTTATTTTGAGACAGAGTTTTGCTCGTTGCCCAGGCTGGAGTGCAATGGTGCGATCTCAGCTCACTGCAATCTCTGCCCCCTGGGTTCAAGCAATTCTCCTTCCTCAGCCTCCTGAGTAGCTGGGATTACAGGCATGCACCACCACGCCTGGCTAATTCTGTATTTTCAGTTGAGACAGGGTTTCTCCATATTGGTCAGGCTGGTCTCGAACTCCTGACCTCAGGTGATCCACTGACCTTGGCCTCCCAAAGTGCTGGGATTACAGGTGTGAGCCACCATGCCTAGCCAAGAAACCCTTATTTTAAAACAAGCCAGGCGCGGTGGCTCATGCCTATAATCCCAGCACTTTGGGAAGCCAAGGCAGGTGGATCACTTGACGTCAGTAGTTTGAGACCAGCCCGAGCAACATGTTGTAACCCCATCTCTACTAAAAATATATTTTAAAAATTAGCTGGGCATGGTGGTGGGCACCTGTAATCCCAGCTTCTCAGGAGGCTGAGGCAGGAGAACCACTTGAACCTGGGAGGTGGAGGTTGCAGTGAGCAGAGATCACGCCACTGCACTCTAGCCTGGGTGACAATAGAAAGACTCCATCTCAAAAACAAAACAAAACAAAACAAAACAAAAAACCACTAAAAAAAAGACTCCATTTCAAAAACAAAACTAAAACCAAAAACACAACACAAATGTAGTACACAAATGAAAATAATTACTGTGTTAAACACAGTTTCATAGAAAATAAAAGACCAATCAAATACAATAAGCTGCCTTTTTAGATGGGTATGTTATTCTTCTTTCACAGCTAAAGAAACAGGCTCAGAGAATGTTATTTGATTGGACCGTGTTGCATTTCTGGACAGTGCAGCTGAGATCAGACTTTGTGTGTAACTCCACTAGCCTACCAGGGTGCCTCTCATAAAGGTAAGAAATGTAAATTTGGCCTAATATACAAAGTTGCCAGGGCAGCACTGGGTCAATTCTACATACAGTACTTCTATGTTCATCAAGGGAAACCTTAAGGGAAAGTGAAAATGCTTCTAGAAGGCGACTGGACACCAGCGCCTTTGCTTGTTGCCTTTGGGCTCTTCTTCTAAGGCCAACAGTGACCTGAAATTATTGACTGGCTTTTCCAATCAGGTGGACAAAATGGTACCAAGGTTGCCAACATCGATGTAGAACATCGATGTTCTACAACATTGCTTAACGCAAGGGGAGACACTCCTGACTCAGAGTGTTTAATTGCTCACCTACTTCTTTTTCTGCCCTCTTGGGCTTCTGAAATGAAAAGAACCCTGGGGTGATACAGTGAGTCAAAGGGGTGCCAGCCGCATCACAGCAAAATAGATTCCTAAAAAATCCCTGGCCTAAGATGACAGCCTTGGCTGGATCAGTTTGAATGTGCTGATAGTGGACATGGTAGAATGAAGGTGGTTGAAATGTTCATATTAAAGAACTTCCACCCAGATTGCAAGAAAAGAGAGAAGAATGGAGACGGCAGCACAAGCCCCTACAATAAAAGCAGATGTTTTGAGATCAGTTATATTTCTTCTGACAAAAATTAAAGACAGAAACCAAAGTTTAGCCTGAGACTACAATTAATTGGGCAATAAGCCAGAGGCACATATGGCATAAGACAGATTTAAACATTTCTCCCTGATATTAATACAAACACTAAAATTACAAATACATGGATTCCAAATAAAACAAATATTTAAAAAATTTAATGAATAAACACTGGGGTCTACAGTAGTATTTGAAGGAGATCTCACAAACAGGTTTGGTTTTTGAAGGTTAGAACTGGTGGTCTAGAGAATTCATTTCATTCCAGAGAAAGAAAGAGAGGAATTTCTTGGGTTCCTTCAGGAATGCGTCTAGCTTTGCCTCATCTTTGTTTGAACTATGGATACAGCAGAAGAAAACATAAGGATTTCACAGATTTAAGGTGCAAAAAGTCACTGGGTTCTCTAAGAAGTCTGGGATTCTTCTGCTGGAAAAATAAGTTTGTTGAGAAAAAATGAGTTGGAGGAGGCTGTTATTGAAGTGAAGCAGAACTGTTTTTACTAATCTGCTTATTACCCACTCTGTAGTGTGGAAACAAATTATTCATGCACAAGGTCCTCTTACTGTTCCTAGAATGCAGTGGAAAGAGAACAGATTAGTTTTCCTCCCTCAGAACACAACCCCTAGAAACATCCTACCTCAGATGAGATATTGCCTAATTATTTTCAAAAGACAGTGAAACATCATGGATGTAAATGTTTGCTACAAAATAAATACATGCTAGAAACAGAAGCATCTGGGTCACAGCTATATTAGAGCTACCTGTGTTCCCCTGTCACTGACATTAAAACAAAAATGTCCAATACAATCATTCACAGCGTGGGAGAGGGGAAGTTGAAGGATGGAAAGGCCAGGCATAAAAGGATTTCAGAATTTCCGTCCATAAGGAAGTGGCTTTGTGCACTGTCTGTTACTGCGTGCAAGGTGAAATTTGAAGAATGAAAACGTGCAGTAACAAGGGCTCCTTTGTCCAACTCACCTCTCCAGATACCAAGTTTCAGACATGTTGCATTTGAATTGAAAGGTTGATATAATTTTTTTTAAAGAACACTTGCGGTGTTTGAAGTGACAAAGGCTGCTGTGACAAAAAAGCAGGGAAAGGGAATTTTTTTTTTAAAAGCAAACAACAACAACAAAAACCCCACAGAAAAGCAAACAACAAACAAACAAAAAACAGAGGAAGAAGTTGAACACCCCGGGCTGTGACTACTTCCAGGAAGGGGCTACAAGAGGCAGTTGGAAATTCTATTTGTTTTGCAACTGTGGGTTTTCCGGCCTGCTTCCTTTCTAAAGTATATTACTCTGCTTTTGGTTCATGAAGTTATCCATTTCTGTTTTCTGGAACAGCTATGTATTTTCTTTATCTATCATCTATCTATCTATTTACCATCTATCTTTTCTACCTTTTGCTATCAAGAGCTTGTGTCAAGCAGGATAGAATTCCAGTGTATGTTCACTCTACCGTTTAAAACAAGAGCTCTTGTGGGCATTCTCCATCACATCATAAACCTGAGCTTTCTAAAACAGAGTGTGGCAAACTACCATGCATGGACCATGTCTGACACAGTCTGCGTTTGTAAGTAAAGTTGTAATGGGACACAACCAATACATGTGTTACATAATGTCTCTGGCTACTTTCATGGTATAATGGAAGAGCTGAGTCATTGA
This sequence comes from Homo sapiens, assembly GCF_000001405.40. Lineage (NCBI taxonomy): Eukaryota > Metazoa > Chordata > Mammalia > Primates > Hominidae > Homo > Homo sapiens. The sequence goes on from NC_000017.11 coordinate 111,834, forward strand.
GAGAGAGACCATATGGCTTGGAAAACTTAAAATATTTAACATTTAGCCCCTTGCAGAAAATACTTGCTGACTCTTGTTTTAAAAGATCTCTGTTTAGAATGCTACCTATTGCGTTCTGGATAGAATCACAACTCTTTACCACAATTGACACAGCTTCAGCCCTGCTTCTATATCCAGCCTCATCTATTTCTGCTCCTCCTCCTTATTTTCCTTCTGGCCATGCTGATGGATTGTCAGCTTCCCAGATGTGCAAGAATCTCTCCTCCCTTCCCAACATTCTCATGCTCTCCCTCTGCCTCTCAAGAACTTCCTGCCCCATCTCTCATGACAAATCCTTTCTACATTCTTTAAGATGCAGCCCCTTTGCTCCTTCCTTAAGGATGTCTGTCTGGCTCTATTTTGGGTGACGTGCTCCTTCTGCATCTCCCAGAGCCAGCCTGTGTGTGTCAGCTACAACATTTCTTTGCATCTCTGTGTCATATATCACCAAATCTGCCTAAGCTTGCATGAGTCACTGCATGACAACTTCAGACTCCACCAGCATTGTCCCCACTAACCACAAGGCTTAGACATTCGTCCAGTATGCTCAGGGTTGTGGGGTGGTAGCAGTAACCAGCTGGTGACCATCATTTCTTACATCAGAATCAAATCTGTAGATCTCTGCCATTCGTAAGTATTTGGAGTTTAAAATTAGCATAAAGATTTTCCTTAAAATAAGAACAAATAGCTTGAGTAGGCTTTTGGAACGTAGGATGTTTCCACTGGTTCATTTCTGTGTTCAATATTCCCACATGAATCTAAACACGACTCTGCTCTTAGTAGCTATGTGACCCTGGGAAAGTCACTCAATCTCCCGCAGCTAAATTTTGTTGTGTGAGTAATGAGGAGAGAGTTGTGATTTGTATTTAGAGAATAATAACAAACAAAAGGCATTTAGCTTTCTGGAACCTGGTATGTAGTAGAACCTCATGAAATACTAGCTCTGTTGATAAAACTAGACTGAAAGAAGCTTTCAAAGTCAACAAAAGTTTGAGGCAGTGAAGGACGTAGAGGAGAAGCTGCTGCTGCAGCCTGTAGCTCCTGGAAGCCCGTTTAGTCCATGATTTAGCAGGAATGCATTACCCTTCCATGAGGAGGCACTGCCCACAGAAACCAAGGCCATTCTTTGAAGACAAACATGTCTTAATAGCCTTTACATTATGTAATAGTGTAATACAAATAATAATTTATTATTAGTAATAATGTGAAATTATTTACAGTACCCTAACCCTAACCCCTAATCCTAACCCTAACCCCTAACCCTAATCCTAACCCAAACCCTAACCCTAACCCTAACCCTAACCCAACCCTAACCCTAGCTCCTAATCCTAACCCTAACCCTAACCCTAACCCTAACCCAACCCTAACCCTAGCTCCTAACCCTAACCCTAACCCTAACCCTAAAACCCTAACCCTAACCCTAACCCTAACCCTAACCCTAACCCTAACCCTAACCCTAAAACCCTAACCCTAAAACCCTAACCTGAACCCTAACCCGAACCATAAACCTGAACCCTAAACCCGAACCCGAACCCGAACCCTAACCATAACCCAAACCCGAACCCTAACCCCTAACCCCTAACCCTAACCCTACCCTAACCCAACCCTAACCCAACCCTAACTCTAGCCCTAGCCCTAGCCCTAGCCCTAAGCCCTAAGCCCTAAGCCTAACCCCAACCCCAACCCCAACCCCAACCCTAACCCTAACCCTTCCTCAGCCTCTCAACCTGCTTGGGTTACAGGTATGAGCCCGGGTGCCTGGCCAAACATTCCATTTTATATGTATATGCTAGGAATGAATAATCTCTAAACCAAATTATGAAAATTCTACCTTAAACAATACCAATAGCAATATTATACTTAGGAATAAATGGAATGAAACGACAAGACTTAGATGAGGGAAATTATAAGACATTACTTAAGGAAATTAAACTTCCAATAAATGTAAAAATGTATCTTATTTGTGGATTTGTAGACCACATTGTTAAGTTTCCCAAAGTACACAAAGCAATCCGTGGATTCGATGTTATTCCTACAAAAATCCCAAAGGCCTTGGGACAGAAGTGGATAAGCTGATCCTGATCACATCCCAATTTCAAATTTTATTACAAAGGAACAGTAATAAAAACAGTGGGATCCTTGCACAGGAATAAACAGAAAGATCAACTGAATTGAATTGGGAGTCCAGACAGAAAACAATACCTCTATGCTCAACTGATTTTAGACAAGGTCCATTACCAGTAAATTGGGGAAAGAATCCTGTCCTCAACAAGTGATGTAAGGCAACTTGCTATCCACATAAAGGGAAATGAAATTGTATCCTTACCTCATACCACATAAAAAATTAACTTACAATGGATCGAAGACCAAAACAGGTGAAAACTAAAAACTCTGGAAGAAAACATACAGTTAAGCATTCATGACCTTACATGTAGCAATAGTTTCTTACATCTGACACCAAAAGCACAGACCACAAAAGGAAAAATAAATCAATTTATTTCCTCAAAATTTACAACTTTTACGTCTCAGAAGACATGAAGAAAAAAGTTGAAAGACAAAATGTTATAATAGGAAAAACAACTGTCTTATAGTATACTCTCAACACTCAACACAGAACACTTCTGTTACCAGATACATGGGTTTTTTCCCCACACAGACCAAATCTTGGGTACCAGCTGGGTGTCCTACAGTGCAATCCAATTGTGACAGTAAATGGAGAAAGCATCAGACCCCATAGGCTAAGGGCTCAGTCCTAGGAATACACATCATGCCCCTTGTTGCTTGCAAATTTAAATGACAAACACAAGGATGGTAAAAAGAAAGTGACTTTATGCCAGAGCTTAGCTGAAGGGAACGTACAGGCTCTTGCCTTAAGGGAAGCGCTTCCACTTTCTGGGCAGAAAGCGGGGCCTTCGGACTTGCCAGAATGGCATGCAGGGGATGAGGTGAGGAGGTGCGGGGTCTATGGGACATGCTCTGATGTTTTCTCCATTAGGTGGTCTTGCTAGCACCATCACGGGCAGAGCCAGGTTGTAAATTGACTGTTGTCTGCTGCCAATCTCCTGGTGGGGGAGAGATATGGAAGTGCCAGTTTGTTTCAAGGTTTGGTCCCTGGAACTTACAAGTAATCACACAGTTGGAAAAGTTTGCAGTATAGGAAGTGTCTGGTGGAGAGACAGTAAAGCTTATAATTGCATTCCTAAAGAGCTAAATGCAGGAACAGCAAAATGGTAAAACTAATTCATTTCTTCTTTAAGAAAATATGGGTACTCAGTTACAAGACTGTAACCACTTAAGATGCCAACCAGAAACAGTAGGTTCCCAGGTTACCTTCTGTCTGACTTTGCTACAGATTGGAGGCTCCCACAACACCCTTATTGGGTTCAGCAATTTGCTACATCACATTACACAACCCATGAAAGCAGTGTACTTACTATTCCTGACTCATTACCAAGGATCTTTTAAACACTACAAATGAAAAGCCAGATGAAGAGAGGCACAAGGTGAGGTACATGGAAGGAATGCAGGCCTCCCATGCCCTCGCCAGATATGATCCTCCCAGTATCTCCTGTGTTGGGAGAGCAACACAGATGCTCTCCCAACCCTGTCCTTTATTACACAGGCAGATTGGTTACGTCTGTGGCCATAGGTGATCAACTCAACCATCAGCACCTCTCCCCTTCACAGAGACGGGACGGGGGAAGAAATTTCAAATTCTCTCATGACAAGGTTGCTTCCCTTGGCAGCCAGCCCCACTGAGGGTGTCCAGGTGCCCCCAGCCATCAATCATTTCATTAGCATACGAAACACACATTACTTCGTACATTCCCAAGGCTTAGCGCTCTGTTTCAGGACACTGCAGCAGAGACCACACATTAACTCTTATTACGTTCCAACAACCTATAAAATGGAAGAAAATGTCTGCACATTAGATACTTCATCAGTGTCTGTTATCCAGAATGTATAAAGAACTTTTACAACTCCATAGCAAAGACAACCCAATCTAAAAATTGACAAAAGACTTTAATACACACTTCACCAACAAGCACATGAAAAGATGCTTAACATCATTACCATAATTAAAACCATAAAGAGATAACCCTTAACTCACACAAGAATAGTTATACTAAAAAATAACAAGTGTTGACAAAGATGTGCAGAAACTTGAACTCTTAAACACTGCTTGTGACAATATGAAATGGTGCAGCCTACGTGTAAAATAATTTGATGTTTCCTCATGAAGTTACAAATAGATTTACCATATGAGTCAATGATTCCATTCCTAGGTATATACCCCAAAGACCTGAAAACAACTGTTCAAACAAAAACCTGTATGCTCTTTAAATGTGTCAAGGTCATAAATATGCAGGAAAGTCTGGGGAACAGTTCCAGGAAAAGAAAACTGGATCCTAATGAAAAAAAAAAAAACACATTATACTCCCAAGTGTGGCATGAGGTAAAAGTGAAGTGAGTTTGTGGACCGAATTATCATGTAGGAACAATGCTGATTTCCTGATCTAGGGGTTATGTGGTAGTTACCTGGGAGAGTGTCCATGTTTTCAGTACAATATACCGGAGTATTTTGTGGGACACTGCAAATCTGGTACAGCAATAACTGTTGGGGAATCTAAGGGAAGAAACAAGTTGTACTTTGTACTACTACTGGAAGTTGCCTAGAAATATGACATTATTGGAAAATAAGTTACTTTTTAAAACAACCATGTCAATACCATGCCAGGAAAGCAGACACATCATCAAAATCCATTGCAGAGGCTATAGTTCAGCCAAAGCTGTAAAACCCTTAAAAAAGTCTCAATGTCAACAGAGTCCACGTAGTAGATATTATTATATTTATTAGTATTAGAGGCCATTGTGTCAATATATTAGTGTTAGGGCATGGTATGGGTGTCTAGATTAGTGTTAGGGAATGGTGTGGATATTGTATTGGTGTTAGGGAATGGTGCAGATATTACATTAGTCTTAGGGCATGGTGTGGATATTATTACATTAGTATTGGAAGCGATGGTGTGGACTAGATCAGTGATAGGGCATGGTGTGGATATTATTACATTAGTATTGGAAGCGATGGTGTGGACTAGATCAGTGATAGGGCATGGTGTGGATATTATTACATTAGTATTGAAAGCGATGGTGTGGATTAGATCAGTGTTAGGGCATGGTGTGGATATTATTACATTAGTATTGGAAGCGATGGTGTGGACTAGATCAGTGATAGGGCATGGTGTGGATATTATTACATTAGTATTGAAAGCGATGGTGTGGATTAGATCAGTGTTAGGGCATGGTGTGGATATTATTACATTAGTATTGGAAGCGATGGTGTGGACTAGATCAGTGATAGGGCATGGTGTGGATATTATTACATTAGTATTGGAAGCGATGGTGTGGACTAGATCAGTGATAGGGCATGGTGTGGATATTATTACATTAGTATTGGAAGCGATGGTGTGGATTACATCAGTGTTAGGGCATGGTGTGGATATTATTACATTAGTATTGGAAGCGATGGTGTGGATTAGATCAGTGATAGGGCATGGTGTGGATATTATTACATTAGTATTGGAAGCGATGGTGTGGATTAGATCAGTGATAGGGCATGGTGTGGATATTATTACATTAGTATTGGAAGCGATGGTGTGGATTAGATCAGTGATAGGGCATGGTGTGGATATTATTACATTAGTATTGGAAGCGATGGTGTGGACTAGATCAGTGATAGGGCATGGTGTGGATATTATTACATTAGTATTGGAAGCGATGGTGTGGATTAGATCAGTGATAGGGCATGGTGTGGATATTATTACATTAGTATTGGAAGCGATGGTGTGGACTACATCAGTGATAGGGCATGGTGTGGATATTATTACATTAGTATTGGAAGCGATGGTGTGGATTACATCAGTGATAGGGCATGGTGTGGATATTATTACATTAGTATTGGAAGCGATGGTGTGGACTAGATCAGTGATAGGGCATGGTGTGGATATTATTACATTAGTATTGGAAGCGATGGTGTGGATTAGATCAGTGATAGGGCATGGTGTGGATATTATTACATTAGTATTGGAAGCGATGGTGTGGACTAGATCAGTGATAGGGCATGGTGTGGATATTATTACATTAGTATTGGAAGCGATGGTGTGGACTAGATCAGTGATAGGGCATGGTGTGGATATTATTACATTAGTATTGGAAGCGATGTTGTGGATTACATCAGTGTTAGCGCATGGTGTGAATATTATATAGGTGTTAGGACACGATGTGGATATCATAGTAATGTAGGGCACAGTGTGATTATTATATTAGAGGCCACTGTAAGAATATATATTAACAGCCACTGTGTCTTGGACGTTGACAATGATATTAGGGTGTAGTCCAAACAGTGAGATTTGGGGGTTTTATTTTTCTAGATGAATTTCTTCCTCTGCTGAGTGCTCTAAAGACTCACTCCTTGGCACTCAGGGCCGTGGACAGGAGCTTTTTACTCACCAATGAAGAACACCAAGTTAACGCGACCCCCGTGCTGCCCTGAGGAAGTCGAAGCTCCTCGCTGCTTCTGGCACCTCAGCGGGAAGTTGGTTGCGGCGGGATCGCGCGCCCTCTGGTGGCGCCATGGTTCAGCACAGACGCTCTTGCTCACAGTTTCTCGGCGGATGTGCGCCCCCTCCTGGCTGTCCTGAAATACCTATAAAATTCAATATTCAGTTTATTCAGTGTCATAATTTTGGAAATTCAAACCGAAATAAAGGCCACTATATCCATATCCTTCCCATAAATGGTGATGGAAGAATTATTTGGAAGCCATATAGAATGAAATGACTCTATACACAAATTAAAACACAAAAACCTACTCAAAATAGTCCAGAGACTACAACTTCAAATGCAAAACTATAAATAATCTAAAAGAAAACCTAAGAGACATTCGATCTGGTGTTGAGTTTTAACACACAGCATCAAGTGCCAATTCGTGAAAATACTGAGAACAGACTTTATAAAACTAAATTTTCTACTATGAAAAACCCTATTCAGAGAACAAAAAGACAAGACACACTGTGAGAAGATATTTACAAAATACAAACATGATTTTAAAAACTGTATTGAAAATACACAAAGAACTCTTCAAACGAACACTAAGAAAACTAAAAACCCACATAAAACTGGGTAAATATCTGAACAGACATCCAGCCAAATAAAATATATAGATAGCAGGCCAGGTGTGGTGGCTCATGCCTATAACCCCAGCACTTTGGGAGGCTGAGGTGGGTGAGTCACCTGAGGTCAGGAATTTGAGATCAGCCTGGCCAACATAGTGATACCCCCTCTCTACTAAAAATACAAAAAAATTAGCCAGGCATGGTGGTGAGTGCCTGTAATCCCAGCTACTTGGGAGGCTGATGCAAGAGAATTGCTTGAACATCGGAGGTGGAGGTTGCAGTGACCCAGGATCACACCACTGCACTCCAGCCTGAGTGACAGAATGAGACTCTATCTCAATAAAAAAAAAAGAAAAAAGAAAAAAAAGAAAATATACAGATAGCACATAATCACACAAAAGGATGCTCAATATATCTCATTAGGAGACTGCAAATTAAAATAATGCTGAGATATCACTGCACACCTAGTACAACTGTGGGACTCTTAAAAAAGCTCAACAGTAACAATTGGAAGTTGAAGAACAATAGGTACGGCCATTCATTAATGGCAGAATGCATGAATGGGTACAGCCACTTTGGGAAATAGTTTGACAGTTTTTCCCAAAGATAAACAAGTCTTACCTTACAATCCAACAAATGCACCCCTAAATTGTGTATGTTTAGACAGCTGCTTTGAAAAATTATGTTCAAACAAAAACTAGCATGTAATTATATATGAGCCACTCTACTCATCATGGCCAAAACTTGAAGTAATCAGAACGTTCTTCAATAGCTGAATGCATAATCAATTTGAAGTACAACCATGCAATGGAATACCATTCACCAACAGAAAGGAATGAACTGTCAATCCATGAAAACAAATGAATGAATCTTGCATCTATGTTGCTAAGTAAAGGGTGGCAGTATGAAGATGCTATACATTATATGACTCCATTCATATAACATTCTGGAAAAAGCACAACCAAAGAGATGATAGTCAGATCAGTGACTGTCTGGGGTGGGGATTTGAAGTATTCTGTATGCTACTTCAGTAGTGGATATCTGACACTATTCATTTGATAAAACCCACAGAATTTTAATGCACAAAGAACAAATCACAATCTACACAAATTAAATTATTTAGGATGTGGAAGTATCTAAGGACAAAATACAGAGTGAAACCAAGAATCTAACTGTATTACCAATGTATGTTGCAAGTGGTGGGCCAAAGGTGCTGAGCTGGAAATGAGTAGAATCCATAGACTAAAAACAAAACGTACTATATACACGAACAGTGGACTCTATAAAGTTATTTCCCATAGGGATAATAGTTAATTTTGAAACTACTATATCTGTAAAAAGAAAAATAACCATGATTTTCCTCTATACTATCAACACTCCACTTTTAACAGCAAATTGTGGGGGGTGGGGGGTGTTTCCCATACCAACCAATATTCCAACTCTCTGGAAAACAATTGGGTATCCTGTAATTCAACTGTGACACTGATTACCTGGAGTTAGTCTACACCCTACAGGTTAAGGGCTTAGTAACACCAGACTGTCCACAACCTCAGATGCCAATCACAAGTTGTGAATCCCCAGTTTACCCAAACTTCTATATGACTTGGCTAGAAACTAGGCATTCCTACACCCCCTCTTCAGGTTTGACAATTTGCTATGATGGCTTATGGAACTAGGAAATACTTACTTATGTTTACTAGTTATTATGGTCTCAATGTGTGTACACCCCCACCCCAAATTCCTATTTTGAAATGTAATCCCCAAAGGGATGGTATTCAGAGGTAACCGAGAGGTGATCGGATCATGAGAGTGCTGTCCTCATGAATGAAACCAGTGCCCTTATAAAAGCATCTAGGAGCCCGTTTCCCCATTCTGCCATGTCATGACATGCTAGAAGGCACTATCTATGATAGATGAGCCCTCACTAGACATCAAATCTGTCAGCCTTGATCTGGAACTTACCAAATTCCATATTTTAGGAATTTTTATGGAAGCTTCATCATGTAGACATGACGGATTATTAACTCAATTTCCAGTCCCTTCACACCCTCAAAGGATTGCATGTTAAGCTAAAAGTTACAACCTTCTTATCATGGCTTGGTCTTTCTGGTGACCATCCCCATCCTGAAACCATCCAGGAACCCACAGAGTGTCCTTATTAGAACAGAAGCCATTCCTATTATCCAGGAGATTCCAAGAGATTTAGGAACTCTGCGTCAGGAACCAGGGCCAAAGACCAAATATTAGAACACAAGAGCTCCTAGCAGCCCTACTGTTCAGGAAATTATAATAGTTTTACAAGCTCTGTACCAGGAACTGCAGACACAGACCAAACATATATTTCTTATTAAGTCCCAACCTGGAATCTCGATCAAGAATGAATTCCTTCTTCCCAGTGGTACAAGGGATGAAATGAAAGGCAGATAGTAGGAGCCAGGTTCCTCACTATTACAGCGAGAAGTTACAGATAAAAAATAGGGAAGCCTAGAATGATCTCGGTCATAATGAGTCAGAATATATATATACAACGTAAGTATAAACTCACATTCAGGTTCCTCATTATTACAGTGAGAAGTTACAGATAAAAAATAGGGAAGCCTAGAATGATCTCTGTCATAATGAGTCAGAATATATATAGACAACGTAAGTATAAACTCACATTCAGGTTCCTCACTATTACAGTGAGAAGTTACAGATAAAAAATAGGGAAGCCTAGAATGATCTCTGTCATAATGAGTCAGAATATATATATACAACGTAAGTATAAACTCACATTCAGGTTCCTCACTATTACAGCGAGAAGTTACAGATAAAAAATAGGGAAGCCTAGAATGATCTCTGTCATAATGAGTCAGAATATATATATACAACGTAAGTATAAACTCACATTCAGGTTCCTCACTATTACAGTGAGAAGTTACAGATAAAATATAGGGAAGCCTAGAATGATCTCTGTCATAATGAGTCAGAATATATATATACAACGTAAGTATAAACTCACATTCAGGTTCCTCACTATTACAGCGAGAAGTTACAGATAAAAAATAGGGAAGCCTAGAATGATCTCTGTCATAATGAGTCAGAATATATATATACAACGTAAGTATAAACTCACATTCAGGTTCCTCACTATTACAGCGAGAAGTTACAGATAAAAAATAGGGAAGCCTAGAATGATCTCTGTCATAATGAGTCAGAATATATATATACAACGTAAGTATAAACTCACATTCAGGTTCCTCACTATTACAGCGAGAAGTTACAGATAAAAAATAGGGAAGCCTAGAATGATCTCTGTCATAATGAGTCAGAATATATATATACAACGTAAGTATAAACTCACATTCAGGTTCCTCACTATTACAGCGAGAAGTTACAGATAAAAAAATTCAGGTTCCTCATTATTACAGTGAGAAGTTACAGATAAAAAATAGGGAAGCCTAGAATGATCTCTGTCATAATGAGTCAGAATATATATAGACAACGTAAGTATAAACTCACATTCAGGTTCCTCACTATTACAGTGAGAAGTTACAGATAAAAAATAGGGAAGCCTAGAATGATCTCTGTCATAATGAGTCAGAATATATATATACAACGTAAGTATAAACTCACATTCAGGTTCCTCACTATTACAGCGAGAAGTTACAGATAAAAAATAGGGAAGCCTAGAATGATCTCTGTCATAATGAGTCAGAATATATATATACAACGTAAGTATAAACTCACATTCAGGTTCCTCACTATTACAGTGAGAAGTTACAGATAAAATATAGGGAAGCCTAGAATGATCTCTGTCATAATGAGTCAGAATATATATATACAACGTAAGTATAAACTCACATTCAGGTTCCTCACTATTACAGCGAGAAGTTACAGATAAAAAATAGGGAAGCCTAGAATGATCTCTGTCATAATGAGTCAGAATATATATATACAACGTAAGTATAAACTCACATTCAGGTTCCTCACTATTACAGTGAGAAGTTACAGATAAAAAATAGGGAAGCCTAGAATGATCTCGGTCATAATGAGTCAGAATATATATATACAACGTAAGTATAAACTCACATTCAGGTTCCTCACTATTACAGTGAGAAGTTACAGATAAAAAATAGGGAAGCCTAGAATGATCTCTGTCATAATGAGTCAGAATATATATATACAACGTAAGTATAAACTCACATTCAGGTTCCTCACTATTACAGTGAGAAGTTACAGATAAAAAATAGGGAAGCCTAGAATGATCTCGGTCATAATGAGTCAGAATGTATATATACAACGTAAGTATAAACTCACATTCAGGTTCCTCATTATTACAGCGAGAAGTTACAGATAAAAAATAGGGAAGCCTAGAATGATCTCTGTCATAATGAGTCAGAATATATATATACAACGTAAGTATAAACTCACATTCAGGTTCCTCACTATTACAGCGAGAAGTTACAGCTAAAAAATAGGGAAGCCTAGAATGGTCTCTGTCATAATGAGTCAGAATATATATATACAACGTAAGTATAAACTCCCATTCAGGTTCCTCACTATTACAGCGAGAAGTTACAGATAAAAAATAGGGAAGCCTAGAATGATCTCGGTCATAATGAGTCAGAATGTATATATACAACGTAAGTATAAACTCATATTCAGGTTCCTCATTATTACAGCGAGAAGTTAGAGATAAAAAATAGGGAAGCCTAGAATGATCTCTGTCATAATGAGTCAGAATATATATATACAACGTAAGTATAAACTCACATTCAGGTTCCTCACTATTACAGCGAGAAGTTACAGATAAAAAATAGGGAAGCCTAGAATGGTCTCTGTCATAATGAGTCAGAATATATATATACAACGTAAGTATAAACTCACATTCAGGTTCCTCACTATTACAGCGAGAAGTTACAGATAAAAAATAGGGAAGCCTAGAATGATCTCGGTCATAATGAGTCAGAATATATATATACAACGTAAGTATAAACTCACATTCAGGTTCCTCACTATTACAGCGAGAAGTTACAGATAAAAAATAGGGAAGCCTAGAATGATCTCGGTCATAATGAGTCAGAATATATATATACAACGTAAGTATAAACTCACATTCAGGTTCCTCACTATTACAGTGAGAAGTTACAGATAAAAAATAGGGAAGCCTAGAATGATCTCGGTCATAATGAGTCAGAATGTATATATACAACGTAAGTATAAACTCACATTCAGGTTCCTCATTATTACAGCGAGAAGTTACAGATAAAAAATAGGGAAGCCTAGAATGATCTCTGTCATAATGAGTCAGAATATATATATACAACGTAAGTATAAACTCACATTCAGGTTCCTCACTATTACAGCGAGAAGTTACAGCTAAAAAATAGGGAAGCCTAGAATGGTCTCTGTCATAATGAGTCAGAATATATATATACAACGTAAGTATAAACTCCCATTCAGGTTCCTCACTATTACAGCGAGAAGTTACAGATAAAAAATAGGGAAGCCTAGAATGATCTCGGTCATAATGAGTCAGAATGTATATATACAACGTAAGTATAAACTCATATTCAGGTTCCTCATTATTAGAGCGAGAAGTTAGAGATAAAAAATAGGGAAGCCTAGAATGATCTCTGTCATAATGAGTCAGAATATATATATACAACGTAAGTATAAACTCACATTCAGGTTCCTCACTATTACAGCGAGAAGTTACAGATAAAAAATAGGGAAGCCTAGAATGGTCTCTGTCATAATGAGTCAGAATATATATATACAACGTAAGTATAAACTCACATTCAGGTTCCTCACTATTACAGCGAGAAGTTACAGATAAAAAATAGGGAAGCCTAGAATGATCTCGGTCATAATGAGTCAGAATATATATATACAACGTAAGTATAAACTCACATTCAGGTTCCTCACTATTACAGCGAGAAGTTACAGATAAAAAATAGGGAAGCCTAGAATGATCTCGGTCATAATGAGTCAGAATATATATATACAACGTGAGTATAAACTCACATTCAGGTTCCTCACTATTACAGCGAGAAGTTACAGATAAAAAATAGGGAAGCCTAGAATGATCTCGGTCATAATGAGTCAGAATATATATATACAACGTAAGTATAAACTCACATTCAGGTTCCTCACTATTACAGCGAGAAGTTACAGATAAAAAATAGGGAAGCCTAGAATGATCTCTGTCATAATGAGTCAGAATATATATATACAACGTAAGTATAAACTCACATTCAGGTTCCTCACTATTACAGCGAGAAGTTACAGATAAAAAATAGGGAAGCCTAGAATGATCTCGGTCATAATGAGTCAGAATATATATATACAACGTAAGTATAAACTCACATTCAGGTTCCTCACTATTACAGCGAGAAGTTACAGATAAAAAATAGGGAAGCCTAGAATGATCTCTGTCATAATGAGTCAGAATATATATATACAACGTAAGTATAAACTCACATTCAGGTTCCTCACTATTACAGCGAGAAGTTACAGATAAAAAATAGGGAAGCCTAGAATGATCTCGGTCATAATGAGTCAGAATATATATATACAACGTAAGTATAAACTCACATTCAGGTTCCTCACTATTACAGTGAGAAGTTACAGATAAAAAATAGGGAAGCCTAGAATGATCTCGGTCATAATGAGTCAGAATGTATATATACAACGTAAGTATAAACTCACATTCAGGTTCCTCATTATTACAGCGAGAAGTTACAGATAAAAAATAGGGAAGCCTAGAATGATCTCTGTCATAATGAGTCAGAATATATATATACAACGTAAGTATAAACTCACATTCAGGTTCCTCACTATTACAGCGAGAAGTTACAGATAAAAAATAGGGAAGCCTAGAATGGTCTCTGTCATAATGAGTCAGAATATATATATACAACGTAAGTATAAACTCACATTCAGGTTCCTCACTATTACAGCGAGAAGTTACAGATAAAAAATAGGGAAGCCTAGAATGATCTCTGTCATAATGAGTCAGAATATATATACACAACGTAAGTATAAACTCACATTCAGGTTCCTCACTATTACAGCGAGAAGTTACAGATAAAAAATAGGGTAGCCTAGAATGATCTCTGTCATAATGAGTCAGAATATATATATACAACGTAAGTATAAACTCACATTCAGGTTCCTCACTATTACAGCGAGAAGTTACAGATAAAAAATAGGGAAGCCTAGAATGATCTCTGTCATAATGAGTCAGAATATATATAAACAACGTAAGTATAAACTCACATTCAGGTTCCTCACTATTACAGCGAGAAGTTACAGATAAAAAATAGGGAAGCCTAGAATGATCTCTGTCATAATGAGTCAGAATATATATATGCAACGTAAGTATAAACTCACATTCAGGTTCCTCACTATTACAGCGAGAAGTTACAGATAAAAAATAGGGAAGCCTAGAATGATCTCTGTCATAATGAGTCAGAATATATATATACAACGTAAGTATAAACTCACATTCAGGTTCCTCACTATTACAGCGAGAAGTTACAGATAAAAAATAGGGAAGCCTAGAATGATCTCTGTCATAATGAGTCAGAATATATATATACAACGTAAGTATAAACTCACATTCAGGTTCCTCACTATTACAGCGAGAAGTTACACATAAAAAATAGGGAAGCCTAGAATGATCTCGGTCATAATGAGTCAGAATATATATATACAACGTAAGTATAAACTCACATTCAGGTTCCTCACTATTACAGCGAGAAGTTACAGATAAAAAATAGGGAAGCCTAGAATGATCTCTGTCATAATGAGTCAGAATATATATATACAACGTAAGTATAAACTCACATTCAGGTTCCTCACTATTACAGCGAGAAGTTACAGATAAAAAATAGGGAAGCCTAGAATGATCTCTGTCATAATGAGTCAGAATATATATATACAACGTGAGTATAAACTCACATTCAGGCTCCTCACTATTACAGCGAGAAGTTACAGATAAAAAATAGGGAAGCCTAGAATGATCTCGGTCATAATGAGTCAGAATATATATATACAACGTAAGTATAAACTCACATTCAGGTTCCTCACTATTACAGCGAGAAGTTACAGATAAAAAATAGGGAAGCCTAGAATGATCTCTGTCATAATGAGTCAGAATATATATATACAACATAAGTATAAACTCACATTCAGGTTCCTCACTATTACAGCGAGAAGTTACAGATAAAAAATAGGGAAGCCTAGAATGATCTCTGTCATAATGAGTCAGAATATATATATACAACGTAAGTATAAACTCACATTCAGGTTCCTCACTATTACAGCGAGAAGTTACAGATAAAAAATAGGGAAGCCTAGAATGATCTCTGTCATAATGAGTCAGAATATATATATACAACGTAAGTATAAACTCACATTCAGGTTCCTCACTATTACAGCGAGAAGTTACAGATAAAAAATAGGGAAGCCTAGAATGATCTCTGTCATAATGAGTCAGAATATATATATGCAACGTAAGTATAAACTCACATTCAGGTTCCTCACTATTACAGCGAGAAGTTACAGATAAAAAATAGGGAAGCCTAGAATGATCTCTGTCATAATGAGTCAGAATATATATATACAACGTAAGTATAAACTCACATTCAGGTTCCTCACTATTACAGCGAGAAGTTACAGATAAAAAATAGGGAAGCCTAGAATGATCTCTGTCATAATGAGTCAGAATATATATATACAACGTAAGTATAAACTCACATTCAGGTTCCTCACTATTACAGCGAGAAGTTACAGATAAAAAATAGGGAAGCCTAGAATGATCTCTGTCATAATGAGTCAGAATATATATATACAACGTAAGTATAAACTCACATTCAGGTTCCTCACTATTACAGCGAGAAGTTACAGATAAAAAATAGGGAAGCCTAGAATGATCTCGGTCATAATGAGTCAGAATATATATATACAACGTAAGTATAAACTCACATTCAGGTTCCTCACTATTACAGCAAGAAGTTACAGATAAAAAATAGGGAAGCCTAGAATGATCTCTGTCATAATGAGTCAGAATATATATATACAACGTAAGTATAAACTCACATTTAGCTTAACATATACATAGATGGTTCCACATAGAAACCTTTATAATTACGTGGGTACATATAAGTTAGAAGACACACATATATTTCTTTGCACTGTCAGCTGTAAGTGTCATGATGCAATGACCACATTTAGTGGCCAGATGTAAGTTTTTCATACCATTCTCTAACAAAAGAAATCAGGGCTATTAGAAGAAATAGCTGAAACTAGGACTGGGACAGAAAATATATGAGCCAGGGTACTTTTGAAGTAACAGAAATAAATTATAAAAAAAAAACATGAAATTATGTAAAAGGAGCCAGTGGAAAGAGCTACCAATGGCCACAGGTATGAACAAAGAGCAACAAAATACTGTACAATTAGATAACAACCAAAAGATTAAAGTAACTATCTGTGGACCCATACTGGTATAAATAAATGATTAAACAGATATGCAAATGGACTGAATAGAAATCTCTTACACAGAAGAATTCCAAATACCTGATATAGACAGCCATCAAGGAGGTGGGGCTAACTCCCCACTCCTTTAAGTATGAGCTCTGCATGATGACTTCCTCCAAAAGCATACATACAATATAGACATGGGAAAAAAGTAACTTCACAGTGAAAAACCTGAAAACACTGCCTCACCCAAGTGATAAAAGTTAACATTAATGGTGATAACACATCTTGAGAGCATGAAGTGACTAGACTAGCACTTGCAAACCAAAAATAAAATTCAAAGATCTTTCCCACAACCACCTCTCCACCAGGGGACACCAAAGTTAACCTGGAAGACTGGTTCAGGCTATGATGGGAAAGAGGTGGTCAGACATGCCTCATTATGCCCTCCTCCCTTTTGGAATTCAGGAAAAGCCAATCAGCATTTAACATCAACACAACCTTAAATCTGATAAGAAACATTTACAATCTATTCTCTCTGAAGCCTGCTACCTGGAAGCTTCATCTCCATGATAAAACCTTGGCCTCCTTAACCCCTTATCATAACCCAGACACTCCTTTCTATTGATAGTAAGTCTTTCAACAAACTGCCAATCAGAAAAATTTTAAGTGTACCTATAACCTGGAAGCCCCACCCCACCCTAATCCACTGGGTTGTCCCACCTTTCTGGACCGAACCAATATATATCTTAAATACACTTGATTGATGTCTCCTACCTCCCTAAAATGTATAGAACCAACCTGCACCCCAACGACCTTGGGCACATGTTCTCAGGGTCTCCTGAGGGCTGTGTCAAGGGCCATGGTCACTCATATTTGGCTCAGAATACATCTCTTCAAATATTTTACAGTCTTTGACTCTTTTTGTGGACACACTACACATCTGCTCTGCTTCCCCCAAACCCCTAAACCCAGGCTGATTATGAGAAAAACCCCAAGTAAACCACAATGGAGGACATTCTACACAATACCTGACCAATCCTCCTAACACTGTTCCAGGTCCTCAGAAGTAAAGTCTGAGAGACTGTCACAGCCAAGAAGAGCCTGACATGATGACTAAATGTCCTATGGGATCCTAGATAGGATCCTGGGAGAGAAAAAGGCAGAACTAAGGGAAACCAAATAAGATGTGAGCTTATTTAATAATATAGTAATATCCAGTCATTAAGTATGACAAGAAATGATGTAAGATGTTGGTCAGGAGTGGTGGCTCATGCCTGTAATCCCAGCACTTTGGGAGGCTGAGGCGGGCAGATCACCTGAGATCAGGAGTTCGAGACCAGCCTGGCCAACGTGGTGAAACCTCATCTCTACTAAAAATACAAAAATTAGCCGGGCACGATGGCAGGCGCCTGTAATACCAGCTACTCAGGAGGCTGAGGCAGGAGAATCGCTTGAACCTGGGAGGCGGAGGTTGCAGTGAGCCGAGATCATGCCACTGCACTCCAGCCTGGTTGAAAAAAAAAAAAAACTGGTCTGGAAAAAAGAAAAAAAAAAAAAGATGTTAAACCTATCTGATACATGTTGATATGTTAAAAAGAGGGGAAACTAGGTTGCGTCTACATGGGAAATCTGCATTTTCTTCCCAATTTCTGTATGAATCTAAAACTAATTTAAAATAAAACCTCTATTTAAAAATTGTAATTTTTTCAGATATCTGCTAAATTATTTGTACTAAAAATTAGTAATTGACAGTAACTACTCCTACTTTTAAAAATAAGAGCATTCATGATACTGCAAAGTAAATTATACAGACTAATATATACTTTCAAAGAAATGCCCCTTTTACATGTTTTATGTTAAGATAACATATATGTGTAAACATGGTCATATCATTTTTCTTATGGTGTAGTTCACTCTCTAAGAAAGCTGGTCATCTTAGAACCAGGGAAAAAAATTCACATTTTGGAGACTATTTCAATTTATGGCTGGACATTTTCAAAGTATGACTTTGTGAAAAAAAAAAAAGTTCAAATTGATTCATTGTGACTGGATCACTTATTCTAATGAATGCTTGTCTTTATTTTGTTTCCCAGCATTCCTTTCAGCTACGATACAACAGAAGCAAATATTTGCCACTGGAAAAAATATTCAAAGACACTCTTAGGTTAATCTATAGCTGATGACAGTCAGTCTAGTCTACATAGCAAGCAGCTTCAAGATATGATTACTTAGCTAAGCGGGAAATGGGACGTGACTGCTGCCTCATTCCCACGCCTCTCTGGACCTGATAATTTAGAGGAAGCTCACATTCGCAAGATAAAAATTTTCTTTTCTTTCTCAGTATTAAATATGCTGTCACAGTAGAAGAAAGCTTTACTGACTTCTTAAATGATGTGTTGAGACCGGAAACCTAAAATGATAGTTACTGAGAATAGTGCTAATGCCCTAAGACTGGAACCCTAAAATGATAGTCACTGAGAATACTGCTAATGCCCTAAGACCGGAACCCTAAAATGATAGTTACTGAGAATAGTGCTAATGCCCTAAGACCGGAACCCTAAAATGATAGTTACTGAGAATACTGCTAATGCCCTAAGACCGGAACCCTAAAATGATAGTTACTGAGAATAGTGCTAATGCCCTAAGACCGGAACCCTAAAATGATAGTTACTGAGAATAGTGCTAATGCCCTAAGACCGGAACCCTAAAATGATAGTCACTGAGAATACCGCTAATGCCCTAAGACCGGAACCCTAAAATGATAGTCACTGAGAATACTGCTAATGCCCTAAGACCGGAACCCTAAAATGATAGTCACTGAGAATAGTGCTAATGCCCTAAGACCGGAACCCTAAAATGATAGTCACTGAGAATACTGCTAATGCCCTAAGACCGGAACCCTAAAATGATAGTTACTGAGAATACTGCTAATGCCCTAAGACCGGAACCCTAAAATGATAGTTACTGAGAATACCGCTAATGCCCTAAGGTTTTAGTCACACCCTCACCTAGGCAGGAACCCAATCAAAAGGGGAGAACTGTGGAACAAACTACGGGAGGTCATTGTTTCGGTCACCACTCCCGCACTAGGCCACACTGAGCAGGCAAAACCAGAATGGAGACACTCACGCTGAATGACACACAACGAAGCTGAAACTCTAAGGAAGTAGATAGATCCCAAAAGAGCTCCCTTTTTCCCTGAAGAGATTCCAGTCTACCTGAGTCAGCATAAAGAAGTCCCCTCTGCTTTAATTCTTACCAAAACAAGTAACTTGAAGTAATCTGATATTAACAAATCAGTTGTTATTTTCTATTGCTCTATTTCCGCCTTACACAACACAGTGTTCTGCTATTGCCCAGAGGGCACTGAGACCAAATAAAACTTGAAAATGCCACACTGAAAGCAAATAAGTCCTAATAACTCAACTTACAACGATAACAAAGAGTGACACCAATGCCCAAAGTTTTGATCAATATCTCAAAATTGAGAGGCTGACCAAAAGGGAGGAATTCTTACATCAAACAACATTTGGGCTCTGGAAGCCTCCCGAGGAGTCCTTGTAAAGAGTCGCGGCCGGGCGCCGTGGCTCACGCCTGTAATCCCGGCACTTTGGGAGGCCGAGACGGGTGGCTCATGAGGTCAGGAAATCGAGTCCATCATGGCTTACAAGGTGAAACCCAGTCTCTACTAAAAAAAAAAAATACAAAAAAATTAGCAGGGCTTGGTGGCGGCAGCCTGCAGTCCCAGCTACTTGGGAGGCCGGGACAGGAGAATGGCATGAACCCGGGAGGCGGAGCTTGCTGTGAGCTGAGATCGCGCCACTGCACTCCAGCCTGGGCGACAGAGCGAGACTCCGCCTCAAAAAAGAAAAAAGAAGAAGAACAAGAAGAATCGCAACCTAATTTAGTATAGAAACAAACTGAAAATCTGACTTGGGAATGTATCATGGTAACAAATAGCGGCGGTTCAGCCAATCACATCAGCCGAGTGTCAGTCAATGGCCGGCAGCCAGCTGTTCAAAACAAGTTCCAAGAAGGCAAATCCGGGCTGTAACCAGGTCTGTAACCAATCCAGCCACCTCTATACCTCACTTCTGTTTTCTGTATGTCACCTTTTTCCTCTGGCTATAAATATAACCCGCACATGTTGTGTGGCAGATCATTCTGAACCATTTTTGGTCTGGACTGCTGCCTGATTCTAGAACCACAAAAAAAAGCCAATTAAGATCTGCAAACCCACATTTGTTGTAATTCTGTATTTTAACAGTTGTGCCCTACAAAAGACATTAAGCTGAAATTAATTAAAAATCATTTACGGTCATGATTAGGTCATAAAAAATTGTCAAACATAACAATTCTTCAAAAAAAGCTAAAAAGTATATTTTAAAAATATTGTTGATGGAAAAAAGAGTGCAAAAGTAGATAGGAAAATTATGTACAAAACTAAAAACAGAGGAGAAATTAAAAGTCAAATAATTACATCAAACTGGAAACCTAGAAAAAATGGGTGATTTCCTAGTAAAAATACACATTAACAAAATGGGCCCTGAAATAAGGCAACTATGAATATACCAATTAGCATAGAAAAGCTAAGAAAGGTCCTTAAAGATCTCCCAGTGGAAAAAGGCCCCAGGACCATCTGGGTCCATAGCTTAGTGTAAGCTGACTTAACTAAATGTGATTTTACACTCGTGCATTGCATACATATGATGGTGGTCCCATGAGATAAAAATGGAGCTGAAAAATTCCTTCCTAGCCATCTTGTCATAAGCTCATGGCTCAACGCATTACCTTTTCTCTGTTCTGATACCATGAAAGGAAAATAAATCTCAGGACCCCCAAATCACTAAGCCAAGGGAAAAGTCAAGCTGGGAGCTATGTCAGGCAAACCTGCCCTCATTCTATTCCTAACTAAGATAGCTACAAAGATAAAAAGCTACATACCTCACTCACAATTTGCCCACAAAGAATTTCCTTTTGGACAAAGGACAGACAGCACTCAAAGTCATCCCTCACCTGAGACAGATGCATATCTGATTGCTTCCTCTGCCCTATTATTTATGTAAAAATGCAGATTCATTGAGCCAGACTAAATTGTGTATTCAGTGGAAGGCTGATGAAGGATTCAAAAGAATGCAACCTTTTGTCTCTAACCTACTTCTGACCTGGAAGCACCCCCACTTCCTGCTTCCAGTTGTCCCGCCTTACTGGGCCAAATGACTGTACATCTTACACGTCTCATGTATCCCTAAAATGTACAAAAGCAAGCTCTACCCTGGCCACCTTGGACACACGTCGTCAGGACCTCCTGAGGCTGTGTCATGGTCGTGTCCTTAATCTGGGCAAAATAAGCTTTCTAAATTGACAGAGACGCGGCGCGCCGGCGCAGGCGCACAGAGGCGCGGCGCGCGGGCGCCGGCGCACAGTGGCGCGTCCCCTGGGGGGCGGGGGGAGGCGCGGCGCAGGCGCAGAGACGCACGTCGTTAGGCTGTGGGTTTGGGGGGAGGTGGGTGGTGCAGACGCAGAGTCACGCGCCACCGGGATGAGAGCGCGGGGGTGGAGCGTTGTAGGCGCACAGACTCACGTCCCCGGGGGCGCGGCGCAGAGACGGGTTGAACCTCAGTAATCCAAAAAGCCGGGCTCGGGCGCCCCCTGCTTGCAGCCGGGCACTACAGGACCCGCTTGCCCGCGGTGCTGTCCCAGTGCGCCCCCTGCTAGCGACTAGGGCAACTGCAGGGCCCTCTTGCTTACAGTGGTGGCCAGCGCCCCCTGCTGGCGCCGGGGCACTGCAGGGCTCTCTTGCTCGCAATATAGTGGCGGCACGCCGCCTGCAGGCAGCTAGGGACGTTGCAGGGCCCTCTTGCTCACAGTGTAGTGGCCGCACGCCCGCCTGCTGGCAGATGGGGACACTGCCAGGCCCTCTTGCTTGCAGTGTAGTCGGGGCACGCCCTCTTCTGGCCGCTGGGGGCACGACAGGATCCTCTTGCTCACAGTGTAGTGGCAGCACGACCCCTGCTGGCAACCAGGGCACTGCATGGTCCTCTTGCTCATGGTGTGGTGCCCGTACGCCGCCTGCTGGCAGCTGAGGACACTGCAGGGCCCTCTTGCTCACAGTGTAGTCGTCGTACGCCCCCTGCTGGCAGCTGGGGACACTGCCGGACCCTATTGCTGTCGGTGTCGTGGCAGCACGCCACCTGCGGGCAGATGGGGACTAGGCAGGGCACTCTTGGTCCCGGTGTGACGGCCTCCTGCACCACTAAAGTCAGAGCGCCAGTTATTAAGCCCCATCAGTTCTGTAAATTCAAACTGAAACGGAGCTATTACTGGGGAGAGCTGATGTCCCAGTTCTTGTTTAACTTGGAAGAAACATTTTCACCAAGAGGCAGTACAAAGATGGCAGATAACTTCATTGAAAAGAAACACAGTGTAAAGAGTTTATTGTAGAAAAATAGGGAGGAGTGGGCTGAGCGTGCATTAAAACAGCCTAAGAGTCCTGTGCAGGGAATTTTATTTTGGATTTCTTCACATTCCTGCCTCTGTCTCAAGTCTCCACCTGTTTTCTTTGTCTGGTTTTCCTGCTACTGCCTTAGCTCCCCAACTTGCCCCACTTAGGCTTGTGGGACCTCCTCACTGTTGGTTGAGGTACATGTGTGGTGATCAATACGAATCCACTCTGGCAGCAGCCTCCATCCCGCCATCCCAGGCACGCTGACAGCGATCACGTTTGTACCTACTGCGCCTGCCTCTTTTGAATGTCCTTCTCTGCCCTAATCTGTACTTATGGTGCCAGGTTTCTCTTAAGAATGTCCCCTTTGGCCTTATCAGCATGTAGCTAGCAATATTCTGACATTTTTATTGCAGAGTGAATGATTGGGGCATCTTCAGAGGAGTTCTAGAGTGTTTCTTTCTGCATAGGTACCTCTTTTCCCTCCTACCCACAATTGACAAGTGCCCATCCACTCCAGCACTAGAGATGCTACTAATATGTGAATTTTTGGTGGTCCCTCCAGGTGAGCCTTCCCAGACTTTCCCTTTTCCAGGAGGCCCCCTCCTGTTCATGTCTAGCTACCTATCTACTCTAACAAAGCCCACTATCCTGTGTCTTTCCCAAAAATAGTGAGGGAACGATTAATTGGAAACCATAAGAAATGATATGGATATAGACGAAAACTTTACAACTTACACAAATAATCACTCAAAATCATCCTTACACTAAAAATGCAAAACTATACAATTTCTAGAAGAAACAATAGAAGAAAAGCTATCTGCCTTTGGGTTTGGTAATGAATTTTAACAAATGACACAAAAGGTAGATATACACAAAAGAAGTGACAGTGTGGATTTCTTAATATTTAAAGTTTATACTCTGGAAGAGACCTTGTTAAGAGAACAAAAAGACAAGCCACATATTGAAGAAAATATTTGCAAAATACACATCTGAGAAAGAATTTGTCTTCAAAATATATAAAAAATTATTAAAACTAAACAATAAGTTAAACAGCCCAACTAAAAATGCACACACATCTGAACAGACACCTCACCAAAGAAGATCTACAGATGGCAAGTAAACACATTGAAACCACAATGTGGTTACAATTGAAAACCACAATGAGATAGCACAGCTGGTCTATATCTGTTAGAATTGCTAAACTCTTTTAAAAATGACAAATTGCTGAAGGAAAAACAAGAACTCTTTTCATTGCCAGTGGAACACAGCATATAAGACCAAAATACGCCACCCCAAAACCTAACCCTAACCCTAACCCCTAACCCCTAACCAACCCTAACCCTAACCCTAACCCTAACCCCTAACCCCTAACCCTAACCCTAACCCTAACCCTAACCCTAACCCCTAACCCCTAACCCTAACCCTAACCCTAACCCTAACCCTAACCCCTACCCCTAACCCCTAACCCTTACCGGTGACCCTACTGTATCCCTGACTCCTAACCAACATTGATCCCTAACCCTAAACCCCTTACTGTAACTATAATCTTCATCCCACCCTATCCCTAGCCTTAGTGCCATCCCCCAGGCTTTTTCCAGGATGGGATTTTATGTGATTGTTTCGAATAGGTGGAAATCTCTGCTCATTTAGGAGTCGTTCAATGTAACAAGGATCTTGGTCTTCACAGAGACCCTAAACGCGTGTGGCCCAGGGTCATGTGGATGCCATCAGCCACTAGGTGGCAGCAGGGGCCCTTTGGATTTGAACAATGCAGCTCAGTCAGAGGGCTGGACTGGGACACCCCTACTCATGGTCTCTCTTGGCATGGTTTTGTTTGGTGACTCCAGGTGTCCCAACCTCCTGTGTCCATTGTAATATGTCCTGGGACCATCTCCCCCAGGGCCTTCAACCTCTCCTTGCTATCCTGGCTACTGATGGAAGATGTACCTCAAGCCTGTCCCATTCCTCACTTCCTGCTGAGACCTGGCCCCAACATGGCCAGCTCTATGTTCCTCAGACCCTCTCAGGCCACCTTCTCTCTTCTAGGCACTGTCACTGGGCTTCTCCCCACCCCATAGATCCACAGCCCCCAGGTAGTCCTACAGCTGTGTCCACTCGTGCAGCCTGCACCCCCTTCCCCTACTCGGCCACCCCATCTGAGTAGTAAGGGGCCCCTGCCTGATTGGAGACCCCCAGATGCAGACCCAGATCACACAGCACACTGATAAGAGGAGGGATTCCCACCTTAAAAGAAAGGCGTGGGACCAACCCCAGATCCCACCACTCTCGGCCTCAAGGGCAGGCATGACTAGAGGCCCTTGGTGGCCAGGACCCACTGCCTTCTTCACCGATCAGTTGGCATGGCCTCTCACCAGTGTTCCCTCCTAACACACCTGTTCTCTCTCTCACACACCCTAAAGCCGCTTGCCAACCACCTGTCACACAGCCACTCCATGCCTGTTGCTGCTTGGCACCCACTGGGGGCCAGGGATGTGAACAAACCTCATCTAAGCTGGCTGCCGGGTCCTAATGGGCAGGTCCGGTCCGCCCTCTAGGAGAGGTGCTGTCCGGTGAGGCATAAAATCCCGGGATTCTGGCTGGAGGCAGCTCCTGAGACTGCCGGCATGAAGGGGAGCCGTGCCCTCCTGCTGGTGGCCCTCACCCTGTTCTGCATCTGCCGTGAGTCTGTGCCACTGGGGTTTCCAGAACATTCAGGGGCGGGGGGGAGTGGGGGGTACCTGAGAAGGTAAAATCCTGGCATCGGGCCTCTGCAGTGAACACTCCACCTGCTTCTGTCACAGAAGTGGGCAAGGACCCTGCAGAACCCGCGCCCACCCTACTCCACCCCAACCAAGGACAAAGCCCAGCTGACCCAACACCAGCCCAGTGTCTCCTACCCCAGCCCAGTCCAGCCTGACCTGACCCTTCAAGCCTCTGGTCATAATAGCCTCTCATCAGGGGAAATTTCCCCCACACCAGGAGCTTAACTTTCCTTCCCTGGTGATCCCAGGGAATGCTGAGTGGAAATTGGAGCAGCTAAGATTAAGGGGGATGTGGAGGGGTCTTCGGGCAAGGTGGAGTTGGAGGTGTTGTGGAGGAAGCCCTGGGGAGGAGAGGTGAGCATTGAAGGGGAAGGTCTGGAGACCATGGAGGTTAGAGCCCTGGGGCAGGTCCAGGGCTGTGGTTGCACCAGAGTCACCCTGTCCTGTCCTGGCATCATCTCGCTCGTGATGCAGGGATGGCCACGGGGGAGGACAACGATGAGTTTTTCATGGACTTCCTGCAAACACTACTGGTGGGGACCCCAGAGGAGCTCTATGAGGGGACCTTGGGCAAGTACAATGTCAACGAAGATGCCAAGGCAGCAATGACTGAACTCAAGTCCTGCAGAGATGGCCTGCAGCCAATGCACAAGGCGGAGCTGGTCAAGCTGCTGGTATGAGGGCGGCGGGCACCCCATTTTCTAAAGATCTGCAGCCTTACCAAGACCACCCAACACAGCACCCACACAGCCTACCCCACCCACAGACATCCACCACCCACAGACATTGCACCCGCATCAGCCAGCTCAGGTGGACACCCCAGACCTCCTGTCCACCGAGCAGCCCCCAGACTCCATAGACCTCCTCCCCAGTCTGTGGGATACTCCTCCATGCACACATGTGAACATACACAGAGATCCAAACACAGGTGCAGACATGAAATGTACACTGCGTGCACACATGTATAAACACGTTCACACCCACATGCTCACACTGGGATATGCACACACATACATGTGTGCACACCATCACATGTGCACACACACCTCCCAGCTGCTGGGAGGAGATAGGCAGCAATATGCCAGACCCCCCCCCCACTGAGGGCCTTGCTTGCCTGATGGAGCTGTGGCTCTCCACTTATTGAGCACAGCCCTCTTAGTCCACATGTGTCTGCCTTCCAGGTGCAAGTGCTGGGCAGTCAGGACGGTGCCTAAGTGGACCTCAGACATGGCTCAGCCATAGGACCTGCCACACAAGCAGCCGTGGACACAACGCCCACTACCACCTCCCACATGGAAATGTATCCTCAAACCGTTTAATCAATAAAGCCTCTTCCGCAGCTCAGGCTCCTGTCTCTGCCCCCACAGAGGGGCACACAAATGGGGACATCAGGAACACACTCGAGGCCACAGCCACACACACAGACCCACATACAGAGGATCCCACTCAAGGAGCACACGTGCAAAAGTCCCCACAGAGGGACACACAAATGGGGACATCAGGAACACAGGGCCACAGCCACACACACAGACCCACATACAGAGGATCCTACTCAAGGAGCACACGTGCGAAAGTCCCCCACAGAGGGACACACAAATGGGGACATCAGGAACACAGGGCCACAGCCACACACACAGACCCACACACAGAGGATCCCACTCAAGGAGCACACATGCGAAAGTCCCCACAGAGGGGCACACAAGTGGGGACATCAGGAACACAGGGCCACAGCCACACACACAGACCCACACACAGAGGATCCCACTCAAGGAGCACACGTGCGAAAGTCCCCACAGAGGGGCACACAAATGGGGACATCAGGAACACACTCAGGGCCACAGCCACACACACAGACCCACATACAGAGGATCCCACTCAAGAAGCACAAGTGCGAAAGTCCCCACAGAGGGGCACACAAATGGGGACATCAGGAACACACTCGGGGCCACAGCCACACACACAGACCCACATACAGAGGATCCCACTCAAGGAGCACACGTGCAAAAGTCCCCACAGAGGGGCACACAAGTGGGGACATCAGGAACACAGGGCCACAGCCACACACACAGACCCACATACAGAGGATCCCACTCAAGGAACACACGTGTGAAAGTCCCCACAGAGGTACACACAGGGTCCACACAGGAGCAGGCACACCACAGGCAAGACCCAAAATGGAAATCCAGGCAGACGCCACGCAGGCAGGTGGACAGAGCACAGAGCCAGACAACACTGCGTGGTCGTCCGGAGGGGGCGTCTGGAGGGGGCGTCCGGAGGGAGACGGGCGGCAGAGGCAGCGGTATGAGGCGGGAGCCCCAGAAAGAGGAAGTGTCCAGGACTGGGTGGACACAGACCCCATGTCGCCCATGGGCTAGGTCAGGGCGGGGGTGCTCAGCATCTGAAAGCTGGTGTCGAGCCCCAAGAGGACCCCTGACAAGGCCAAGAAAAAGGTACACCCATGTCCAAGGGGGTTGGGAGCCGCAGGTGAGCAGCCTCTGAGGTCAGCCAGGGCAGCCCCAGCGCCCACACTGACTCACACCCACCACAACCAGCACAGACCCTGATCCTGACCCTGGATCCCAGACTCTCCCACAGCCAGAACCTTCCAGCATTTCAGCTGCCCAATCTATGGTCTCTTCTGGGGGCACAGCTGAGTGGAACCGCCCCATCCTTGGCCACCCTGGGTGCTGAGCCCTGACACTTCACTGCCCCGGCCCTCCTCTCCACACCTCTGTCCTGTCTGAGCCTGGCAAGGGGGCCATGCGGTGCTGTCGGCTCTGTGCTCTGTCCCACCTGCCTACATGGTATCTGCCTGGATTTCCATTTGGCTGAGGGAGCCCTAGGGAGGGGGCCCTGGAGGACTTGGTTACAGGGGACCTGGTGAGGGGACCCAGTGAGGGGGACTTCATGGGTGGGTGCCTGGTTGAGGGGACCTGGTGAAAGAAACATGGTGAGGGGGCCTGGTGAGGGGTGGTCTGGTGAGGGAACTTAGGGAAACCTGGTGAGGAGGACCTGGTGAGGGGACATGGGGGGGACCTTGGTGAGGGGACCTGGTGAGGGGACATAGGGGGGACCTTGGTGAGGGGACCTGGTGAGGAGGACCTGGGGGGGACCTTGGTGAGGGGACCTGGTGAGGGGAACATGGGTGGGGAGCCTTGGTGAGGGGACCTGGTGAGGGGACATAGGGGGGCCTTGGTGAGGGGACCTGGTGAGGGGACATAGGGGGGCCTTGGTGAGGGGACATGGGGGGGACCTTGGTGAGGGGACCTGGTGAGGGGACATGGGGGGGACCTTGGTGAGGGGACCTGGTGAGGGGACATGGGGGGGACCTTGGTGAGGGGACCTGGTGAGGGGACATGGGGGGGACCTTGGTGAGGGGACCTGGTGAGGGGACATAGGGGGGCCTTGGTGAGGGGACCTGGTGAGGAGGACCTGGGGGGGACCTTGGTGAGGGGACCTGGTGAGGGGAACATGGGTGGGGAGCCTTGGTGAGGGGACCTGGTGAGGGGACATGGGGGGGACCTTGGTGAGGGGACCTGGTGAGGGGACATAGGGGGGCCTTGGTGAGGGGACATGGGGGGGACCTTGGTGAGGGGACCTGGTGAGGGGACATGGGGGGGACCTTGGTGAGGGGACCTGGTGAGGGGACATGGGGGGGACCTTGGTGAGGGGACCTGGTGAGGAGGACCTGGGGGGGACCTTGGTGAGGGGAGCATGGTGAGGGGAACATGGGTGGGGAGCCTTGGTGAGGGGACCTGGTGAGGGGACATGGTGAGGGGACATGGGGGGGACCTTGGTGAGGGGACCTGGTGAGGGGAACATGGGTGGGGAGCCTTGGTGAGGGGACCTGGTGAGGGGACATGGTGAGGGGAGCCTGGTGAGGGGAACACGGTGAGGGGAACATGGTCAGGGGGACTTATAGGGGTGTCCTGTTGGGGGGACCTGGTGGTGAGATCTGGTGAGGGGATCAAAGGCAGAAGCCATTGTCTTGGTCACATAGACAGAATCTAGAACCTGTCATCCCACAGAGCCACATTCTAGAGTTTAGAGTGGGGGACCTCTCCCCAATTCTGTAAGCCCATGAGGAGAGAGGAAGGCCTTTCTCTCCATGCTCCTTTTGCCTAACCCTAACCCTAACCACCCTAACCCTGACTCTGACCCTGACCCTGACCCTGACCCTGACCCTGACCCTAACTGGACCCGCACATCTGAGCCTGCGTTTCCGTTTCCCCGAGAGACCCCGGACTCCCTCCCCCAAGGACAGGAACGCAACGCACTGGCAGAGCTCGCTGATTGGATGGGGGAGAGAAGTGGGCGGAGTGAGCACTAGGAGATCCTGTCATTGGATAAGAAAGAGAAGTGGGCAGGGTGGGCACTGGTAGAGTCTCTACTGGTTGGATAGGAGCGAGAAGCGGGCGGGGCTAGCACTGAGATCCTGCAATTGGACGGGCATGAAGTAGGTGGGGCGAGCACTGAGGAGACCCTGCCAATTGGACAAGAGAGAGAAGTGGGCGGAGTAAGCATTGGTAAAGCCTGCTGATTGGGCAAGAGACAGGAGTGGTAGGAGCAAGGACTGCGGAGAAGGCTGCTATTGGATGTTAGGGAAAAGAGGGCGGAACAAGAAGGTGGCGAGCTCTGCAGATTGGACAGGAGAGATAAGCAGGAGGAGCGAGCAATGAATGGAGCCAGCGGTGAAAAGAGCCCTGATAACTAGACAGGGGAGAGCAGTGGAACCAGAATTCAGGTTACGGTCACGGTGACAGCCGGAAAGGAAATTCCAGCATGGATGCCGACCGCACCAACCCAAAACTATGACCCGAGTCCTAACCCACCCTAACCCGGCCAAAACCGAACACCCAACCCTGACTAAATGCGAAACGCTGACCCGGACCTGGACCTGGACCTAGTACGAACCCAAGCCTGAACCCTAACCCCTAACCCCTAATCCTGATCCTAGACCCTAACCCCGACCCTAAACCCTGACCCTGACCCTGAAGGGGGACATAGAGGAAAGAGATTGAGAGGTTTGCATATTCAATGACATACATTTTCTTCGTTAGTCGATGTTAGAAAGCAAAGGCTTTTATCTCGAGAAATTTCTGACCTAAAGAATGATGTACAATAAACTGTATTCAACAATTGATCAACATTTTCTAACAAGGTGGAATGAAAATATAAAGTGTGGGGATTGCTACTAGTCCTAATACACTAATCTGTGGTTAGGAAGGTTTATTTTTTTCCCTCCAAACCTAAGCAGTACATGTCTTAAATTACCTTCCAAAACGTAAGACTCTTGGAGCCTCAGACGGGCTGGCGTTAGTCAATACTCCACGGCTGTTTGTTGGATGAGTGGACAACAGCATGGTCGACAGGTCCTGGTGCAAAATGTCTTGGGCTGCCTCAGTTTGAATCCTGCTTCTGCCATCGACCAGCCGTGTGATTCTGTAAAAGTATTTTAACCTCTCTGGGCCTTAGTTTCCCCATCTGTAACTTGAGGGCCTACCTCAAATGGGTCCCTGGTGAAGAGTAACAAGACTATATCCGGAGTAGGTTTCAGTTGCCTTTTCCTCCGTCTTTCCACCCTCCCCTCCTACCCTTCCAAATCTTTTTTTTTTTTTTTTGACAAGGTCTCCCTCTGTTGCCCAGGCTGGAGTGCGGTGGCGTGATCTCGGCTCACTGCAATCCCCACTTTCCAGGCTCAAGCGATCCTCCTCCTCCTACCTCAGCCTCCTGAAAAGCTGGGGCTACAGGTGTGTGCCACCACGCTAGGCTAATTGTCATTGTGTGTGTCTCTGTGTGTGTAGAGGCGTGGTTTCTCCATGTTGACCAGGCTGGTCTCGAACTCCAGGCCTCAAGCAATTCTCCCACCTCGACCTCCAAAAGTGCTAGGACTTACAGGCGTGAGCCACCGCCCCCACCCCTTCAAATCTATTAAAAGGTGAGAGTCTCGCCAAGGCAATGAGATCGCAATATGACGTTTCCATTTACTTTGGATTATATGTCATTATAAATATTAACAAATAAGACTTAAAAAGGACACCTTCGGGTAGGTCAGACCAAAATACAAAACTTGTCTGTGGGACTGCAGTTTGAGGACAGTGTCTGCAGCCGTCACATGGCAGCAAAACGGGGTTAAGCAGTGCACGAGAGTCTGCGTCGACGACAGCCAGAGTCCATGCATCGGGAGGTTCACTCGGTTTGCGAAGGAACAACGGGCTCGGCATGCACGGCCCGGGCTCGGCGGGCGGACGGGCCGGGGCGCAGTTCCCCGCGCTCGCCACTAGAGGTCAGGAGGTGACCGCTTCGGGGCTGGAAGACGGGCCCGTCGGGGATTGGCGCAGGCGGCGGGCGGGGCGGCGGGCGGGGCGGCGGGCGGGGCGGCGCTGGAGGCAGCGCCTGGTTACTGACACCTGGAATGACTTTTTTTTTTTGGCATCAGATTTCCTGTCTTTGTGGGGATGATGGACCCGAGTAAAGATGCCCATTCGGGGTCAAAGGCAGAGCCGCTTCTGCAGCTTCTCAAAGCGTTGTTTGTTTGTTTTTTTTCTGAGACGGAGTCTTGCTCTGTCGCCCAGGCTGGAGTGCAGTGCCGCGATCTTGGCTCACTGCAGCCTTCACCTCCCGGGTTCAAGCGATTCTCGTGCCTCAGCCTCCCTGAGTAGCTGGGACTACAGGCGTGCGCCACCACACCCGGCTAATTTTTGTATTTTTAGTAGAGATGGGGTTTCGCCCTGTTGGCCAGGCGGGTTTCGAACTCCTGACCTCAGGTGATCCGCCAGCCTCGGCCTCCCAAAGTGCTGCAATTACAGGCGTGAGCCATCGTGCCTCAAAACGCTTTAACAGAAAGACAATCTGCACGGGATCTAAAAGGGTGCTGAGATCCTAGGGAAGGAAGGATCCAAACTTCCTGGGGAGTTCCTGCCCGAGTGCCTGTGCTGCCCCTGGGCTGGCTGGCCAGTAAGCCCGCCTCCCAGCCTGACTGTCCCCATCTTTCGGTCCCAGCCCCATTTGCACAGCCTGGGCAGTAGAGGGCCCTGGACTGGGGGGCTGGAGTTCTGGGTTCTTGTCCCAGCTGTGCCCCTTCAGGCCCCTTTCACCCACTGGGCCTCACATTCCCCATGTGCCTAATAAGGAAGTCATGGTAGGTGGGGGGTACAGCCTCTTCTCGCTTTGCCATTCACTTCTGTGTCTTCAGAGAGGCTGTCAAATCTCCTCTCTGAATGAGACCCCCAAAAAAGCAAAGCTAAGAAGATACCCAGAGCTTAACTAGACACCAGGCCTTTTAGAAATAGACCACCTCTTACCTTAGGCCCCCAGAGGGTGCCCATTCTGTGTGGAGAAAAGAGGAGCCCTTGCCTCAGCCCCCAGAGGCTAGGGTGGGGTGGCTGAGTTTTGGGGCCAGGTTAGACACCTCTGGGGAAGCCTGAAGTAGCACGGATGGTTTCAAAGCCAGCGGATGAGGTGGCAGGACAGTGACAAGACCCCAGGTCTCCATCATGCACCTGAGCTTACTGAGCCTTCACCTGGTGTCTCTGCTGAGTCTCCGACAGACCAAGAGGGAAGGGACTGGGGGTACCGACCCCCAGAGAGAGAAAGCGGCAGTCAGAGGACCTGGGTTTGAGTCCTGGTTCACCCCTTCCTGGCTGTGTGGCCTTGGCAAACTACTCAGACTCTGGGAACCTGTTTCACCTGCAAGATGGGGATGAGAATCAAACCCACCTTGCAGGGCTGTGAACATGCGTTCAGACCAGTGCATGCAAAAACCTTCACACAAAAACCCTTCCTAAAGGCAGGGAGACAAGTCTCCAGGAGCAGCAGGTGGCCAGGGACTGTGTGGGGGCTGGGGTCCTGTTTTCCCCGCAACCTGGGAAAGGCCTGATGGGCACTTGGTAGGATTCAAATCATAACCCTGGACCTCAGGTGGTGGTGTGCTTTGTGTCTGCAGTGGAAGGTCCCACCGTCGTGCCTGTGAGTCCCTCTATCGGTGTTGAAGGGGTGGGCAGCAGGCGGGGGAGCCCCAGGCTGGCAGCTAGCAGGACCTCTCTGGTGTGAGCTCAGCACGCCAATTCCCCTGAAGCGTGGTGTCCAGCACTCTGGGCTGGGGGCTGTGGATCCTGGTTCCAGCTGTGTGGGGCCTGGAAGGCCCTGGGCAGGTCACCTGACCTCTCTGGGCCTGTTTCCATCACACACTGATGGGCTGAGCACACTGGGACTCTGGCTGTGCAACTCCTTGGCTCTGCATTTGTTCACCCAGCGTTCCTGAGGGGCCCTTGGTAGGCAGAGAAAGTTTGTGGGCTTCAGGCATGGGCCCCAAGATTCAGATACTCTCAAGCCTCCTGGGGAGTCTCACTCAGGGGAGCAGACAGGCCCACCAGCCAGGGTGATTCTTGCTCAGCTCCTGGAGGGTGGAGCTGGCCCCACAGGCCTCCCCAGAGACAAGGCCCTGGACGGCCACTGATTACTCCCAAAAGGGACATCTGTGGCGGTAGTGGGACCAAGATGCCACGAGCAAGCACCCGGAGGCCCCCAGTGTGAGCCATGGAGTGGAGGGGAGGGGAAAGGGCAGAGTCAGGACGTGTAGGAATGCTTGCTTTTTTTCCCAAGCACAAGGGACCCTTTTCTCCACTGCAGCTGACCTGATGCTTATGCCAGGAAGGAGGAGGGGCGGGCTCCGTCCTTGAGGTCCCTCAGGAGTAGAAAGAGATCAGAGTGGGAGACTTGGGTCTGAGGTCTGAACTTGAGCCTACACCAGTTTCTCCATGGTGTTTCCATCACGTCCCCCACCTCCTGCCTCGAGCCTCACACCTTCCTAACAAACCCTCCCCTGGAGAGGAGACCCTGGGTCCACAGCACCCCGGCCCCATTGGCTTTCTCTCTCCAGGCGTTTTAGACCACTCCCACTGCCTGGACTGCTTTTAGAAGCCCTCACTCACCCTCCAAGGCCTTACGGAAGCACCGCCTCCTCCAGGAAGCCGTCCCTGACCTCCCGGCAGAGTCAGCAGAGCCCACGGTACTTGCAGACTGGCCAAGCTGGTCTTGGTATTTCTCACCCCAGTTGGAATGGTTTGTTCCCAGCTTCCTGACTAGATGGGAACTCCCTGAGGGCAGGCCCTGTGTCTCATTCACCCCCAGGGCTTGTGGAATCATTGAGTGAAGCATGTGCCAATTTACCCATCATCAGGAGCCTCCGGGAACTCTGGCAGACTTTCGGCCGGCAGGCCCGCTTCTTCCATCTGTCCAGCAGCGAAGGAGATGAGGGATGCAGTTAGGCTTTCTTGGGCTGGAGCAGCCAGTCTTCAAGGTCCCATCCTCCACCTGTCTGTCTGCTCACCACCTCCCTCCTCTGTTCCCACTGTCCGCCAAGGCGCCCCCACACTCCTGTCCTCTCAGCCGGGGCTGGCCTCTAGAAGGGTCTTTGCTCCCAGATGGGCGTGTCCCCTTCCCCTGGGCAGGTGCTGAGGTCTCTTTCCACCACCGGCCTCTTGGGCCCCAGAGAGCTGAGAGCCCCCCACCCCAGCTCCTTGCCCTCCCCGTCCCAGAGTGGCTGAGCCCTCCACATCCTCCGAGCGGGGACTGCAGTGGCTCTGTGTCCAAGCAGGGGTTCTGGATCTCCCCCAGTGTGGGGGCCACAGGCCTTGGTGGCTGCTGGGGAAGCCCGGGGCCGGCCGTGCTGGGCGCAGGTGGCGGCAGGGGTAGCAGTGGCGGGTGGGCGTCAGTCGCTGAGCACAGCCCCTGGGAGCTCGCTGGTGAGCGTGTGCCAGCGCTCGATGCGCTTGTCCTTGTTCTTCAGGCAGTCAAACCAGTGCTTCAGGCGCTCCCCCTTGGCGTGGATGCCCAGAACCACACCACCTGCAGGAGGACAGGAGGGGCAGCTGGGGCACAGGGACCCCCAACTCCCAGGCGTGGGGCCCATGCCCCCTCCCAGGTTCTGTGCTCGAAGGCCAGCCTCTCCCACTGCCCGCTGGGTTCTGAGCATGAACAGGACCTGACCTCCATGCCACACTCTGGCCCCGTCAGGGCCCAGCCATCCTGTCTCTCTTCCACCAGGGCAGGGATAGGGGCAGGGTGCAGAGGCAGCATCAGGGGTCAAGGAATGGGGGCCTGAAGAGGGGAGAAAGGGCCGGGCAGCCCCACTATGCGCAGCCACCAGGCCCACTGGGAATTTGGGGCCTCTAGGGCTCAGAGTCCAGCCCGAGGCACTGCCCATCATTGTCTCTTGTCTGTGCTCCACCACAGAGTGCTGTGTGACCCTCCCAGAACTCCTTCCATCCCTGGGCCTGTCTCTTCCTGGGGCACAAGGGTCAGGCTGGAGAAGGTCTGAGGCCCCTGACCTAGGGGCAGGTGGTCCGTGGCTCCAGCTTTCCCCATGGACCAGGAAAGAGGGGCTGTGGCCTGATCCAGGACAGGCACACAGTGAGACGGTGTTCCCACTATGCCCCCTTACCAATGAAATCGTTGGATTTTCCAATGTCGTAATCCCAAACGGTGACCTCCAGGGACTTCTTGGCCAGGTCCCCATGCTTGATCTCGTAACAGAACTCCTGCTGGCAAGAAGGGAGTGTTAGGGCTGATGCCTGGGCCTGGGCCTCCGCCGGGGGCCAGGAGGGGTATGAGGTGTAGGGACAGAGGAGGGATGGGGGTGATCAGTGCTCAGAGTGGATGATGGGTGGATGCTCACATGTCTCGCCCACTTCCCCCTGAGCTCCACTGGGGTCTTCAGGGCCCCTGTCCCCTCGCCCGCTTGCTCCTTGTCCCTGAGCCTGCTCTCCCCACACCCCGGGAGCCTCCTGACTGCAGAGGCACTGCACGCCCCACAGTCCTTGTCATCCTGGGCCTCTCTGGGGCCTGGCTTTGCTGACCCCTCCCTTCTCTGTGGGACCCTCCCTTCCATCCGGGGTTCCCCTCACTCTCTGGAAGCATCTTGACCTCCCCTGCCTGCCTCTGGATCACTGGTGTGGTGTGGGCTCTACCCAAGGCCCCTCTGCTCTTCTTTCCTTCTTGTTCCTTGGGGGGAATCCGCATTTCCAGCCGTACTTGCCGCCTTGGGCGGAAGACTTCCTGGGGCCCCAGGGTGTCTCGAGTCCCCTTGCCCCACACAGAGTTTCTCCCCATCTTCCTCACCCCCTCTTTGCCCTGTTGCCTCCATGAGGAACCGAGGACTCCCCTCAACACTTCCCTCCCCCCAGCCCTACATCCGACAAGTCCTGCCAAGAGCTTTCCAGGGGTCCCCCAGCTCCCCTGTGTCTGTGGCTTGGTGCGGCCCCTCCCCACCGTCTCTGACCACCCTCCCCATCCCGCCATGACCTTTTGAAAACCCAGCCACACCCCCACTGCTGTGGGGCAGAGGAATGGCCTTCATGAAGCTTCACCAGCCCCTCATACCTCATTAAACTCCGGGTTCAGGGTTTTTTTCTTCACCGCTGTCTTATGTTTGGATTTCTTGTCCACATCTGGCCTCAGGTATCTGGAATTACATCCAACGGACAGGCAGAGGATGGGGACATGCTATGGGGTATAGATCAAGCCAGCAGGTATTCAAAGAGCTTTCTGTCCCTGGAGAGAGATTCCTGGGCCCTTCTTTTGTCCTAATCATTGGATTTTCCCAACGCTATTTTGTGGCAAAGGCGAGACGTTGTTTTCGAGAAGCAAGTGGTCCCTTCATCCACCGCACTTCTGTTCACACACACATTCCTGAAGTTAACCCTGGGGGGCGCCCTCCATCCCCCTAGGAAAGGGGTTTTTCCTCATTTCTGGAAGTCTAATTTTCATAAAGCTCACATTTCCCACCAGAACAGAGTTTTTAGCAGAGTTGGTCTCTTGTTCAAACTTCTTTTTTTTTTTCAGATGGCTGACTGCAACCTCTGCCTCCCGGGTTCAAGTGATTCTCCTGCCTCAGCCTCCAGAGTAGCTGGGACTACAGGCATGTGCCGCCATGCGCAGGTAATTTTTGTATTTTCAGTAGAGACAGGGTTTCACCATGTTGGCCAGGCTGGTCTCTAGCTCCTGACCTCAGGTGATCCACCTGCCTCGGCCTCCCAAAGTGCTGGGATTACAGGCGTGAGCCACCACCCCCGGCCTCAAGCTTCTTTTATAAAATAGCAGATTTATTGAGATATAATTCACATACCATAAAATCCATCCTTCTGAAGTGTAAAACGCAGTAGCCTTTAGTAGACTCCCAGAGTTGTACATCCATCACCACTACCTCCATTGGAGCTTTGAGGAAGGACAAGACCTTTTGTGCAGTCACACGGAGGCCACCTAGATGTTCTTCCCTCCACAGCCACTAAGGCCTTAGGCTCTGATGCAGAACAGCTGTCTTCCTCTGAGGCTCAGAGAGGGGGAGTGACTTGCCCAAGGTCACACAGCCTGCAAGCACAAGCGTGGTGCTTGAAAGCCAGGCTCAGACTCCTTTCTCTATGACAGGGAGGTCATGTGCAGGCTGGAGAAGGGGACAAGAGGTCCCCAACTTCTTTGCAAAGCTTCTCACCCTGTTCCTGCATAGATAATTGCATGACAATTGCCTTGTCCCTGCTGAATGTGCTCTGGGGTCTCTGGGGTCTCACCCACGACCAACTCCCTGGGCCTGGCACCAGGGAGCTTAACAAACATCTGTCCAGCGAATACCTGCATCCCTAGAAGTGAAGCCACCGCCCAAAGACACGCCCATGTCCAGCTTAACCTGCATCCCTAGAAGTGAAGGCACCGCCCAAAGACACGCCCATGTCCAGCTTATTCTGCCCAGTTCCTCTCCAGAAAGGCTGCATGGTTGACACACAGTGCCTGCGACAAAGCTGAATGCTATCATTTAAAAACTCCTTGCTGGTTTGAGAGGCAGAAAATGATATCTCATAGTTGCTTTACTTTGCATATTTTAAAATTGTGACTTTCATGGCATAAATAATACTGGTTTATTACAGAAGCACTAGAAAATGCATGTGGACAAAAGTTGGGATTAGGAGAGAGAAATGAAGACATATGTCCACACAAAAACCTGTTCATTGCAGCTTTCTACCATCACCAAAAATTGCAAACAACCACACGCCCTTCAACTGGGGAACTCATCAACAACAAACTTGTGGTTTACCCACACAATGGAAGACCACTTAGCAACAAAAAGGACCAAACTCCTGGTACATGCAACTGACAGATGAATCTCAAACGCATTCCTCCGTGTGAAAGAAGCCGGACTCACAGGGCAACACACTATCTGACTGTTTCATGGGAAAGTCTGGAAACGGCAACACCATTGAGACAGAAAACAGGTGAGTGGTTGCCTGGGGCCAGGGAACTTTCTGGGGTCATATTCTCTGTGTTGATTCTGGTGGTGGAAACAAGACTGTCCCAGCCTGGGTGATACAGCGAGACCCCATCTCTACCAAAAAATTAAAAATTAGCTGGGCATGGTGGTGCATGCCTGTAGTCCCAGCTATTCACAGTGCTGAGGTGGGAAGATGCTTGAGCCCAGGAGTTCAAGGCTGCAATGAGCTATGATTGCGCCACTGCACTTTGGCCTGGACAACAGAGCAAAACCCTGTCTCTAAAAAAAGAAAAGAAAAGAAAAACTCACTGGATATGAATGATACAGGTTGAGGATCCATTATCTGAAATGCTTGGACCAGATGTTTTGAATTTTGGATTTTTTCATATTTTGTAATCTTTGCAGTATATTTACCAGTTCAGCATCCCTAACTCAAAAATTCAAAAATCTGAAATCCCAAACGCGCCAATAAGCATTCCCTTTGAGCGTCATGTCGGTGCTTGGAATGTTTGGGGTTTTGGATTTACAGCTTTGGGACGCTCAACCTGTACCTCAATAAACCTGATTTTAAAAAAGTTTGGGGGGATTCCCCTAAGCCCGCCACCCGGAGACAGCGGATTTCCTTAGTTACTTACTATGCTCCTTGGCCATTTCTCTAGGTATTGGTATATTGTGTCTGCTGTGAACTGTCCTTGGCCTGTTTGGTGACGGGTGAGGAGCAGGGACAGAAGGGTCCTGCGTGCCCTGCCTTCACAAGCCCCTGGAAGGAAAGTTGTTTTGGGATCTCTGCACCCTCAGCCTGGACAACTTGTGCCCATCTGGTGACCCCTCACTCAGCCACCAGACTTCCACGACAGGCTCCAGCCTCGGCACCTTCAGCCATGGACAGTTCCGCCAGCGTTGCCCTCTGTTCTGCTG
The DNA here is from genome assembly GCF_000001405.40 of Homo sapiens. Classification (NCBI taxonomy): domain Eukaryota; kingdom Metazoa; phylum Chordata; class Mammalia; order Primates; family Hominidae; genus Homo; species Homo sapiens. The sequence continues at coordinate 151,908 of NC_000017.11, forward strand.
TTTTCTCTACCAGAAGTGCCCTTCCCTCCTCACCTGACCACTCTGGGGAAATCCCTCAGCACCCTCCCTGAGCATACCCTACTCTGGCACAAGCCCACCCTGCAAAGCCCCTGAGGCCCGCCCTGTGGCGTCTCTCCCTCCCTTGCTGTCAGGACAGTGGTCCTGGCCACCGGGGCTCACGGAGCCGCCCTGTGCCGTGTACCTCTGAGCCCTCTGCACAGTGCCTTCTGCTTGCCTGTGGCTTTGAGAAGAAACCCCTTCTGGTTATACATAAGACAGCCAGAGAAGGGAGTTGCCCAGGGTGGCACAGCACGTTGCTGCCAGTTACTGCCATTTTCACGGGCATGAAATGGAGATAACAACAGGAGCGACCGCACAGGCTGCTGAGCGCGTCACACGCAGCCATCGCGCAGCTCAGGGATATTACGTGTAACTCGACATGTCAGCGATTGTCACAGGCACTGCTACTCCTGGGGTTTTCCATCAAACCCTCAAGAGCTGGGCCTGGGGTCAACTTCCGGCCTGGGGAAACTGGGGCAAGTATCACCAGAGATGAGCTTTATAAAAATAATGGTGCTAGCTGGGCATGGTGGCTTGCACCTGTAATCCCAGCACTTTGGGAGGCCGAGCTAGGAGGATCGTTTGAGTCCAGCAGTTTGAGACCAGCCTGGCCAATACGGCAAAACCCAGTCTCTACAAAAAATACAAAAAACAACTAGCCAGGCGTGGTGGTGCACACCTGTAGTCCCAGCTACTCAGGAGGCTGAGGGGGAAGGACTGCTTGAGCCCAGGAGTTTGAGGCTGCTGTGAGCTGTGATCGCATCACTGCATTCCAGCCCGGTGACAGAGTGAGTCACTGTCTCAAAAAAGAAAGGAAGAAATAAAGAAAACAAATAAAAATAATAGTGCAGACAAAAGGCCTTGACCCATCTAGCTTTGGCCCTCAGCATCAACCGCTAGATACGTCCCTCCCTTTCTTCTGGGGCACAGGTCACACTCTCTTCCAGGTCTAGGATGCAGCTGAGGGGTGCCCCTCTTACCATCTAATCTGTGCCCTTATTTCCTCTGCTTTAGTGAGGAAGAGGCCCCTGGTCCATGAAGGGGCCTTTCAGAGACGGGGACCCCTGAGGAGCCCCGAGCAGCAGCCGTCGTGTCTCACCCAGGGTGTCTGAAACAGATGTGGAGGTCTCGGGTGAGGCGTGGCTCAGATACAGGGAGTGGCCCACAGCTCGGCCTGTCTTTGAAAGGCCACGTGACCTGGCCCACGGCTGGCAGGTGGGACCCAGCTGCAGGGGTCCAGCAGCACCCACAGCAGCCACCTGTGGCAGGGAGGAGCTTGTGGTACAGTGGACAGGCCCTGCCCAGATGGCCCCCCGCCTGCCTGTGGAAGTTGACCAGACCATCTGTCACAGCAGGTAAGACTCTGCTTTCTGGGCAACCCAGCAGGTGACCCTGGAATTCCTGTCCATCTGGCAGGTGGGCATTGAAACTGGTTTAAAAATGTCACACCATAGGCCGGGCACAGTGGCTCACGCCTGTAATCCCAGCCCTTTGGGAGGCCAGGGTGGGTGGATCACTTGAGGTCAGGAGTTCAAGACCAGCCTGGCCAACATGGTGAAACCCCGTCTACTAAAAATACAAAAATTAGCCTGGCGTGGTGGCGCATGCCTGTAATCCCAGCTACTTGGGAAGCTGAGGGATGAGAACTGCTTGAACCTGGGAGGCAGACGTTGCAGTGAGCTGAGATCACGCCACTGCACTCCAGCCTGGGCAACAGAGTAAGACTCTGTCTCAAAAAAAAAAAAATCACACCATTTTGGCTTCAGATTGCATATCCTCCTGCAAGGATATATACGCGTGAAATTCAAGTCAATGACAAATCAGAAGAAAAAACATATATATACGCAAACCAGTATCCTACTGTGTGTGTCGTTTGTTGTGTTTTCGACAGCTGTCCGTGTTATAATAATTCCTCTAGTTCAAATTTATTCATTTTTAACTTCATAGTACCACATTCTACACACTGCCCATGTCCCCTCAAGCTTCCCCTGGCTCCTGCAACCACAAATCTACTCTCTGCCTCTGTGGGTTGACCTATTCTGGACACGTCATAGAAATAGAGTCCTGCAACACGTGGCCGTCTGTGTCTGGCTTCTCTCGCTTAGCATCTTGTTTCCAAGGTCCTCCCACAGTGTAGCATGCACCTGCTACACTCCTTCTTAGGGCTGATATTCCACGCACCTGCTACACTCCTTCTTATGGCTGATATTCCACGCACCTGCTACACTCCTTCTTAGGGCTGATATTCCACACACCCGCTACACTCCTTCTTAGGGCTGATATTCCACGCACCCGCTACACTCCTTCTTAGGGCTGATATTCCACGCACCTGCTACACTCCTTCTTAGGGCTGATATTCCACGCACCTGCTACACTCCTTCTTAGGGCTGATATTCCACGCACCTGCTACACTCCTTCTTAGGGCTGATATTCCACGCACCTGCTACACTCCTTCTTATGACTGATATTCCACGCACCTGCTACACTCCTTCTTAGGGCTGATATTCCACTGCAGGGACAGACTTCATTTGTGTATCCATTCATCAGTGGATGGACACTTGGGGTGTTTCCACTTTTGGCTGTTGTGGATAGTGCTGCTATGAACATTCCTGCACAAGTTTTAGGATGGACATGTTTTTCTTATCTCTTGGGTATATAACAAGGAGTGGAATTGCCAGATCAAATGGTGATTCTGTGTTTAACTTTCTGAGGAACTATCAGCTGCTTCCCAAAGTGGCCATCCCATTATTCTCATATTATTTTTATTTGTTTATTATATTTTGAGAGTGTCTCGCTCTGTCACCCTGGCTGGAGTGCAGTGGTGTGATCTCGGCTCACTGCAATCTCCACCTCCCAGGTTGAAGTGATTTTCCTGCCTCAGCCTCCCAAGTAGCTGCGATTACAGGCGCCCGCCACCACACCCAGCTAATTTTTTTATTTTTAGTAGAGACGGGTTTCCCCATATTGGCCAAGCTGGTCTCAAACTCCTGACCTCAGGTGATCCGTGCGCCTCGGCCTCCCAAAGTACTGGGATTACAAGCACGAGCCACTGCACTCAGCCTAATTTATTACTATTTTTAACTGTAGAGACAAGGTCTCAGTATGTTGCCAAGGCTGGTCTCAAATTCCTGGGTTCAAGCAATCCTCTCAAGTAGTTAGGACTACAGGGACATGCCACTACACCAGGCTAATTTTTAATTTTTTTATAGAGATGGAGGTCTCACTATGTTGCCCAGGATGGTCTCAAACTCCTAGCCTCAAGCAATCCTCCTGCCTTGGCCTCCCAAAGTGTTCAGAATGTAAGTGTAACTCACTGCACCTGCCACATACAATTTTTAAAGTGACAGAAATATGATCATGGCCATGGGAATGGTGCCCCTAGAGCTGTGCCACGAGGAGTACTGGCCTCTTCATGGTGCCAAGATGTCCCTGAGGCCTTAGTCACCTGGGTCCTTGGTGTCCCCTAGGTCAGGGCCATCCCTCTGTCATTCCCCCTCCCTGAAGCACCTGCCCCTCCTTTCTGCTGAACTAAATTCCTCCCCAAGTCTCAGTTTTCCAGAGTCTCCCTGTGAGCTCACACTCATACCTACCTAGTTTCTGAAGAGCCCCGAGCACTGACGGTAGTCACTGTGGCACCTGTAGCACCCTCTCCAAAGGGTCGCCAGCTCCTGCCTGGCTCTCAGAGCTACACAGCCTCTCCTGACCAGGCTCACAGCTCCACAGCTCTGCGGCCCAGGCCACCTGGCATGGCCCCCTGAGTTAGTGTCTCTCCCCAGGCCCACCATCAGCCCTGTTGGTAGAGCTGGGTGGACTCTTATCCGCATCTGTAGCACCATTATAGGGCTGGGCAAATGTGGGCAGTTGCAAAGGCCTGGCAGAGTTCCTCTGCATCCTCCCCCAGCCTCCTGGCTACCCCCGGCACTGGCCCCGCCTTCTGTCCCCTCCTGCAACTCATGGCCCCTCCTGGGCCCCTCAGTCACAGAGAGGCCTGGACATAGCATCAGGTGATAACTAATACCTGCATGACCCTGGGAAGCCACTCAGCTTCTCTGTCCCTCAGTTTCCCCATCTGTGAAATGGGCTGGCCATGCTTAACCCCTGGAGTTGCCAAGGTAGCCCATCAGGGAACACAGCGCCCCTGTACCTCAGGCACTCCCTGGGTGCCTGCCACCTGGGACCACGGAGCCGGCACACGGACCCCCGTCCTTGGAGGTGAAGACGTGGCAGGTGGTCACGCGCACGGCACACTCACGTTTTCACGTAGGGGTCCGAGTAGCCGTTGGCGTCCATGGCGGCCAGGTGGGCGCACCGCACGATGCCTACCAGCAGGCCTTGCTTCTGTGAGCTGTACTTGAGGGAGATGAGGATGCGGCCCCGCTCCTCCAGGGACTTGTCTTCAGTCTTGTCCACCTGTTGGACGGGACGGTCACTCAGTCCTCACCTGCTCCCACCCCTCTCTTGGCCGTCCTTGGCCTCCTCTTCCTGAGCCCGCCCATCCGGCTGCTGCAGCCGGGCCTGGTCACGGTCCCTGGTGAGTGGCCTCACTGTGAACTCACAGCCCTTCTGTCATCTCTTCCCTCCCAAGGGCTCTTCCAGGGCTGGATCTGACCCACACCCTCCCTGTTCTTGGCTGCATGTGGCCTACGGTGGCCTTCACAGCCCAGCAAGGGCCAGCCCAGGGGTTGGCAACTGCAGCCCGGGGGCCAGATCAGGCCCGACGCCTGGCTCTGTGTGGGATGTGAGCTAAGCATGGCTCTTACCCTTATCTTAAACAATTTCTTTTTCAAAAAAATAGAGACAGGGGTCTCACTATTTTGCCCAGGCTGATCTCAAACTCCTGGGCTCAAGGGATCTTCCCACCTTGGCCTCCCAAAGTGCTGGGATTACAGACATGAGCCACCGTGCCCAGCTGGTTCTTACTTTTTGGAATGGCAGAAAGAAAAATGAAATGAAAAATATTTTGTGACACATGAAAATGACATGAAATTCACACTTCAGCTTCCATTAACACCGTGTTGTTGGAACGCAGCCTTGCCAGCTCCGTGATGCTTCTCTATGGCTGCTTTTGCCCTAAGGACAGAGCTGCATGGTGGCCACAGATTGCGAGGCACACAGAGCCTAACATTAGCGCTAAGCGGCCCTTCACGGGTCTGCAGCCCCCGGCCTGGCGCGCTCGGCTTCCGCGGACGGTCTTCCACCAGGTCCTCCTCACAGCCCGCCCGGACTTTCCCTTGGCTTTGAAGCCGGGTCCCACCTCCACACCTTTGCGCACCCTTAATCCACAGCTCCAGCACCCTCCTCTGACCTCCTCAGTGTTCACCGTTGATAAATTCCTGGTCCTTCTGGGCCTGGGGGGCTTTTCTGACCCTCAGGGTGGGTTGGCCGTCCCCTCTGCGCGCCCACTGCCTCGGGTTTATCCTGTCATGGCCTGGTGTGGCCCCCTGCTTCCTCAGGGCTCTGCCCCAGCCTCTAAGTTCCTTGAAGTTGGAACTCTACCTGTAAATTTTGATTTTGACAGAGTCTGACTCTTGTCACCCAGGCTGGAGTGCAGTGGCATGATCTTGGCTCACTACAACCTCTGCCTCCCGGGTTTAAGCGATTCTCCTGCCTCAGCCTTCTGAGTAGCTGGGACTACAGTCTAATTTTTCTATTTTTTGGTAGAGACAGGGTTTTGCCATGTCTGCCAGGCTGGTCTCGAATTCCTGACCTCAAGTGATCCACCCACCTCAGCCTCCTGAAGTGCTGGGATTACAGGTATGAGCCACCGCATCCAGATAATACCTGCGTCATCTTTAATACCTCAGGGCTGGGCAAGGCCCTGGCACTAAGGGCCCACTGGAGGCTTGTACTAGTGAAGGCAGGAATGGAGGGACAGATGGTCCCCTGTGCGTTCAACCTCATACAAGCAACTCCAGCCTGGAGGTTCAAAGAAAGGCAGAAAGGTCTGCCCATGACAATGGAGCCTGGTGGATGGAAAAGGGTCACCGTGGCCCCAGTTCCCTGAAGGTGCTACCTGGAGCCTCTCAGGGTGCTGGATGTGGCTCCCTCAGGAGAACCCCGAAGACAGAGTTCTGGTACATTCCTCACCCTGGAGAAGCTGGGAGCCAAGTAGGGAGCCCATCCAGTGCCTTCCCTGCCTCAGCAGCTGCCAGTGCCTGCCTCTCAAGGCAGATCTCAGCTCCAGGCCTCCCCATCCCCAGCCAGCCTGATGCTTCTCCATTCCTTGCCCTCCCGAGACTACCCGGCTTCTTCCTTCTGGCTGCTGCACACCCCAAACCCTCTCTCCTAGGCCCTCAGCCCCCCCAGACAAACCCAGCTTGAGCCCACCCACACACGCCCAGCTTGAGCCCTGTGTCCCCCTGGATCCCCTTAGGACTCTACCAGGCTCCTCTCCCAAGCAGCCCCAGCCACCTCCTTTTGCCCACAACCGTGCCCTGCCTAACACCAAAGTGAGTCCCTCTGGCTACATCTAACCCTTTCTGGAGATGAGACTCCTGTGAGGTGAGCAGGGATGTTGAGCAGGGAAGACATACATGCCCCACCAGCCACCTTCGCCACCTCCCACGCCCAGAGCAGACATGGCTAATCGATCCTAGCATTTGCCCTAGGCTCCAATGCCACCTCAGAATCCTTTTCAACACAGTGCTCAGGCAGCCATTCCTGGTGGATCAGGCCAGGCCTGCGAGATCTCGCTATCTGCCGCTCAGGCAGAGCTTTGTGTGTGAGGGCCTTGATGCCCTGTGCTGCTTGTGTCAGTGTGTGTGGTGTGAAAATTAAACAATATAAACTAGCAGGGGCCAGGCACAGTGACTCATGCCTGTAACCCCAGCACTTTGGGAGGCCAAGGCGGGCAGATCACCTGAGGTCAGCAGCTCAGGACCAGCCTGGCCAACATGGTGAAACCCCATCTCTACTAAAAATACAAAAATTAGCCGGGTGTGGTGGCGCATGCCTGTAATCCCAGCTATTGGGAGGCTGAGGCAGAAGAATCACTTGAACCCGGGAGGCGGAGGTTGAAGTAAGCCGACATTGCGCCACTGCACTCCAGCCTGGGCGACATAGACTCCATCTCATAAAAAAAAAAAAAAAACAACCAACCAGCAGGCATATTTTTAGCTCTTTTTTCAGGGGTGGGACATTGTACTTCGGGTTGTTTCATATGAAGACCACTGGGTCTTGCTCAGTATTGACTTAAAACAGATAATGTTCGCAGACTGTAAATTCTAAAACCTACCGCCAGAGGCCTGGCACAGGGGCTCATGCCTGTAATCCCAGCACTTTGGGAGGCCGAGGCAGGAGGATCACTGGAGGTCAGGAGTTTGAGACTTGCCTGGCCAACATGGCGAACCCCCGTCTCTACTAAAAATACCAAAATTAGCCAGGCGTGGTGGCGCACACCTGTAATCCCAGCACTTTGGGAGGCTGAGGCAGGTGGATCATTCAAGGTCAGGAGTTTGAGACACCTGGACAATATGGTGAAACCCCATCTCTACCAAATATACAAAAATTAACCAGGCGTGGCGGCACACGCCTGTAGTCCCAGCTACTCGGGAGGCTGAGGCATGAGAATTGTTTGAACTCAGGAGGTAGAGGTTGCAGTGAACAGAGATTTTGCCACTGAACTCCAGCCTGGATGACAGAGCAAGACTCAGTCTCAAAAAATAATAATAATAAAAGTACCACCAGAATGTGGCTGTACTGTCAGGGGTGCATCCCCAGCTGCACTCCTGCGGTCACTGTGAGTCCCTGAACGGCACCAATGGGCCGGTAGCGCATCCAGCAACGCCCTGATCATGGCCACGCACAGGGACGCACATGCTTTCACGAACGCACACCACACATGTGGACACACACACTGTCGCACACAGACACGTACTGACATATGCTCTTACACACAATTCACACACGAGCACACACACACACACGCTGACACCCCACGTACATACCCACGTGGTTGTTTGTTTATGCCAGTGATGAAAACTCAGGAACACTAAGGCAGGGCTGGTGTTGCTTTTTTTTTTTTTTTTTGAGACAGAGTCTTGCTCTTGCTCTTGTCACCCAGGCTGGAGTGCAACGGTGCAATCTCGGCTCACTGCAACCTCCGCCTCTCAGGTTCAAGCGATTCTCCTGCCTCAGCCTCCTGAGTAGCTGGGATTACAGGCATGCACCCCCACACCCGGCTAATTTTTTTATTTTTAGCAGAGACGGGGTTTCGCCATGTTGGCCAGGCTCTCTCGAACTCTTGACCTCATGACCCACCTGCCTTGGCCTCCTAAGATGTTGCCTTTCTTAAGTGACATAGACCATGTGGAAAAACCGGGTTACCTGTGGTTAGTGACTAACAATAAAACAGGAAAGGTTATATCCATCACACAAATGTCTGAGGGGGAGAGAATGTGACAAGGAATAAAATTGGATCAAATTCTGCAAAAGTAACTGGGATTCTGGGAAGAAGCCGTGGCCTCAGGCTGACTCGCCCCCGGGGCTTGACTTGGGCTAAGCTCGAGGTGAGTCCACGTCCCCGGGCCCCACTGGGGCTGGGTACACTGGGGACAGCCGCCGGGCTCTGTCCTCCCAAACTTGCCCCTTGCCCAGTCCTCTTAGGGGGACAACGTGCCATCGAGGGGACCATGCCTCCGCCTGTGTCCTGAACGCTGGGAGGCTGAGGCCCCAGGATTTCTCTTGACCCCAGTGGCACGGGGGACTCCTGGCTTCACCAGCCCTATGAACCAGGTGAAGGTGAGGCCATAGACAAGGGAGGATGGGGGAGGGAAGAGGGACATAGAGACCAAGACTCAGAGGGCGTAGCTGCTGGAGCAGGCCGAGGGCAAATCTGTTCTGACATAACGTTGAGACAAATGCCATTTCTAGGAAAGGATACTCTGCTGTCTCCTCTGCGTATCTCACAGGCACTCAGGTCTAACATGTTCCAAGCGTGCTCCTTGCGCGTCCTGTCCACCCGTGGTCCCTGCTGAGTCCTCTGAGTGCAGCAAACAGCCCCTCAGGCTTCAGTGGCTCAGGCCCCAAACCTCGGATCTGCCCTTCCCTCACCCAAGGACGTCCTATCTGCTGCCTGCACATCTGGTTCAGAATCAAGCCCTCCTACCGCTGCCAAGGTCAGGCCAGGGTTGTGCCCATCTCTCCCCATCTCCCCAGGCCTCCTGCCCTCTCCTCCCTCTTCTTCAAGCCATCCTGAGCCCAGGCCAGCGAGCCTGGTAAAATGTCATCCCCCATGATCCCTCAGCTTAGCACCCTCCCGTGGCCACTCAGAGTGAAAGCCAGGGTCCTTCCTCACCTCCACCCCCTTGACTCTCCATGCTCACCTCCCCGGTCTCCCCTCCCCTCTCACTCTGCCCCTCATGAGTCCCATCACAGGCAGGAAGTTCTGCCTTCCCAGCACCTGCCACCGAGCCAGGTACACAGCAGGTGCTCAATCAATCCTCTCACCGGCAGCTGCTTCTCCAGGCAGATGCTGAAGGTCTTGGTGTGGTTGGGTTTCAGCTTCTTCAGGGGCACACGTGTCTCCCCGATGAACTCATTGTGCCGGAATTTGTCCTCGTCACACACAGAGATCCTAGAGGGGGCGGTGGTGAGGGGCACAGCCAGTGCCTCAGACGCACTGGGCATGGTGGAGGTGTGCGCAGGTAGGGCCAGCCCTGGCTTCTCCTGCCCCAAGCCCTGCCCTGGTCTGGGGTGGGAGACGCACAAGATGCCTGGGCCCTGACAGGGGCAGAGTGTGGCACGATATCAGGCACTGTCCTCATGGACAAGTGTCCTCAGGTTGGAAGAGGGGACAGGAGAAGGCAGAACCAGTGCCAGGAGTAGCCAGGAGGCTGGGAGAGCCGGTTCTCTGGAGGGAACCACCTCCAGCACCCTGAGAGGCCCCAGGAAGCACCTTCAGGGGACTGGGGCCAGGGTGACCCTTTTCCACCCACCAGGCTCCATTGGCGTGGGCAGACCTTTCTGCCTTTCTTCAAGCCCCCAAGCTGGAGTTGCTGGCATGAGGTTGAACCCACAGGGGACCATCTGACCCTCCAGTCCTGCCTTCATTAGGAAAAGCCGGGTGGGAGTAGGGGTTGGGGAGGGAGCAGGCGGCCTGGGACCCTCACCCACCGCAGGGTCTTGCGGATCATGTCTTCATCTGTGATCCCGTAGTAAGTGAGGGTCTCGTTCCATGTGGGGTTCAGAGTGTTACGGAGAGTTTTTGTTCTGAGCTTATTTGCCTGGAGAAGAGAAAAATGATCTTATTAGCATCAAAGTGTGTATCAAACAGAACAATGGCCCCCAGAGATGGCCACGTGCTCATCTTGGAGCCTGTGAATGTGTTATCAACATGGCCAAGTGGACTGAGGCTGCAGGTGGACTTAGGGTTGGTAATGAGCTGACATTAGAATAGGGAGATTATCCTAGATTGTTGGGTGGCCCAATGTGGTCACAGGGTTCTTAAAAGCAGAAGAATGGACAGAGAAGACAGTCAGGGACGTCACCAAGGAAGGGGGCCAGAGAGATGCAATGGGGCCCGCTGTGAAGGTGGAGGAAGGGGCCACAAGCCCAGGAGGGCCGATGGCCTCTAGAAGCTGGAAGGAGCTAGGAAACTGTGGGCTCCCCGGGCTCCAGAAGGAATGCAGCCTTGCCGACACCTTGATTTTAGCCCAGAGAGAGACCACTGCTGGACTTCTAACCTGCAGAGCAGTCCGAGAGTAAACGCGCTGCTTTAAGCCACGAAGTTTGTGGTCATTTGTTGCAGCAGCCGTAGGAGGCTCATCCAAGGAGGACCCCACCTCCAGCCCGATGCCACGGGGTAGGTTCTGCAGGAGGCCTGTGTGGAACTGGAGTCTCCTTCCCAGGGCATTCCCTGCCTTTGTGGACCGTCCCCTCTGCCTGGAACCCATCCCGTCCTTGGGTCTGCCTCGGGGGTGGCCTCTCCGAGCTGGAATATTGCTGCCACTCCCTCCTCCTGTGCCAGCGGCTCTGAGCTCCTTGTCTGAATCGGTCTGATGCCTGCCACACCCGGCCCAGGCTGGGAGGTCAGACAGCCTGGGCTTCCAATTCCAGCTCTGTGGCAGCATCAGGTTCCCCACTGTGGAAAGGGCACAGGAATCCCTCTCTCCCATTGCTTTCAGGAGCTGTTTGTAAGGAGACTGCTCTTTATAAAACACTAGGGAAAGTCCTGGGGACTTCCTACAACTCGGCAGCCATGCACTGCCGGCTCCAGTCCCACAAATGAAGGGTCACTGAGCACACTTCCCTGGTCATACTCGCCCTCGGCCCTCATATCCCTGAGCCCTTCTTGCAGCATAAGGGCATCAAGACCCTGTGTGGGGAGCCCATTTCTTCCCCAGGAGTAGGTGGTGGGGCACTGCCATTTCTCCTACAGTCCTGCCTTCCCTAGAGAAGGGGGAAGGGCCCCTTCTGGGGTGGTCCTCCTGGGCTGCTGTGGGCCCCAGGCCTACCCATTTAGGCCTCCACGTAAACTCAGACTCTGCCCCATGAAATTAAAAATAAAACAGCACTGAAGTGTAGGATGCACAGAAGGAAGTCTAATTAAGTTCTGACTTTCCATGGCTCAAGGTCACCTTGATGCTTTTATTTAACAGCAATTTTTCTCTCTCCTGTCCGAGATGCACCTGTTGTGCTGGTGCCCTGAGCACATGTGTGGTCGGACGCTTGGGTCATCCGGCGTAGGAATGAGGGGCAGATTCTGCCCACTTCATCCCCCTTGCGGAGAGTCAGGGAACAGCCCATCAACACGTTAGATGCTCTGAGAAGTCCTGTGGTACAGAAACCTGTTTAACAATGTTTCCCCATGTTATTTAACCACAGAGTCCTTTGTTTGCACCTAATAGTAACTTCCAGCTGAGAATGCTTCTTATAAAATGCTGGCCTGGAAATTCTCCAGGGGTTTCCCCAGATCAGCAGGTAGGTAACGCTGACTCGTGAGGTCCCCAGGAGGCAACAGGGTGTGGGGCAGACTGGGTGCTCTGTGTGCAGTTGAATGGCTGAGGTCCCATCAGCTTGCTTGGACTCTGAGGGGAGTGGCAGCTGTGGGCCTCCCTGGGTGCCCGCAGCCCAGTCCAGGCCCCAAAGCAAAAGGACCAGAGTGCATTGCCTGAGGTGGTGGGCGGGTGCAGCTGGTGGGCAGGCCTGGGTGGAACCCCTCACCTTACTGGCTCCTGGCAGCAGGTGCAGCTTGACGTAGGGGTCTGCCAGCCCATTGTGGTCCATTGGCTTCAGGCCCTGGGCAGAGAAGAGCAAACGGTGTGAACTGGAAATCGGGGACATGGAACTGACAGGGCCTGCAGATGCCCTTGTCCCCTGGGTCTCCTGGCTGGGCCCATTCATGGCCCCTTTCACAGAAGCCCCCGGGCCCCACACCTCCAGATGGAGGGAGTGAGGATGGCTCAACGCTGATGCAATCTCCCCTCCCCAAAACATCCTGGCCCAGGGCAGCTGTCATGGGGCCTCTGTCAGGACAGACTTTCTCTTGTCCTCATCCTGGAAGCCAGGTGGCTCCCCCTTCTCTGAGCCTCCCTCTCCACCCTGCTTTGCTCAGGCCCTGCCATCATCCTGACTCCCGTCTCCCATCTACCAAGCGTGGCCTCCTGAGTGGCCATGCCCCTCACTGACCCTAAATCCACATAACCCCGGGACACAGTCTGAGACTAGGCCCCATTTCTGGCCATATTTGCCACAACTCCCAGTCAGTCCACAGAGATCACACAAGCAGACTGGCCACAGAGGGTCCCTCCACAAGATGGCACCCCTCTCTCACTCTGGTTCTTTCAGAAAACCCAGCCACGCGTGCACAGCCAGAGGCACACAGAAGCATGGACAGAGAGGGGCTTTGCTGACCTCAGCAGGCTCTTGTCTCTGAAAATTGCATTTGTTTCCTTCTGGGATGGTGCACAGGGATGCAGGGAGGCAGCTGTGGCATCTGTGGGGGTGCAGCCGGCAACCCCAGGATAGTATTCAAAGGGCTTCTACCCAGCCGGGTCAGGGAGGCAGCTCGGCGGCTCACACCAGGCCCATCTCCAAGGGGAGGCTGGGGCTCCCTCCCAGGCCCACCCCACCTCGGTTTGACGGAGCTCTGGGGGATGCGGCAGGGGCTTCCAACCACCTACTTCCCTGCCACTGGCAAAGGGCAGAGGTTTGGGGGCCTGGCTGGCTTGGGCTCCAGGCTCAGCTCCTGTTCACCAGCTGGGAAGTGGATGAGTTACTTTGCACGCTAAGCCTCAGCTTTATCATCTGTTAAAGGGGTTGGCCGGGCACGGTGGCTCACGCCTGTAATCCCAGCGCTTGAGCCCAGGAGTTCAAGACCAGCCTGGGCAACACAGTAAGACCCTGTCTCTTCAAAAAACTAAAAAATTAGCTGGGTGGGGTGGCATGTGCCTGTGGTTCCAGCAACTAGAGAAGCTGAGGTGGGAGGATCGCTTGAACCTGGGACACGGAGGCTGCAGTGAACCATGATCGCACCACTGCACTCCAGCCTGGGTGACAGAGTGAGACCCTGTCTCAAGTTTAAAAAAAAAAAAAAAAAAAGGGCGGGGGTGTAATACTCCCACCTTCCTAGGGCTGGAGTGAGAGGGAGGGAGACTGTGTGGACACAGGGCCTGGCAGGCAGGGTTTGCTCCCTTCCCTGCACGCCAGGCCCCCGTGAGACGCCGGAGAAGCGGTTGAGGTCTGCTGGGTGCATCTGAGCTGTGCCCTGCACTGTGGGGCTGCCTCTGGGACAGGGCCTGGCTCAGTGGCCCAACACGTGCTCAAGGTGACAAGGCTGCTCTTCCAAACCCAACTCCCTCACCCTGCCTTGCACCTTTCCCACCAAGTGCCTGAAGTGCAGAGTTCTGGGAATCTGGTGGCCTGGCCTGACCAGGCGGTGCCTGACTGCTGTGTCTTATTCTTACAGTCCTTATACATTTGTTTGTTGTAGCTTAAAATGTTTCCATTTGGGCCACGTTTCCTGACACGTTTCACTTACAAACCTTTGGGCCACCACATGTTCTGGCGTATGTCTTTCCAGTGGCTCTGGTGGTCCCACCTCCGTACCCCGAGACACCCGTGGGAGCTAGGCTGGGTCGAGGGGCGCTGTCATGCTGGGACGGGAGTGATGCCTGCTCTGTCCTTCAGACCCCGGGACTGTGACGAGGCCCCTGCTGCTGCTCTCTACTCCTCCACCCGGCAGTTCCCTGAGCACCCTGGGCAGCCACACATTTCGCCAAAAGCAAAAGGACCAGCAGGCACTGCCTGAAGCCCTGTCACTGTGCTGCCACCAACTTCTGTGCCCAAACAGGCAGCTTCCCTGGTCCTGACCCGGGGTTCCGCCAGTGCCTCCACCTTCTGTGGGGCTGGCCTCCCACGGAGCCTGACCTCTGTCCACGGAAGGGGAAGGTCGGGAGGCTGTTTCCAGGGCAGGGAGCTGCTAGTGGGGCCCTTGGGCACATGCTCCCCAGCTTGGGAGTTGGCAAGAGACATAAACTGATCCCATGGTTTAGGGGTGGGCCTCACGGGAGGTGACGTGGTTTGGCGGTGTCCCCACCCAAGTCTCATCTGGAGTTGTACTCCCATAATTCCTACAGGTTGTGGGAAGGACCCAGCGGGAGATAACTGAATCACAAGGGGAGGTTTCTCCCAGACTGTTCTTGACGTAGTGAATACGTCTCACGAGATCTGATGATCTGACACTGTTCTTGAGGTAGTGAATACGTCTCACGAGATCTCATGGTCTGACACTCTTCTTGACGTAGTGAATACGTCTCACGAGATCTCATGGTCTGACACTGTTCTTGAGGTAGTGAATACGTCTCACGAGATCTCATGGTCTGACACTGTTCTTGAGGTAGTGAATACGTCTCACGAGATCTCATGGTCTGACACTGTTCTTGAGGTAGTGAATACGTCTCACGAGATCTCATGGTCTGACACTGTTCTTGAGGTAGTGAATACGTCTCACGAGATCTCATGGTCTGACACTCTTCTTGAGGTAGTGAATACGTCTCACGAGATCTCATGGTCTGACACTCTTCTTGAGGTAGTGAATACGTCTCACGAGATCTCATGGTCTGACACTCTTCTTGAGGTAGTGAATACGTCTCACGAGATCTCATGGTCTGACACTCTTCTTGAGGTAGTGAATACGTCTCACGAGATCTCATGGTCTGACACTGTTCTTGAGGTAGTGAATACGTCTCACGAGATCTGATGGTCTGACACTGTTCTTGAGGTAGTGAATACGTCTCACGAGATCTCATGGTCTGACACTGTTCTTGAGGTAGTGAATACGTCTCACGAGATCTCATGGTCTGACACTGTTCTTGAGGTAGTGAATACGTCTCACGAGATCTCATGGTCTGACACTGTTCTTGAGGTAGTGAATACGTCTCACGAGATCTCATGGTCTGACACTGTTCTTGAGGTAGTGAATACGTCTCACGAGATCTCATGGTCTGACACTGTTCTTGAGGTAGTGAATACGTCTCACGAGATCTCATGGTCTGACACTCTTCTTGAGGTAGTGAATACGTCTCACGAGATCTCATGGTCTGACACTCTTCTTGAGGTAGTGAATACGTCTCACGAGATCTCATGGTCTGACACTCTTCTTGAGGTAGTGAATACGTCTCACGAGATCTCATGGTCTGACACTGTTCTTGAGGTAGTGAATACGTCTCACGAGATCTGATGGTCTGACACTGTTCTTGAGGTAGTGAATACGTCTCACGAGATCTCATGGTCTGACACTGTTCTTGAGGTAGTGAATACGTCTCACGAGATCTCATGGTCTGACACTGTTCTTGAGGTAGTGAATACGTCTCACGAGATCTCATGGTCTGACACTGTTCTTGAGGTAGTGAATACGTCTCACGAGATCTCATGGTCTGACACTGTTCTTGAGGTAGTGAATACGTCTCACGAGATCTCATGGTCTGACACTGTTCTTGAGGTAGTGAATACGTCTCACGAGATCTCATGGTCTGACACTGTTCTTGAGGTAGTGAATACGTCTCACGAGATCTCATGGTCTGACACTGTTCTTGAGGTAGTGAATACGTCTCACGAGATCTCATGGTCTGACACTGTTCTTGAGGTAGTGAATACGTCTCACGAGATCTCATGGTCTGACACTCTTCTTGAGGTAGTGAATACGTCTCACGAGATCTCATGGTCTGACACTCTTCTTGAGGTAGTGAATACGTCTCACGAGATCTCATGGTCTGACACTGTTCTTGAGGTAGTGAATACGTCTCACGAGATCTGATGGTCTGACACTGTTCTTGAGGTAGTGAATACGTCTCACGAGATCTCATGGTCTGACACTGTTCTTGAGGTAGTGAATACGTCTCACGAGATCTCATGGTCTGACACTGTTCTTGAGGTAGTGAATACGTCTCACGAGATCTCATGGTCTGACACTGTTCTTGAGGTAGTGAATACGTCTCACGAGATCTCATGGTCTGACACTGTTCTTGAGGTAGTGAATACGTCTCACGAGATCTCATGGTCTGACACTGTTCTTGAGGTAGTGAATACGTCTCACGAGATCTCATGGTCTGACACTGTTCTTGAGGTAGTGAATACGTCTCACGAGATCTCATGGTCTGACACTGTTCTTGAGGTAGTGAATACGTCTCACGAGATCTCATGGTCTGACACTGTTCTTGAGGTAGTGAATACGTCTCACGAGATCTCATGGTCTGACACTGTTCTTGAGGTAGTGAATACGTCTCACGAGATCTCATGGTCTGACACTCTTCTTGAGGTAGTGAATACATCTCACGAGATCTGATGGCCTGATAAGGGGAAACCCGTTTTCCTTGGCTCTCATTCTCTCTCTTGCCACCAAACATGTGAGAAGTGCCTTTCACTTTCAGCCATAACTGTGAGGTCTTCTCAGCCACGTGTAACGGCAAGTCCAATAAACCTCTTTCCTTTATAAATTACACAGTCTCAGGTATGTCTTTATCGGCAGCATGAAAATGGACTAATACAGGGAGGATGGGTGGAAGCGGCCCCGGGGGAGGCCCTGGCTGGTACTGGCACTGAGGGAAGAGATGGGGGGTCTGGCTTTGAGAGGAGAGCTTCTCCCCAAAAACCTAGCCCTGCCCCGCCCTGGGCCTCTCAGAGGCTGTTGCTGGTGAAGTGTTCGGAAGAGGAGCTTTCTAGTCTGAAGTATCATTCAGCCTGAAAAGGAAGTTTTGACACGTGCTGCAATGGGGATGAAGCCTGAAGACATTCTGCGGAGTGAAAGAAGGCAGACTCAAAAGGACAGATCCCGGGGACTGCAGACTCAAAAGGACAGATACCGGGAGACTGCACTTACATGAGGTCCCTAGAATAGTCAAATCCATAGAGAAGGAAGCCAAATGGCAGCCTCCCCAGGGGCCAGGGGAGGAGGAAGGGGGAGCTGTTGTTTAATGGGTCCAGTTTAGTTTTGCAAGCTGAAGAGGGCTCTGGAGATGGGTTTCACAGCAGTGTGAAGGTAGAAGGTACTTAGCACAACTGAACTGTACGCTAAAAATGGTTGAGCGCTGAGGGAAGAAGTAAAAAAAAGTGGTTGAGGTGGGAAATGTATATCTGTGTATTTTACCACAATAAAAATAAAAAGTCTCCCAGAACTGGTAGTGCCAGGGGCCACGTGTTAACTCATTTAATGCTCACAACAGGCATGTAGGGCAGGGACAACCAACCCTATTTACAGATGGGCAAACTGAGACTGACCCTTATAAGGGGGGACAAGCAAGGGTGCACCCCAGGGTGTCCAGCCCCCACCCTGGCCCTCCAGAGGCCAGCCCTCCTTCAGCTCACCCACCCTGGGCCCCTCCCCACACCCCAGCCCAGAGCCCCAGCTCTTCCCCAGCCTGCACCACCCCTTCCCTACAGAACTGGATTTACACAGAGAAGGAACTGGGCCTCCCACCCCCACTTCTGATACCTGAGGGATACAGCCCAAAGTGGACACACACTTACATGTGTGCACGCACGGTACCACACATGTACACACAGAGACACACATACAGCCATGTATGTGCATACACACAAACGCACCTGGAGCTGGGAAGGGAAGGCCCTGGTGTCTGGCATGGAGAGAGGAAGGGGTGGGCTTTGGCCAGAGTGGCCTGGCAGCCGGCACCTCTCCAGTCCCCAGGCCTGGACCACCTCTACAAAGTTGGACAGAGGGAAAGGAGGAAGGGTCTAGCTTGGTCTCTACCTTGGCACAGCTGGGATTTGACAAATGCTCAGTTCTGCTCCTAGGGGTGGGCTGGAGCCCCCGCCAGGCAGGGCTGGACATGCCCTGAGTCATAGCATGGGTGGTTCTAGAGAGGGCAGGGGTGGGATGGAGCGTGCAGGCCTCTCAGTGCCCTACCAGGGCCCTGAGGCTTGCGTGGATGGCACTCACACCTACCCATGGCAGTCCACATGTGGCCCAGGCTGGGCTGGGGGACAGCCTGGGGTGGCACGCAGTAGCCTGTCCTGCTGGGTGAGCATGCTGCCAAGGGCAGCCCTTGCTGCCAGGCTGGGAGGAGGGGCAGGGGGCCTGCAGGTTGGGAGGCTGGGTGGGGCCTGGGCCCAGGCAGCTCTGTGGGAAGCCGCTGGATCTGAGCTGGGCTGGCTCAGGCCCTTACATGGCACTACTAGGGAGACTCTACTGGCCATGCAGGCCCTTACCTTGCGAGAGAACATCAATTTTGGCACCTTCCTCCCACAGGGAGCAATGGGGTGAGGGGAAGGGAACAGGACAGTTGAGAACATGGAGCTGACACATGCTTGAGTGGCAGAGCCAGAGGGCAGCACCAGGGACCAGGCCAGGCTGCAGAGGGGAGCACCAGGGGCCGGGCCAGGCTGCAGAGGGCAGCACCAGGGGCCGGGCCAGGCTGCAGAGGGCAGCACCAGGGGCCGGGCCAGGCTGCAGAGGGGAGCACCAGGGGCCGGGCCAGGCTGCAGAGGGCAGCACCAGGGGCCGGGCCAGGCTGCAGAGGGCAGCACCAGGGGCCGGGCCAGGCTGCAGAGGGGAGAGCACCAGGGGCCGGGCCAGGCTGCAGAGGGGAGAGCACCAGGGGCCGGGCCAGGCTGCAGAGGGGAGCACCAGGGGCCGGGCCAGGCTGCAGAGGGCAGCACCAGGGGCCGGGCCAGGCTGCAGAGGGGAGCACCAGGGGCCGGGCCAGGCTGCAGAGGGGAGCACCAGGGGCCGGGCCAGGCTGCAGAGGGGAGAGCACCAGGGGCCGGGCCAGGCTGCAGAGGGGAGAGCACCAGGGGCCGGGCCAGGCTGCAGAGGGGAGAGCACCAGGGGCCGGGCCAGGCTGCAGAGGGCGGCACCAGGGGCCGGGCCAGGTTGCAGAGGGGAGCACCAGGGGCCGGGCCAGGCTGCAGAGGGGAGCACCAGGGGCCGGGCCAGGCTGCAGAGGGCAGCACCAGGGGCCGGGCCAGGCTGCAGAGGGGAGAGCACCAGGGGCCGGGCCAGGCTGCAGAGGGGAGCACCAGGGGCCGGGCCAGGCTGCAGAGGGCAGCACCAGGGGCCGGGCCAGGCTGCAGAGGGGAGAGCACCAGGGGCCGGGCCAGGCTGCAGAGGGGAGCACCAGGGGCCGGGCCAGGCTGCAGAGGGGAGCACCAGGGGCCGGGCCAGGCTGCAGAGGGGAGAGCACCAGGGGCCGGGCCAGGCTGCAGAGGGGAGCACCAGGGGCCGGGCCAGGCTGCAGAGGGCAGCACCAGGGGCCGGGCCAGGCTGCAGAGGGGAGCACCAGGGGCCGGGCCAGGCTGCAGAGGGCAGCACCAGGGGCCGGGCCAGGCTGCAGAGGGGAGAGCACCAGGGGCCGGGCCAGGCTGCAGAGGGGAGCACCAGGGGCCGGGCCAGGCTGCAGAGGGCAGCACCAGGGGCCGGGCCAGGCTGCAGAGGGGAGAGCACCAGGGGCCGGGCCAGGCTGCAGAGGGGAGCACCAGGGGCCGGGCCAGGCTGCAGAGGGGAGCACCAGGGGCCGGGCCAGGCTGCAGAGGGGAGCACCAGGGGCCGGGCCAGGCTGCAGAGGGGAGCACCAGCGGCCGGGCCAGGCTGCAGAGGGGTCCACAGGCACCCACAACCCCAGCCCACGTAGTGAGGCTCAGAGGGCCTCTGGGCTCAGGCCGTGGACACCCTGCCTGGAGTGGCATCGGCCTCCTACAGTGGCTCGGCTTCCAGGGTGCAAAGTGGCGTCCCCACTCCTCAGGGCGTCTGGGAGGCCTGGAGGCACCAGTACCCAACCCGCCCTCCCTTGGCCTGCAGGACAGACATCACCCTGCCCCTCTCTTTCCCTCTCAGCAGCCCCTCCCCAGGCTCGAGGGTCCTCGGTCCAGGCCTTCATCTTCCCATTCTCATCTGTTTCTTTGCTCCCCGCAATGCCTGACTGTCCAAGGCATTTCTTGGGGTTGGGTATTCAAGAAGGTTTAAAGAAGAATTCCTTCCTGGCCCCGCACCCCACACAGCGCAGACATCCAAAAGCCTGGACAGGAACCTGGGGAGTGGTGTGGTCTGGCCTCCCTGACCTAGGCCCTCTTGAGGACCCCGGGGCAGGGAATTTGGGGGCAGGCTGGCGGGGCCTACCTTGGCCTTGGTGATGGTGCAGTGGAGGGCGTTGTTCTCCTGGTCATACAGCAGGCTGAAGTCCAGCGTGCCCAGGGCAGCTGCGGACAGAGGAGGGCACAGGTCCCACCCTGGCCGCATCTTGGAGAGGCTTCGCCTGCCCCTGTGAGACCAGATGAGCCTGGCCTGGGCAGGTGCCACCGTTCCATGGCGGCTGCCACCAACCAAGCACCTGCTCTATGCCAGCCCCTCACCCATCCTCCCAGTCCCACCCAACCCTGGGAAGTCACAATAATCTCCCCACTTTCCAGAGGAGGAGCTGAGACCCAGAGAGGTCAGGTGGGTCACTCCAGTTCCCTGTCTGGCCCAGTGTGTGGTCCACCTGAGCTGGGCACCCAGCCAAAGGAGTTCCTGCCCTCCTGGTGCAACTGCCAGTCTGGGCCCCGTGCCTCAGTTTCCCTCACCTGTGAAATGTCACAAGGATCACACAAGGCGGAGGAGACGAGGCTTTGAGAGGAACAGGTCCTGGCCAGGAAGATCAGCTGATTTGCTCAACAGTCCCCCAGCCAACACACAGGACTGCAGCTCCTCTGTCTCTCTGGCCCGTTGGGAACCCCGAGCAGGCCGTGAGGAGCCAGCTGGGTCCTCATACTGCTGCCCCCAAGTCTCTCAATGGCAGTGGTAACTCCCAAAAGCCGGGGGGAGGGTGCAGCCATAATTGGGGGAGGTTGCAGCCATAATTGGGTGCAGCTGCCTCCCTCCCCGGGGGCAATCACTCATAGCAGCTGTGGCTTTCCATGCAGAAGCGGCTCCCAGCATGGAGGCCAAGGTGATGGTTGGGGCAGAGCTTGGAGATGATGGTGGGGGGCAGAGCTTAGTGGCAGTCCGCAGACAGCAAGATGCACATTCACAGATGGCTTCAGAAGCCCAGAGCCTGCTCCCAGGCTGCAGGGCTGGTCAAATGGTGTCACATTCCTTCATTATTTACCAAGTGTTTACAACATGCCAGACTCTAGGGGATGGACATCTGTGAGGCAGAGTCCCTATCCCAAGGAAAGCACAGCTTAAGGGGAGGAACAAATGGAAATAATTTGCCGCAGTAGAGTCTGGTGAGCCGGGAGCCATGGGGAGCCCATGTGAATTGGGACCACCAGGGAAGGCTTCCTGGAGGAGGTGATGCTTCACCTGAGCCATGAGGGATGAGTAGGAGTTGGCCAATGGCAAAGAGGGGCTGGGGGAGGTGACGATTCCAACCACAGGCCAACCAGCAGGTACGGGCTTAGTGGCTGGTGTGATCCCGGGATAAGGGAAGGCCAAACTTGAAAGACTGTGTTCTTCAGGCTCTGAGCTAGGCTCCCAACCTGGATCTAGATCCAATTACGGCCACACCTGACCAGGCCCATCATTTACATCTCTTCTGCGGCTGCTTTCCTACTTCAGAAGCAGACCCTACGGCCTGCACAGCTGAAAATATTTACTATCCAGCCCTTCTTTATAGAACAAGTTTGCAGATCTCTGGGCGAGTGCTGGGCCCAGGCATAACAAAGTTTCTTGGGTCTGCAGGGAAATTGGCTAATGAAAGGCCACGAGTGTGGAGTGTCCTTTATTCTGAGCTGGTGATGGGAGTGGCATTTGTCTAGATCATCCCCTTCTAACACGGGTCAGGCACATGTCTCTGTCTTCGCAGCAGTGTGGGGTGCAAGACCTGCCCTCTGACATCAGTCTCCTCGGTTCAAATCCCAGCGTGCACTTCCCTGCTGTGTGGCCAGCTTATCTAACGTCTTTATGCCTCAGTTTACTCATCTGTGAAATGGAGACAACGATAGTATCCACCTCACAGCACAGTGTGCCTGCGGTGTAGGAGGTGCTCAGTAGATCATTATAGAAGGAGCAGATCCCTATGGTGGGTTTTCTAGCTAACAGTACTGGCTTCTCTAAGACCCATTCTGGAATGAAACTGTCCTCAATTGGCTCATTTCCCTCCCTGCCTTTGGGAACAGAACATACAAATAGTCACTTAAATTTTTTGAATAACCTGAGTCATTGCTATGGCCACGATGACTCTTCCGTATGTCACGGTCATGTTCCAGAGGCAAAAGGGGACACGAAGCAACCCCTGCACCAGAGGGTCCCGGGTGGCCCTCTTTTCGGTTTTCTTCATTTTTCTGCCTCTTCCTTTGACATCAGCCTGAAACTCCTATTAGATTACTTGTCTGTGTTGGCGCAGACAGCTCTCACCTATTCAATAATTGTTTCTCCCATGAGACCAGGTGATGATACTTGTTGGAAGTGTGTGCAAACTAAGAGCCAACAGGCCTTGAGTGGCTGGTGTGGGGCTCATGCCTGTCATCCCAGCAGTTTGGGAGGCCGAAGCAGATGGATCACTTGAGCTCAGGAGTTCGAGACCAGCCTGGCCAACATGGCAACAAAAACTACAAAAATGGCCGGGTGTGGTGGCTCACGCCTATAATCCCAGCACTTTGGGAGGCTGAGACGGGTGGATCACTTGAGCCCAGGATTTCAAGACCGGCCTGGCCAACATGGAAACACCCATTTCTACAAAAAATACAAAAATAGCCGGGCATGGTGGCGCATGCCTGTGGTCCCAGCTACTCGGGAGGCTGAGGTGGGAGGACCGCTTGAGCCCAGGAAGTTGAGGCTACAGTGAGTGTGATTGTGCCACTGCATCCAACCTAGGCGACAGAGCGAGATCCTGTCTCAAAAAAATAAATAAATACTAGGTCTTGAGTGAAGCCTGAGGCACGTTCTCCTGAGCAGGGTATGTGTGCAGCAGCAATAGCTGTAGCTGGCCTTCAGCTGCCTGCATGCTAGCTGCCATCTCCACACCAGGCAGGTGAGGCTGCTGGAAGGGAGGTGTATCCCACTGCTCCTGCAGCAATGAACACAGCCACAGCCCGAGATGCACCAATCTGTACTTTTGTAACAATATTCTCTGAAGCTGTTGGCTTTACATGATAGTAAATGGATCTGCTGTTCAGGTCAGGCCTACCTGGGGTTTGTTCCCCCAACGAATTAGCCCCCTGAGCACAGGGACCATGCCTTGGCCACACCTGTGAGACCAACAAACAGCAGATGCAGACACACATGGCTGGTCCATTCAAACCAACTTGCCCTCCAGGTGCTCCCAGGAGCTGGGATCTGGTGTGACACCCAAGTGTAAAAATGCACATTCTGATTTCTGCCTGTTTCCCAACCCCAGAGAAGGACAGCCAGAAGACAGAGCGGCTGCCTGCTCCCCCTGGGACACCCAGCTCCTGGAGGGGAGAAGCCCCTGCACTGGCTCTACAGAAACCCCTGTCCAAGGAGGGCAGCGATCTTCTCCAACTGCCTGGGGGGAAAACTGACACCCGTCACCACCTCCTGGGAAGGAACAGCACACCCAGTGTGTCACCAGGAAGGGACTGATGAATTTCTTTGAACTCCACTGGAAGGTCTGTAAGAAATGATAGTTTATAAATAGAAGCTCGGTCACAGTTTTGAGAGGCTGGTGAAGCTCTCTTACGGAGCACATGGCCCAAACTCTTCATTTCCCTTTAGAGAAATGAGGCTCAGAGAGGGGAGGGGAGCTGCTCAGCGTGGCCCAGCAGACCCAGGCACAGAATCTAGGCCTCTTCACTTCCATCCTGATAGTTTCTCCCTTAAAGCCTACTGGCTCCCAAGAAGTTTTTTTTTTTTGAGACAGGGTCTTGTTCTGTTACCCAGGCTGGAGTACAGTGGTGCGATCACAGTTCAGCCTCCCAGGCTCAAACGATCCTCTCACCTCAGCCTCCCAAGTAGCTGGGACTACAGGCGCCCACCACCATGCCCGGCTAACTTAAAAAATATATTTACAAAAAAAGAGACAGTGGTGTTGGTGCGGGGGGTGCGGGGGGGTAGGTCTCACTACGTTGCTCAGGCTGGTCTTGAACTCCCGGGCTCAAGCAATCCTCCCGCCTTCACCTCCCAAAGTGCTGGGATTACAGGCACACACGGGCCACTCTGCCCTGGTCCAAAAAGCTTTTTTTTGGCCACTTTGTTTAGCTGAAATCTTAGGAGGATGCAACTAAGAAACAAAAAGAGAGAAAAGCAGAGTTGCTCTAGGGGAAGGAGAGTGGGGGCTCAGCCGCTGCCCTGGAGAGCCCTCCGAGTTGGAAAAGCACCTTGGGCTTGTGCTGGGCGTGAGGAGGGCCCTAAGGGCAGGAGAAGGTGCTTCTCTGTGACCCACAGTGCCCTGCCCTTGGAGCGCTCCAATCACATGACCCCACTGAAGTTTACATCTTCGGAAAAATAATGAGGGTTGGTCACTAATGGGCCTTTGAGAGTTGTCACCCGCTTGTCGATAATTACAGAGCTTTAATGGGGCTAATTCAGAGAAAATCAAGCTCAAGCCCCTGTTGGCTCCTCTAAGGCCGAGCACCCCCTGCTTGGCTGATGTAGACCTGACAGCATCATCATAACCTTGGTTTGCACCTGGACTTTCCTGACACCCTTGGGAATAGGAAATCTGCCCTGATTTTTTTTTTTTTTTTTTTTAAGAAAAATGTCAGGCTCTCAAATACTTTAAAAAAAACAAAACAATTGTGGCAAGGACCATAGAAAATCATCAAGCTTGTGTTGAAAGCATTTTATAGTTGGGGAAACAGCCATTCAGCCAGGCCGGCACTGCAGGGGGGACAGAGAGAAATGAGCCATCATCCCTGCTTCCCAGGAGCTTAGAGACGAGTGTTAAGATTTTTATAAACATCTTCATTCATCTGCTTTAAATTGTTGAAAGGTTCTCCATCAACTCCTGGACTCAGTTCAACCTCCTTGGTGTGGCATTCAAGACCTTGTGTGATATGACCACTTTGGCCTCCTCATAGGTCTCTTCCCCTTCTTTGAGCCACTTGGCTCTACTGTTTTGCCTACACTGGGCTGAGTTTCTGACACTTCAGGACCTGTGTACACAGCTGTCCCTCTGCGAAGAGCACCTCCCTTTCCTCTTTTCCCTCTGTCAGCCCACCTCCTCCCTCCTCCCAGTCTTAGGGCTGAGCCCTCTCTGTGAGTGACCTCCGCCTGCCAGAGCTTTCCATCTGGGTTCTTGCCTCCCTGTCCCTCGCTGTGGGGTCACCTGTTTGTCTTGGTTTTGATGAACACCCTCAGGTCAGAGGTTGCCTCTCAGCATTCTTGTATCTCTGTGCCTAACACAGAGCCTGCCACATAGTTGGTGCCGTAACATCGAGTGCATTACAAATATCACAGGTCCAGGTAGAACATGACTGGGGCCAAAGAGGTTCTGGGCTCAAAGGAAGGGGCACCACAGCCCATGGGGGCTGGAATATGCCCCCTAACACGGAGAACCTTTGTGGTGGACTCAACCCCTTGTCCTTGCTCCAGACCTGCACAGGCATCGGTCCTGACCCGGTCCTGGGTGAACCACACAGGGCAGGTTTAACACGGGCATGTGATCCAATTCTGGCCAATGAGACAAAAGGACAGGTCTCCTGGGGACTTCTGGGAGAGGTTTCCTCGCTCTTAAACTGAGACATGAGAAAAGGAATCGGTCCTTACCAATTCCTTACCCAGTCAAGGACCTTATTGTTACATGTGATGCCTGGACCTGCAGCAGCCACCTTGGACCTGAGGGTCCTGCTTGGCTGATGGAGACTGACAGCGTCATTCTGACTTTGGTCTGCACCTGAACCTTCCTCACCCAGACACCCTTAGGAATAGGAAACGGGCCTTGATTTTGCTCTACAAGGAAAAACGCACAGCCACGAGCAAAGATGGACAGAACCATCACCCCAACAGTGCTGAGGGGCTGCTGCATTGGTGCACCCTGGTGCAGCAAGACCTCAGCTGTCCTCATTGTTTAAGCCACTCTGAGTTGGTTATCTGTCACTTGCAACCCATGGCACTCTAGTGATTACAGCTTTGAAGAATGGACTGGGCTTCCACAGGTGGGTGCCGGGCAGGAGAGCCTCTCAGGTAGGGGCAGCGTGTGGGGTGTGTGGCCCACGGCCCACCTGGAGGGCAGCACGCCACAGAGGCCACCCTAGGAGAACTGGCAGGGCCGACACTGGGTCCTGCTCCTCATTGGGACATTCACTGCCTTTCCTCCCTGTCATCGCCCCTCTTCGAGATCTGCTGGGAACATGCGAGTTATGTGCTTGTGCTTTGACATGACTTAATAAAGAAAGGGCTTTAAAAAGCCAGGAGAAAAGGCTGAGTAAATAAACAGCACTTCACTCTCTGCCTTGGACAACAGAGCAACCGCCCTCATTTCTTTTTGTCAGAACAGAGATAATCCAATAATTAGGGCAGCAAATAGCATAACCCTGGCTAAAGCCGTAATGAACCATCTGGCTTGAATCATTGAGGCTTATTCTAAGGATCTGGTTGTCACAGCCCAGAGGGGGGCACCGCCTGGGGTACTGGGTGGAAGGCAGTCCCACCCCAGAACCTGTTCCCCCACCATGGACAAGAGCCAAGATTTCTGGGCTTCTGGGCCTAGGATGTTTGTCAGCCTCCCATAGGATCCAAGCCTAGGGTGGGGCCCCCCTCGAAGGGGGCGACAGGGGCCCAAGCTGGCCCTAGCTCAGTGGCACACCGTCCTCCTTAGCTCCTCTGAGCCCGTCTTCAGCATTTCTTTGGCATGTCCTGATAATACGGGTGTGGCCAGCCCACAGTTCAAGCTGGCAAAGCTGCATCCAGCTCTGCCCTGCACTGCTGACCTCATGTGAGTCTGGCCCCTGCACCGCATGTATCTCAGGCCAGGGGCCCAGCCCTGCTGCCAGGACATGCTCCCTGAAGGGCTGCTGAGCTGATGGATTGGAGATGGGGCTGGCTGGCCTGAGTTTCTAGCTTCCTGGTCCCCTCCTTGCTTTGTGGGTTCAGAGACAGCAAAAAAAAGAAAAAGAAAAAGCCTCTTGGCCATTCGCCATGCAGAGGGCCCTCTGTGGCACCAGGAGGGTGGCCTGAAGCTCTGCCCTCCCCTCTTACTTCCTTGGTGCAGCAGCAGAGATGCCAGAAATGGGAACAACTTTCCCATCCGTTCTTCTGGGGGAGGCTTTGGATTCAGGGCAGCCAAAGCAGTTACTTGGGTCCCACTCAGGGCCCACCCAGGGGATCACCAAGTCCAGGGTGAGCTTCGCACAGGGTGCCAGGGGCAGAGGGGAGGGGGGGTGGATCTAGGGCACAGCCCTGAGGGCAAAAAACTCTTCCGACCCAATCTCCCCAAGCTGGCAGGAAAGTGGAGGGACAAGACTGCTCCCCAGCCCCCACGCCCCAGGGCAGGGCCTTCATGTGCCAGGCGCTGGCCCGAGGGCCGTGGTCCAGGCCTCTAGAAAGTGCAAAGCAGGCAGTTTCCCCTACAGGGGCCCTGCTCTAACCGGCCACTGCTGATGGGCCTCCCCAGGTGGGGCGATGGGGGGTCTGTGCCCCGGGGGCACTGGTAATCCCTACCTTCAGCTTCTGGTGGCACATTTGATGCTTGGGAAACTCCAGGCCCGCAGCCCACAGGCCCTGGTGAGTGCCCAGGCCAGGCGCAGACATCCCTGCTGCGCAGGGGAGGGGCAGCACCAGCCCTGGAGAAGGGCCACATCCCGGGAAGGGCTGGGGTTTGACGAGACGCTGGTTTTCCAGGTCTCAGTGACAAGTCTGGAGCCACAGCTGAGCTAGGAGGGGGTTCTCACATGCCATCCCCACCCCGCGCAAACCGACTCCTCACTGGACTGCGACCTCTTCCGGCCTCGGTTTCCCAGCCAGTCCCGGCTCGGGCCGGACAGGCACCCTCGGGGACGGGAAAAGGCGCCAGGAGCGCCCACCGGCCGGGCCTCGGTCCCGGGACTCCGGCGCTTGCCTGCTCCCGGGGGCTCAGGGCTCAGTCCGGGAGGAGGGGGAGCGGGCTGGGGGGCCCTCTCTGCCCGGGGGCCGCGGGCGTAACAGGTGGGCGAAGGTGCGCGGCCCTGGCGAGGGCTGCGGCGGGGTCCATGGACACCGGAGGAGGAAACGCCAAGGTTTTTCCAAAGGACAAGCGGCCCCGCGGTCCTCCTGGTCCTCTGCTCGCGCGCCAGCAAAGCAGCTGCGCTCTGCGGGCCGCCGGGACCACGCGGGAGGCCGGGCCGCTCCCAGCCTCGGGCCCCTCCCCAGCTCGCCCCAGCCCCGACCCTCGGCCGCGAGGCCCTCCCGGAGCGGCTGGCGAGCGGGGAGCGACCGCGCGGCCGGCAGCAACTGGTGTCTCCCCGGGACGCAGCTCCGCCCTTCCCGGGAACAAAAGCAGCCGCCCGCGCCGGAGCTCCGGGAGGGCGGGCTGGCAGGGAGGGGGCGCGGCGCCGGCTCCGAGGAACCCGGCCCCGGAAATGGGACACCCCCAGGGGGTGCCCCCGAACTTCCCTCCTGTCCGGCCTGGGTCGGGGGAGGGCTCGAGGCCGGTGGGCAGGGCGCGGAGAGCGCACCGAGTGCGCCAGGGGCCCGCAAGCCCGCGGCGGGGTTGTGAACCGAGGCAGAGCGCGAGCGCGCGAGGGGGACCGGCGGAGGGAAGCCGCGAGGCCGTGGGGGGGCCGAGCCCGAGCCAGGGGAGGGGGCGCGAAGTCGGCGCGTGGGAAACTTACTGCAGTCGTCCGACTCGTAGCCGTCGGCGTCCGGCTCGTCCTCCGGCGGCTTGGCTGGCGGCCGCGCGGGGCTGGGACCCGGGCTGGGGCCCGGGCTGGAGCCGTAGGCTCCGAAGAGCTGGTCCACATCCTCGTCGTCCTCGCGGGCGCCGTCGGAGGGGCTGCGGCGGCCGGCACCGGCCACAGCCGGGCGCGCGGGGGCGTCCGGGGGTGCAGCGGCTCGGGGCCCGGCGTCCGGGGGCAGGCCCCGCGGGAAGCGGGGGAAGTAGTCGGAGATCTGCTTGATGGGACGGATGGGGCCGGGGCACACGTCGATGGCCATATGCTCCTGGATGCTGATGGTCGCCTTCTCCCCGCGCCGCCGGAGGGTCATGCAGGCAGCGCCGCCCCGCCCCGGGCGCGGCCCGGCCCGGCGCGACCCCGGCCCGGGGGCGGCTCAGCAGGCCCGGCGGGGCGCGGCGGGGGCTGCGGGCATCGCCGGCCGCGCCCCCGGACGGCCCTGACTTGGCCGCTGCCCGCTCCGCTGCGGACGGCGCGAGCGAGTGCCAGAGGCCGGCAGGCAGGGGGCGGGCCCAGCCCGCGTCACCCGGCAGCAACCAAGCAGGGTGAGTGTGCGGGCTGCGCGGGCGGCGCGGAGCGGAGGGAGCCGCGCGGCGCCACACTCACTCGCACTCGCACTCACACCGGCGTGCACGCCGGCCCGGGACCCCGCGCGCGCACACTCGCGGCCAGGCAGGGCCGCCGGGCGCCTTCCGCTCATGCACGCCCGCGGCACAAGCTGGGAGTCAACCCGGCAGGGACCCGCAGGACGCGCACCCACACGTTCCCGCGCGTGCCAGCCCACGCTGGGCTCCGCTCGCTCTCTCGGGACACACGCAGGTGTGCAAGTGCACACATGCGTGTGCAGAGACACGTGGTGGAAGCATCCGCTCGCTCACACCGTAGGTCACACACGCAAACGTCTGCATGCGCACATGGTTGTTTTAGGAAGCTGTGACACAGTACACCCCCAATGCACAGGCGCGCACACCTGATGGAGCACACACACAGGTGATCAAGGGCACCCAGGGCACAGGCTTCCCTACCCCCAAGCACCCCTAACAAGATGCACAAACATGAGCCCATAGAAGTGATCAGGGGACCCTGGGCACAACTCCTTCTCTCCTCCCCCTCTAGCAGGACGTGGAGTCACACTCCTAGCATGTAGGGACAGGTTGCCTACACACGGGCAGGACATGTACACGCTCAACTGCACAAGGACACCGGGGCTCAGTCTGTGCACACATATTCTCAGGTCACATACAACACAGCACTCTAACCTCGGGTCAGTCCCTCACTTGGTCAGTGAGTACAGTCTGAAGGACCCCCCGGGGCAGGGTGGCTGAGAACCTGCACAGGGCCTGGTCAGGAGGGAGTGAGGGCAGGGCCTGGGCGGTGAGTGATGCAATAAGGCTGGGCGGCACGCTCCCCCCACCCCCACTCCTACTCTAGGCCTCCCACACGGTCAGATCACTAAACAAATCCCAGAGGGCCCAGCCCTGGCTGTCCGGCTTTCCGGGACCAGAGCTCTGTTGGGAACTGCTGCTGCTTGGACAGGTGTGTTCCCGGAAAGCCCTGGGCATGGATGGAATCCTGTTTACCCTCTGGTTTCCACTGATGTGTAAGACACTTAGCTTCTTAGTGGGTGCCTTTGGTGCATCTGAATGAGGGGCTCCAAGCCTCTCTTGTTCCCCCACCATAACCCCTGCAGAGTGATGGGGAGCAGAGGAAAGAGAGGCAAAGCCTTGGCCTGTGGCTTCCAGCTGCACAGTTCTGGCAGGCTATTTGACCTCTTTGAGCCTCGGTTTCCTCATCTATGAAGTGAGGCTATTTCCAACTGCACAGCCTTGTGGCAAGGCCCCATCCAGCACAGACAGGTAAGAGGTGCTCAGCTGGCTTTCCCTTCTCCCTTCCTTTGGAAAGACAAGACTCATGGTGAGAAGTGATGAGAAATTCATGTTTTGTGGTGAGTTCTGAACTGGGTGGTGGCGGGCACTACCGGCCTTTGAAAACACTGGAGAAACACATGGCATATGTTGTACTGCGCCAAGAACATTCACAGCTGTCATCTCATTGATTCCTTAAACCACCCCACGATGTAGGCAGGGCCTGCTGTTCCCATTTCACAGGGGAGGAAATTAGCGCTCAGGCACAAGGATGTGTCCAGGGTGACTGCTGGCTGGCGGCAGAGCTGCGATGAGAGCCCAGTGTCCTGACTGTTCGATGCTTCCACTTTCCCTCCCTTCTCCCTTTCCTCCCCTCCACTACAGAGCTCAGGGGCTCAGAGCAGAGTTGGAAACACAGGTAAAACCTCGTTCCCAAAGCTCATCCTGAGGCTTCTTGGACAGGGGAAGCCCAAACTGAGGAGGAGGGGAAGGAGGGAAAAAAAGGAGGAGGAAGAGGAGGACGGGAGGAGGCCAAGAGCCTCAGGGGTTACAGTGGGAATGAACCAGCCGGGGTTCCCTAAAGATAGTCTGAGGTCCTGGTGGGAGAAATATTCAGCCTTCCAAGAGCCAAAGGCCAAGGAAAGGACAGAAGAGCCTGGAAGGGCAGCCTGGCACAGAGGGGTTCTCATTTCCAGGAATGCTTAAGGGGATTAATCCTTAAATAGGCACAGGGTGACTTTTTCTGTGCCAGAGGTGGCTGCATCACAAAATGATTACATAATGACGCAGGTATTAAAATACAGACGCTGAACTGTCATTTTATCATTCCTTTACTAAGGAGCTGGAGGGTGTCGTCATCATCTTACAGATGGGGAAACTGAGGCTGCGGGAGGTCAAGTGACTAGCAAGAGGCAGACTGGAGATGAGACCTGGACGTCCTGACTGCTGAGCCTGCCAAGGCCCTGTACCTGTGTTCACCGAGAGCTGGCCGCTCTCTCCTGGCCTCTTGTCCTATGGGTCTGGTTTTTGGAGGATCGGCTCATGGCTCTTGGCTCTGCAGGAGCTGGCTCTTGGGGAGGGCTTTGAAGAAGTCAGGTGGAGGGCCCAGCCTCCTAAGCATGGAGCCAGGGAACCCAAGGATGCCCACTGGAGAAACACATGGCATGTTGGGGTCTACCCTTTGGCAGGTGGCAGAGTTGAAATCCACTCTAGGTCTGAATTTGCCCAGCTCTGAGCCCAGCTGAAATGGGGTAGGGCCTCCCCGAGGGATAGAAGTGGATAGAAGTGGTGTTATCTGGGCAAGTGTCCACTTTCTAGAAAGAGCATAGGTCAGGGAGTAGGCAGACGTAGAGTCAAAAGTCAGGTGTGCCTCCTCCTAAGCGTACCGGACTTTGGGCAAGTTGTTTAACTTAGGCCCTGGGTCTCATCTGCAATGGGGGAGAATAAGAACAACGTTGTGTGAGTTAAAGGTGAGGATGGGTATACAGTGCTTAGCACAGTGCCCAGTGTGCAACTGGCACTCAGGGAATTGTGATTCTGTTGCCCCTGCCTTCCTGGTGCAAACCGTCCCATTGCAAATCTTCCTGGTGCAAACCGTCGTGGTGCAAACCTTCCTGGTGCAAATCGTCGTGGTGCAAACCTTCCTGGTGCAAACCGTCCCAGTGCAAAACTTCCTGGTGCAAATCGTCCTGGTGCAAACCTTCCTGATGCAAACTGTCATTGCGCTCCCAGTGCCTGCCTTGATTTCTCTACCAGTGACATGTGGTTGGCTGCTCCCTGTCTGCTGCCAGGACCAGGTGAGAAATGGATGCACTTGCCAAGGCTGGGCGCTGGCTGGCATGTGTGGGCATCTCTAAGCAGTTGGATATGTCCAAAGGCTCATCAATCATGTTGCCTTCCATTCCCCATGCTGAGGTGGGCAGCTGGGCAGCTGGACCAGCCTCTGGCAAAGTTAAGTGGATGGAGTCTGCCCTTGGTCACAGTCCTCAGAAGCCCTGTGCCCTTGCCTCTCTGCCTTCTGCTTTTCCCAACAAGCTTCTGAGCTTTCTCCCAACTCCCCACAGACCCTCTCAAAGGCTCCTCCTGTCAAGTGAGATACAGTGGGTTCTTTAAAAAATGGTCCAGGTATCTGTAGCACTAGCATGTCTATTTACTTTGTCACTGAGGCTGGAGTGCAGTGGTGTGATCATGGCTCACTGCAACCTCGACCTCCCGAGGCTCAAGTGATCTTCCCAACTCAGCCTCTCAAGTATCTGGGACCAAATGCATGCACCACCATCCCCAGCTAATTTTTAAAATTTTTGTAGAGACGGGGTCTTGCCATGTTACCCTGGCTAGTCTCAAACTCCTGGCTTTAAATGATTTTCCTGCCCTGGCCTCTCAAAATGCTGAGATTACAAGCGTGAGTTGCCACACCCAGCCCAGGATGTCTATCAATAATGCAGATTCCAGGCCCCCATCTCACACCCACTGACTCAGAATATGTGTGTGCACACTCAGGATGCATCTTAACAAGCGCCCCTGATGATTCTGGTGCACAGTGAAGGTTGAGACTCGCTGGGTTAGAGGGTGCTAATGGTTTAACGGTGATTTTCAACCTGCTGGGCTGCCTCTATACTGTTCACATGTGTAACATATGCCCATCAGTGACATCTCTCAATATTTAATGATTCTTCACTGGGGAAGTGAGTGACTAACCCAAGGCAGGTGTTGGAATTTCCAGAGAGGTTTGGCAAAGCCACAGTGGGGAGTCTGATCTCCTCCTGTTTGGGTATTCTGACCTCTTTCCCGGTGGAGAAGTGTTGGGAGCAGGCCCCCCAAAATCTAGCCATAAACTGGCCCCAAAACTGGCCATAAACAAAACCTCTGCAGCACTGTGACATGTTCATAATGGCCCTAACGCCTCCGCTGGAAGGTTGTGGGTTTACCGGAATGAGGGCAAGGAACACCCGGCCCGCCCAGGACGGAAAACCCCTTAAAGGCGTTCTTAAGCCACAAACAATACCGTGAGTGATCTGTGCCTTAAGAACATGCTCCTGCTGCAGTTAACCAGCCCAACCTATTCCTTTAATTCAGCCCGTCCCTTCGTTTCCCATAAGGGATACTTTTAGTTGATTTAACATCTATAGAAACAATGCCAATGACTGGCTTGCTGTTAGTAAATACGTGGGTAAATCTCTGTTCCGGGCTCTCAGCTCTGAAGGCTGTGAGACCCCTGATTTCCCACTCCACACCTCTATATTTCTGTGTGTGTGTCTTTAATTCCTCTAGCGCCGCTGGGTTAGGGTCTCCCCGACCAAGCTGGTCTCGGCAGAGAAGGACCAGTTAATGGCTCTTCTTAGCGTAGGTAACGTGTGTTGTTGAGGAAATGCCCTCTGTGCAGCACTTGGCTGGATGTTCCTTGGTTGGCATCTTGGCTGGTGTCCATGTGCCCGGAGAAGAAGGGCCCTCTCTGACCCAGGCCTAATATGTGTCCCCCGTTTCCACCCTTCCCTGATAACCGGAGGAGATCTTGTCCTGCTGTGCTAATAGAACGTTCTCTGTATTAACAGAAAATTTTAACCCAACAGAGGTGCTTGGATGGAGGAAATCCAAACAATGTTGCTGGTTGATGGAGAGGGGCATTCCAAGGTCTCTTGTCCATTCATTTATTCATGAAGCCACATTTCAACAAATATTTATTGTGCACCTGCCCTGTAACAGGCCCCGAGCTGTGATCTGTAGGGGGCTCAGTGATAAATGAAGCCCATTTTTCTTTAGATTCCAGATGATGGAGGGGAAGTCAGGAAGGGAGGTAGGAACCACCACTCTAGGGGTCCCTTGCCTCCTTCTTGGCATACGCTATGGCCTCGGCATGGAGAGCATGATGGAGCACTGATGCCAGCAAGTCAGCTCAACATTTGCAATATAGCGTGTGGCTGCTTAGAGGC
Organism: Homo sapiens; assembly: GCF_000001405.40. Classification (NCBI taxonomy): domain Eukaryota; kingdom Metazoa; phylum Chordata; class Mammalia; order Primates; family Hominidae; genus Homo; species Homo sapiens. The sequence goes on from NC_000017.11 coordinate 186,961, forward strand.
CAACTTGATATATTAAGTGATATTAAAAATGCAGCCTATTTCTGATAATTTATGCGCATTCTCATAAACACATTACACTCGTCACAGTACATTTACGAGCACCAGGCCTACCAGTGGGGAAAAGTTAACACCTACCTAATGATGTTGTTTTGCAGATGTCAGATGCTCTGGTGCTGCAGTGATGGGCTCAATGGTGCAAAGAAATGTGAGTCTTTCTTCTATCCTGGGACACCAGAAGGCTGCCCAGGGCTCGGCAGAAGAACCAGGCTCTCTCCCTCCACACTGCCAAGGTCTGTGCTGTGGGATTGGAAAGAGGCCGGGTGAGAGGCTCCCCTGCCAGGAGAGACTTAGCCCAGGATCAGGTTGCCTAAGGCAAGAGATTAGATGTCACAGAGGGATAATGCTGAATCCTCTGGGGAAGCTCTAGAAATGACCTCTGGGAGAAAGAGGGGCAGAGCCTGAGGCTTACATCACAGCACAGATCAGCCTCCCTCCCACAGGCCTGGGGACCACTAGAGCCCAGGGTCTTCATGACTGAAGTGAACATCTCAGCATTATACATGAATTAGAATGAGTAGAAACTCTAACTAGCCCAGGGCTGGTGGAAACCCAGGGCCAACAGCCACAAATGTTCCCTCCAATCGCTTTGAATTCATGATGCAATTCAAAGGAATTAACAATGCAAGTGGTAGCTTTCAATGATAACGTGTTCCACTTTTTGTGTTTGAGAGAGTCTCACTCTGTTGCCCAGGCTGAAGTGCAATGGCACGATCTCGGTTCACTGCCACCTCCACCTCCCGGGTTCAAGCAATTTTCCTGCCTCAGCCTCCTGAGTAGCTGGGACTACAGGTGACTGCCACCATGTTTGGCGGGCGTAGTTCTTTGTATTTTTAGTAGAGATGGGGTTTCACCATGTTGGCCACGCTGGTCTTGAATTCCTGACCTCAGGTGATCTGCCCGCCTCAGTCTCCCAAAGTGCTGGGATTACAGGTGTGAACCACCACACCTGGCACCCCCCGCCTTTTTTTTTTTTTTTTTTTTTTTTTTAGAGACTGGACCTTGCTTTGTCACCCAGGCTGGAATGCCATGGAGTGATCATGGCTCACTGCAGTCTTGAACTCCTGGGCTCACGTGATCCTCCCATCTCAGCCTCCTCAATAGCCAGAACCACAGATATGCACCACCACGTCCAGTTAATCTTTTTATGTTTTATTTTTTAAAGATGGGTCTTGCTATGTTGCCCAGGCTTACATGAACTGAGTTTTACATTTACTACAAATGTGTGTACCTATAAACAATATATGGTATTGTTTTGCAAGCTTTAAAACTTTGTAAAAATGGCATCATACTATACATAACCTCATTAAACTCATTTTTGGCTTATTATTATTTGTGAAGTTTTTTCCTGTAGATGCATCTAGCTATAGTTTGTTTTTATTGCTGTCTACTGTTCCACTATGTGAATACGCCATAATTTATTTCTCTTTTCTCCTATTGTTGATCATTTAAGCTGGTTCCTATGCGTGGCTATCATCAACATGCTGCAATGGCTATTCCTGTTTCCTGGTCTGTATATGGGATTTCTTTTTTTGAGACAGGGTCTCACTCTATTGCCCAGGCTAAAGTTCAGTCGTACCATCTCGGCTCACCACAGCCTCAACCTCCCTGGGCTCAGGCGATCCTCCCACCTCAGCCTCCCGAGTAGCTGGGACTGCAGGCACATACCACCACATCTGGCTAATTTTTATAATTTTTGTAGAGAAAGGGTTTGCCAGGTTGCCCAGGCTAGTCTGAAACTCCTGAGCTCAAGTGATCCTCCCACCTCAGCCTCGCAAAGTGCTGGGATTACAGGCGTGTGCCACCACACCTGGCCAGGGAGAGTTTCTTTAAGAGAGTTTCTTGGATAGGAAATTTGCTGGGCCTAGGGTCTGTATATCTTTACCTTGACTAGAGAGTGCCTAGCTGCTCCCCAAACTGGTTAGAACCACGGCCATTCTCACCAACCATCTCTAACAGTGCCAGTTCCTCCTTGTCCTTGTCAACACTTGGTATTGCCAGACTTGAATTTTTGCTAGTCTGGTAGGTTTTTTTTATGTTTAATTAGTTCTCCTTGCTAACTAGTGCTACTTCATTTCTGCTGCTAAGGGTGGGCATGTGCTGTCAATAGATAAATGCAACAGATTAAAAATTGAAGAGCTTCCATCAATAAGGGATTGGCTAAATACAGTATGCCTCACCTGTACAATAGAATACTGCACAATCATTAACAAAGATGAGTGTGCTGATATGGAAGAGATATTGATATTCTGATGTACTAAATATCTTTTCATCTCCCAGATTTATTGTTACAAAGCAAGAGGCATAAAAAGCATATTCCCTTTGTAAATAAATGAAAAGATATGTATACACATGCATATTTGTATGTATATGCGCAGAATACCTCTGAAAGAATGAACAGGAAACTGGTAACCACAGTTCATCTGGGAAGAGCACTAGAGGACAGGGAAACTTTTTTGCTCTGTGAATTCTTACCACGCATGTGTATTAGCCTGTTGGAAAAAATTAGCCCTAGAATAGGCAAATTCGTAGAGACTGAAAGTAGAATAGAGGTTGCCAGAGGTTTTGGGGTAGAGAATAGGGGGTTTTTATTTGATAGATGCATTTTCTGTTTGAGATGATGAGAGAGTTCTGAAATGGATAGTGGTGATGGTTGTACAACATTGTGATTGTACTTAATGCCACTCAACTGTACACTTAAAAGCGGTTGAAATGGGCTGGGCACGGTGGCTCACACCTGGAATCCCAGCGCTTCGGGAAGCCAAGGTGGGCAGATCACCTGAGGTCAGGAGTTCACGACCAGCCTGACCAACATGGTGAAACCCCGTCTCTACTAAAAATACAAAAATTAGCTGGGCGTGGTGGTGGTCGCCTATAATCCCAGCTACTCAGGAGGCTGAGGCAGGAGAATTGCTTGAACCTGGGAGGTGGAGGTTGCAGTGAGCCAAGATCACGCCACTGTACTCCAGCCTGGGCAACAGAAGTGAGACCTCATCTCAAAAAAAAAAAATGTTGAAATGGCCTGGCACAATGGTTCACACCTGTAATCCCAGCCCTCAGGGATGCCAAGGCAAGAGGATCACTTGAGCCCAGGAGTTTGAGACCAGCCTGGGAAAGATGGTGAGACTCTGTCTCTACAAAATGTTTTTTAAAAATTAGCTGGGTGCAGTGGTGCACACCCTGTGGTCCCAGCTGCTGGGGAGGCTGAGGTGGGAGGATTGCTTGAGCCTAGGTTGTGGTCCCAGCTGCTGGGGAGGCTGAGGCGGGAGGATTGCTTGAGCCTAGGAGGTTGAGGCTGCAGTGAATCATGTTCTCAGCACTGCACTCCAGTCTGGGCAACACAGTGAGACCCTGTCTCAAAAAAAAAAGAAGGAAAGAAAGAAGGAAGGAAGGAAAGAAAAGAAATAAAGAAAGAGAAAGAAGAGAAAGAGAAAGAAAGAGAGAAAAAGAAGAAAGAAGAAAAAGAAAGAAAGAAAAGAGAGAAAGAAAGAAAGAAAGAAAGAAAGAAAGAAAGAAAGAAGGAAAGAAAGAAAGAAAGAAAGAAGGAAAGAAAGAAAGGAAAGAAAGAAAGAAGAAAGAAAAGACCAAGTACAGTGACTCACACCTGTAATCCCAGCACTTTGGGAGGCCAAAGTGGGAGGATTGCTTGAGGCCAGGGATTCGAGACCAGCCTGGGCATCACAGTGAGACCCCATCACTACAAAAAATAAAAAAAAAAAGGAGTGGGGTATGGTAGCATGCACCCATAGTCCCAGCTACTCAGGAGGAGTGGGGAGGATCCCTTGAACTAGGGAGATCGAGACTGCAGTGAGCCATTACTGCACCATTGTATACCAGCCTGGGTGACAGAGCAAGACCCCATCTCAAAAAAAAAAAAAAAAAAAAAGGAAAAGAAAAGAAAAGAAAAATGGTTGGAATGGTATTATATCTTAGGTTATATCTATTTTACCACACTAAAAAAAGCAGATAAAAATAAGCTCACAATAAACAAATTTAAATTGCACCGAGGGGGAGCACTTGGTCCATGAGCAGCTTCCTCATGCTCCCCTGGAGAGCAACCCTGACCCCTCTCCCAGCCCCTAATCTGTGCATCTCTGCCTGCCTGGAACCTTCTGGGGCTCCCAGGGTCTGGGGAACAGTTCGAAGACCACTGGGTCTAAGGAAAACCCCAGCTGGCATTACCTTAACTTTCATCACTTATGAATCAGCTTCCCAACTGGAACCTGCACTATTATTTACTTAGTACTTTTCTTTAAACAGACTTACTTAAAAATCCCTTAAATACCCAGGTTAGCTTTGTCCTAACAATAATATCAATGATGGGAATTGATGTGCTGATTACGTCTCTCTATGGCACATTGAAATAAACATATAATTATTACAGTAAAATAGGGTGTGTTACGTCAGTAAGGGTTAAGCAAATGGCCAAGGTCTCATAACTAGAAAGAAGCAGAGGCTGGCCCTGAGGCTTGGCAGACCGGCTCCAGAATTGACACCCTTGACCACTGTCACCTACCCCTGGCCCCGCGACAGTCACCCGTTCCCCCGCCCCCGCGACAGTCACCCGTTCCCCCGCCCCCGCGACAGTCACCCGTTCCCCCGCCCCTGCGACAGTCGCCCGTTCCCCCGCCCCCGCGACAGTCGCCCGTTCCCGCCCCCGCGACAGTCGCCCGTTCCCCCGCCCCCGCGACAGTCGCCCGTTCCCCCGCCCCCGCGACAGTCGCCCGTTCCCCCGCCCCCGCGACAGTCGCCCGTTCCCCCCCCCCGCGACAGTCGCCCGTTCCCCCGCCCCCGTGACAGTCGCCCGTTCCCCCGGCCCCGCGACAGTCACCCGTTCCCCCGGCCCCGCGACAGTCACCCGTTCCCCCGCCCCCGCGACAGTCACCCGTTCCCCCCCCGCGACAGTCACCCGTTCCCCCCCCGCGACAGTCACCCGTTCCCCCGCCCCGCGACAGTCACCCGTTCCCCCGCCCCCGCGACAGTCACCCGTTCCCCCGCCCCCGCGACAGTCGCCCGTTCCCCCGGCCCCGCGACAGTCGCCCGTTCCCCCGCCCCCGCGACAGTCGCCCGTTCCCCCCCCCGCGACAGTCGCCCGTTCCCCCGGCCCCGCGACAGTCGCCCGTTCCCCCGGCCCCGCGACAGTCACCCGTTCCCCCGCCCCCGCGACAGTCGCCCGTTCCCCCGCCCCCGCGACAGTCGCCCGTTCCCCCGGCCCCGCGACAGTCGCCCGTTCCCCCGGCCCTGCGACAGTCGCCCGTTCCCCCGGCCCCGCGACAGTCACCCGTTCCCCCCCCGCGACAGTCACCCGTTCCCCCGCCCCGCGACAGTCACCCGTTCCCCCGCCCCCGCGACAGTCGCCCGTTCCCCCGGCCCCGCGACAGTCGCCCGTTCCCCCGCCCCCGCGACAGTCGCCCGTTCCCCCGCCCCCGCGACAGTCGCCCGTTCCCCCGCCCCCGCGACAGTCACCCGTTCCCCCGCCCCCGCGACAGTCACCCGTTCCCCCCCCACGACAGTCACCCGTTCCCCCCCGCGACAGTCACCCGTTCCCCCGCCCCCGCGACAGTCACCCGTTCCCCCGCCCCCGCGACAGTCACCCGTTCCCCCCCCCGCGACAGTCACCCGTTCCCCCGCCCCGCGACAGTCACCCGTTCCCCCGCCCCCGCGACAGTCACCCGTTCCCCCGCCCCCGCGACAGTTAGCTGTCCCCTGCCCCCATGAAGGGGCATGCTTGCCCAACATGTTAAGGCTGCAGGTGGCAGAGCATAGTTCTTTGTGGGTGAGGAGGGAGGGCGAGCTGAGCTGAGCTTTGCTTACCATCCTCGGTGGCACCTGCCAGGGCTGGGCCAGTCCTCCGTTCCCTTGAACCCACAGGACAATGACCCAGGGGTCCCGGACTCTCTACAAGGCCTGGCCTTCAGGCTCATGCCCAGCCTTCCTCAGAGGGCTGGGGGTCTGCATCAGGTTAACCACACGGCAGCCCCCACCTCTGCAGCCCCACCCGCTGTCTCCCTGACCCCTCTTCTGCCCTAAGGCAAGAGCAGGAGGCACTGCGTTGGCCTCAGTCCTGAGACCTCAAGGCTGAGAAAAGGTTAGCCAGGCAAAGAGCTGCAGGAAGGAGGAAGGGGTCCAGGCAGGGGGAACAGCACGTGCTGAGGCCGGGCATGGGGAGGAGTGTGGTGTTTGGGGAGCTGCTTGTGGTTGAGCCTGGCTGGAGCTCTTGGTGTGAAGGGGCCCTACGGGGCAGAGGGTGGAGGCCCGGTGGCTCCTATTGCATCTGTCCTGTGGCCTTGGCATGGGGTCACCCTCCTATCACACTCCCCTGGAGGCTACTGATGCCGTGGGCTCCACCAGTCTTATGGGTCAGTGCGGGGAGCCCTTTGCTGTCTGCATTCCGAGTCAAAGACTCAGGGATGAAGGGTCCTTGTAACTCATTCAGTACCCCCCATCTCCCCACTCCCACCACAGCCCAGCGCCCAAACACACTGGTGAGCTCCAGCCACCACGCCCCTGCTCGGATGGCTCAGCCTGCTGGGCAGCCTCATTCACCCTTGACCACCTGGCACACTCCTATGCTGCCCTCAACACCCCACTCAGGTGTTGCCTCCTCCGACAAGCTTTCCACAGTGGTCCCCTGGCATGGCCACCCTTGTGGGCCTCACCACGCTTCGTGATTATTGTCCAAGTGTGTCTCCCCAACGGGGTTGAATTGCTTGAGGACCTGAATGGGGCATCACCATCTTTGTGGCCCTTGAGCTGTGGGGTCCAACTCGATTGCCTTGGGACCCCCTGGGAGATTCGCAGGACCCATTCCCAGGGAGCCCAGGCTCCAGGCCCAGGGTGGGGCCCAGTATTCTGAGGCGGGAGTTCCGGCAGAGCTTTCACCAGCTCTGCGAATGTGGAAACGGAGGCCGAGAGGCGGCCTGAGCTGTCCAAGGTCATACAGCAACTGGGAGGCAGGGCCAGGGCTCCCGGCTCCCTCTGGGGTTCTAGCTCAGGGCTCAAAGTCCACCCCTGTGTGGCCAGCGGGGAGACTGTTCCTACCGCACCTGGCTTCCAGCAGCCCCGGTGGTGACTGTGGCTCACGCCTTCCCACAGGGCCTTGGTAGAAAGGTCTTAGTACTCAGGAAGAGCCCATTTCATGCTTTTGTCCTACCCTCCCCACTTTCACACCTGTGCAGGCTCACAGCCCCACCTACCTCGGGGCCTTTCCACTGTCCAGGGCCTCCTCCTGGAATATTCTGCCACCAAACCATCCCATGGGGGGGCTCATCCTCACTGAAGGTCTCACTCGAGGCCAACTCCTAGGGAGGCCTGGGGAACCGTGGAAAGCAGCTGTGTTCAGGCCCTGCTCATTTCTGGTCTGCAAGCCTCCTTGGAGGCAGAGGCCTAGCCTGGTGCCTGGCTCATGCAGGGCAAGCACTCAATTCACGGAGGTGGAAGGGAGGCAGCCGTGGGGGAGACCACCGGGTGACAGGGCAGCTGGGTGGGAGGAGGAGGGAGGCCAGCCCGGCTCCTCCCTGCCTGTGCGGCTCCCACTCTGGGCCAGTGGCCTTGGAGACAGCAGCGTTTAGAGGGAGGAGGGAGGGCGAGCGGAGGGCCATCCATCAGCGGGGAACGTGTAGAGCCTCGTAAATCAGGGAGGCTGTCTGAGGCCCCTGTGCCAAGCATCTGCTGGCGTCTGGGAGCCTGGGAGGGCAGGCTGCTCCTCCGGGGAAAGGAGACAGCCACGCCTCGGGGCTCCCCTAGTTGAGGAGGGCGGGCAAGCCTCCCTCCGTCTCCCCAGGCACTTCAGTGTGTTATCCCAAATACCTAACAGCCCCCACCCCAACCTGCAAGGCAGGCCATAATTTTGTTTTAATTATTTTGAATTTTAATACACAAGACTGTAGAAAATAACATAACAAATCCCAAAACATATCCACCCTAACTTTTTCATTTTTTATGGAGGGTTTTGTTTAGTTTGCTTTTCTTTAAGAGTCGGGGTCTTGCTCTGTCGCCCAGGCTGGAGTGCCGTGGCACAATCACGGTTCACTGCAGCCTCCACCTCCTGGGCTCAAGTGATTCTCCCACCTCAGCCCCCTCAGTAGCTGGGACTACAGGCACATCCCACTACAACCGGCTAATTTTTTTGTATTTTTTTGCAGAGACGGGTTTTCGCCATGTTGCCCAGGCTGATCTTACTGGGCTAGAGTGATGCTCCCCCGTTAGCCTCTGAAATTGCTGGGATTACAGGTGCGAGCCACCGCTCCCAGCCCGAGATTTTTGAACTCATAAGATTGTGAACGATAGCATATAAAACTGCATAAAACACAGTTGCCTAAAATGATTAGTTATAAAGCAGACATCAGCATAATCACCACCCAAGTCATGAAACAGGAAGTTGCCAGCCTTCCCCACCCCCAGCATGTGTTTCTCTCATTAGGCACCTCTCCCTGCCCCCATGATTATTTATTTTTTTAGAGATGGCGACTTGCTATATTGCCCAGGCTGGACTTGAACTCCTGGATGCAAACGATCCTCCTGCCTTAGCCTCCCGAGTAGCTAAGACCACAGGCCCATGCCATTGTGCCTGGCTTTGCCGTTTTTATGTTATGACTTTATGTGACATCGTTGCCCAGCTTTCCTGGCCTTTAAAAAGTATAAATACAATAAAACATTACAGATAAAAATTCCCTTCTTGTGTCTCAACCCCACCCCAGGGGCAAGCATAATGATGAGATTTACATATGTCATTCCAGGCTGCATTTGATATTTTTACGACAAATATTAGAGAAGTATTGTTTTACATAGTTTAAAACGTTTCACAAATGACAACAATACTGTGTATATTATTCTGCAAGTTGCTTTTTCACTAACTCTAAATGCTTTTTAAAAAACAGCTGTATTGAGACATAATTTATACACCATAAAATTCAACCATTTTAAGTGCACAATTTAATGATTTTTAGTAAATTTAAAGACTTGTGCAACCACCAGCAAATTTAAAGACTTGTGCAACCACCAGCACAATCCAAGTTTAGATCATTTCCATCCCTCCTAAAAACTCTAAATAGGCTGGGCATGGTGGCTCGTGCCTGTAATCCCAGCACTTTGGGAAGGCAGGGTGAAAGGATTTTAAGAGGCCAGGAGTTGCAGACCAGCCCGGGCAACATAGTGAGATCCTGTCTCTACACAAAAAATTTTTTTTCAAAAATTACCTGGACACAGTGGCTGCACCTGTAGTCCCAGCTACTTGGGAGGCTGAGGTGGGAGGATTGCTTGAGCCCAGGAGTTCCAGGATGTAGTGAGCTAGGATCTCGCCGCTGAACTCCAGCTTTGGGCGACAGAGCAAGATCTTGTCTCTGAAGAGAAAACAGTCTAAATGCTTTTTTGCTTTCTCTCTTTTTTTTTCCTAAGTGCCTTTGATACACATTTTAATAACTGCCCCTTATAAAGCTCCTGCATGTGCCAAGCACTGCTGCAAGGTATTAAATATGCCACCACATTCACTCCTCATAGCAACTCCACAAGGTGACAGTCTTAGGGACGATGACACGGAGGCAGAGGGGGTAACAAACTGTCCACGGTCACCCTATTAGAAACTCACAGAACAGGTGGCTGCAAACCCAGTCTGACCCCAGAGTCAGCCACTTAGCCACCCACTGTGAATTCATGCACTCTTACTGTCGCGTGCTATGTCAGGCAAATGTTTTTATCCTACGGTATGAATGAGAAACCGAGGCTTGGAGGGGTTAAGTGACTTGCTCAGTATCACTGGACAGAGAATAACAGAGCTGGGGTTTGAATCTACGTCTACGTGACTTCAAGCTCGCTGGCCCTTTGCTGGTCTCTGGTCTCCTTGGCTGCCTTTCCTTTTTTTCATTACAGTAAAGGAATAAAAGAGAGAAAAGAGGAGGATGGGTGGAAAGGGGGAGAGAGAGATGCCAGAAAAAGCTTTTATTTTTATTTTTTTTTTGAAATGGAGTCTGGCTCTGTCACCATGCTGGAGTGCAGTGGTGAGATCTTGGCTCACCGCAACCTCTGCCTCCTGGATTCAAGTGATTCTCCTCCCTCAGCCTCCCAAGTAGCTGGGACTACAGGCACCTGCCACCACACCCAGCTAATTGTATTTTTAGCAGAGATAGGGTTTCTCCATGTTGGCCAGGCTGGTCTCAAACTCCTGACCTGAAGTGATCCACCATCCCAGCCTCCCAAAGAGCTGGGATTACAGGCATGAGACACCGTGCCTGACCAGAACAAACTTTTAAATTCTTTTATGCTCAGCCTATATCCACAGATACTTACATATATACATGTGCAACACAGGATCTCTGAACACCAACTCTAGTCAGTTGAGTGTGTGCACAGTTGTGTGTGTGTAGGCTGTACACATGTGTGCACACACATGCATATGTGTACCTGAGACCACATGTGCGTTCACACACCATTCCAGATGCACACCCACACAGGTGTACACACCCTAAAAGGCACACCCACACAGGCACATACAGGTGCACACCCACACAGGCACAGGTGTACACACACACAGCTGTACACACACACAGCTGTACACACACAGCTGTACACACACTCACACAGCTGTACACACACTGAAATGACTAGAATTGGTGTTCACAGATCCTGTGTTACTCAGGGTGAGGAGAATGTCAGTGTGTATGTGTGCTCATGCGTGTGTGTGTGTACATGTGTGTGTAGTGGGAGACAGGAGTTCAGTCTTCCAGGGTCCCCTGGTGGCCCATCTGTCAGGGTCCAGATCTGAGAAATGCTCCATCAGGGGCAGACCCCTTCTCCGAAAGGCACTCTCAGCCAGGAGGGCCCCATGCCCCACCACCCTCTCTTTATGCTACCAAGTGCTTGCTGAGGTCCTTAGATAAAGTTTCAGGACCTGGAAGACGGAGCTAGGCATGATCTCTGGGGACTTCCTGGCCCCGTGTGGCCACGTCGAATCCGCTGCTTCTCTTTTCACTGGTCTGGTGCTTCCATCCCCAAAGCTCCTTTCTGCCCCGCGACTCCTCTGAGTCTACACAGACCTGCAAGGGCCTGTAGGAACCACACCTAACAAGCAACCACAAGCAGCAGCCAGTGAGCAGACACGACAGCCAGACAGCGGGACTCACCACAGGTCCACGAGCAGGTCTACTGCCATTTTACAGATGGGGAAACTGAGGCACAGCAGCCTTCTGCAGGGCCCCGTGGCTAGAGATGGACTCCAGATTCACACCCAGGCTGTATGTCTGCACAACTTGGACTGCACAACCCAGCACAGAGAACACTCGACCCCCGCTCACGCAACACAGCAGGATCCCGAGCTTGGAACCCAGGTGTTCACAAAGGGGTCCCGACTCTGGAACCCAGGCCTCCACAGCAGGATCCCGACCCTGGAACCCAGGCGTCCACAGCAGGATCCCGAGTTTGGAACCCAGGCGTTCACAGCAGGATCCCGACCCTGGAACCCAGGCGTCCACAGCAGGATCCCGAGTTTGGAACCCAGGTGTTCACAGCAGGATCCCGAGCTTGGAACCCAGGTGTTCACAGCAGGATCCCGAGCTTGGAACCCAGGTGTTCACAGCAGGATCCCGACCCTGGAACCCAGACATCCACAGCAGGATCCCAAGCTTGGAACCCAGGTGTCCACAGCAGGATCCCGAGCTTGGAACCCAGGCATTCTAGTATCCAGCCTCCAAGTCTTGGTCCTACCCTGGTGGTTTACAGAAGCCGAGAAGCTGACAGCTTTACTCACCCATGACAAAATAAGAAAAGCACAGGGCAATGTAGGAAGTTTTTCATAAAGTTAAATCCCTTTAATTTAAAAAAAAAACAGCTTTTTTGGTTGACTTTTCCCCTCTCTTTTCTAAAATAAGGGTGATCTTATCCAGTGGTTCTTATTTTATATTCTTAATTTAGCAAGATAAAAATGTGAGCAGCTGCACGCCAGCCCCCAAACTCTAGGGGAGGTTTTTCTGGTTCAGACTGTCTCAGGTTCGAGCCTCCTTAGGGCACCCCCTTTCCGTCCACCTTAGCCTGGAACTGAGACTTCTTTTTCTTTTGTATCTGTCCTTCTCAGATCTCATATTTGTATTTTCCAAAACAATCTAGTTGAAGAAATCCTATTTGGTATGTTTGAAATCTTTATGCTCCCAGCTCAAACTCTGGATTAACAACAAAACAGAGGAAAACTCTTTTTCTTATTCAGCAGTCAAACTTCAAGGCAACTTCAGCCCTGGGAACTCAGCCAGTTGCTGGGAAGTAAAGGAATCAAAGGCTTCTAAACAGTAAAAAATGTCTTTAGAGCTCGGCTCAGAGGGAGCTTTGGCCTTCCTGCAAATTAAGAATAATGATTTGGTGAGCTTGTTTATCTCCCCTCCACCAGCAAGGCTTGGTCTCCCCAGGGGTAACCGGCTGCAGATTCAAGAGGAAGCTGGGAGGGCTGTCTGGGGCTGGAGAAGGAGGCAGCTCCAACACGCCGCGGTCAGGCAGTGTGGGGACAAAGAGGTCTCCTTACTTCCACAGCACCGAGTCATCGAAGTTTACAAGACACTTCTACGTTGATCTGGAAAAAGGAGGTGTTCCTAGTACATCTTAGAAAGATTTCCATAAAACGGGCTAAAAAGCAATCATAAAACCACAACAAAACACAAACAGGCAAGGGAAAGGATAAACTTCCATCACCTGGAAGCCTCAGAGACAGGAGAGGGTACACAGGTGAGAGCCTTGGCTGGGTGGGAGGTAGGAGTCAGACCGGACCCTCTGCAGAATTAGCAGTGGTGTGCGCTCACCTCTGGAGCTGCTCCTCTGAGATGGGCCTGGCCCCCTAGATAATTGGAGGGTCCTGCATCTCATGGCAGTTTCCACCATGCCCTGCTGCAGCTCGCACCCAGAGCCCTCTGATCACGGGAGTGGGCAGCTGCCATTTACTGCTGCACCATTCTGACCATGTGCCCCACGTTATTTCATGTAGCCCTCACTACTGCTGTGTCCAGGAGGCTCAGAGAGGTCAAGTTACTTACCTAAGGTCACACAGCTGGTATGTGCCAGAGCTGGGAAGAGAACGTGCACTTGTATGACTCCGGGATGTTGGCTTTCTGCCTTGACGCCCCAGCCTCTTCAGCTGTGGCTGGTGGCAGGTCCTGGGCCTCTAGCGAGGACGTGCCTGGCTGTGGGCCCAGCCTGGGATTGACCTCACACCCTCTCTCACACCTGGGGCTTCACTGACAGCGGCGGGCACAGTGCCTTCCTTTCTCTTTCCCTAGACACCAGCTCTGACCCTCCAATTTCCACCATGATCACAGTGTTCTCAGAGTCAGGCAGCATATGAGGAAAATTGCCCTTTCCCTGGAATAATTTACCATCTTGTAATTTCCATTACCTGACCCTGTTGGAGCCTATTCCGTGCTGAGCTGTTTGAATTTCCAGCTTGGAAATCCCCAGGCTGGGCGGGAAATGCTGTTTCCTGAGGGAGGAGCAGACGAGGGAGGTGCTGCCTGCAGGCTTGGCGGAGGGTCAGGGGGTGTTTGGGACAGGGACACAGTGGGGAGGGGGCTGAGAACAGCAACCAGGCAGCATTTGTGATTCTTCTGAATCCAGAGGGGCTTGTGTGATGAAATTCCACAGGGCTCTGCCAGGCTGATACGTGGGAAGGGTGGCAGAGGGCTACTGCGACCTACAGGCAGGGGGTGGTCCTAGGCAGGCAAAGGCATTGGTAGGAATGCAGAGAGGGCTACAGAAAGCAAGGGGACTCCTGGGCCAGGCCCTGGACCGGGGCACAGAGTAAGGCTGTTGAGGGTGTTGATTTCAGTTTTTGACAAGTCGAGGATCCTCCGGATACCACGTGACAACACACAGCTTAAGAGCACGGGCCTTGGGCTCAAATCCTCGCTCTGTCACTCGCTGGCAGTGTGGTCCTGTGCAAGTTGACGGACTTCTCTCAGCCTCAGTTTCCTCCTCTGTGAAGTGGAGGGAATGGTGTCCACCCCCCATTATTCCTTTAATGTGAGCGCTAACTCAGGGCAAGTGTGTAAAGACCCAGTCTGGCCTCCAGCTGGGGTCCATCTGACCCAGGTGGTGGCTGTTTACAGGGATCAACTCTCCCCAGTTTGCTGGGAACTTTCCTGGTTTTAGCCCTGAAAGTCCCGCATCTTGTGAAACCCGTTGGTCCTGGAAAACCTGGATGGTTGCTCACTCTGCCTGTGGTCTCCCGCTCCTCATTGCACTAAAAGTGCCAGGTCATGTCTGTGTCCTGGGGAAGGCCGAAGCCCTTGCTAAGGTTTCTGTAATATCACCTGTGGCTCTGAGGCCTGCTTTGGCTGAGTTAATTCGGTGTTGAGGTCGGTACGTGTGCTTGCACACGTTTCTGAACCACAGAGACTCAGATGTGACATTCAGCCCCCATTCCCCCCAGATCCACAGGCACAAAGCATCTGGGTGTCAGAGACACCGCAGACGTTTGGGGTGGGATGGGGGCGCTGAGATCACCGTAGTGCAATCCACAGGCACAAAGCATCTGGGTGTCAGAGACACCGCAGACGTCTGGGGTGGGATGGGGGCGCTGAGATCACCGTAGTGCAATCCACAGGCACAAGGCACCTGGGTGTGGGAGACACCGCAGACGTCTGGGGTGGGATGGGGGCGCTGAGATCACCGTAGTGCAATCCACAGGCACAAGGCACCTGGGTGTGGGAGACACCGCAGACGTCTGGGGTGGGATGGGGGCGCTGAGATCACCGTAGTGCAATCCACAGGCACAAGGCACCTGGGTGTGGGAGACACCGCAGACGTCTGGGGTGGGATGGGGGCGCTGAGATCACCGTAGTGCAATCCACAGGCACAAGGCACCTGGGTGTGGGAGACACCGCAGACGTTTGGGGTGGGATGGGGGCGCTGAGATCACTGTAGTGCAAACAGCATCAAATGGAACATGACACACAACTCCTTTGGCCGCCCCCTGAAAGTGTGGGGGATGCAGGGGTGGAAGGGAGCTTCACTCAGGGACCTCCTGCCTCAACCCCTCACTCTGACCTCTGCTCTTTCCTCTAAATTTTGTTCGTTTCTAACGTCTCTTTTGTGGCCTTGGCCCCGGGTTGAAATGTGCCCTTTAAAAGCATTTTTCCTAAACGAAGACAATTCCTCTCCAAGAGGAGCTGTTCCCTCCCCAGCTGTTCAGAAAATCCAGGTGTGTTTCCACCTGCAACAATGCCGAGCTGTCAGCTTAGACTTGGAAGGCGCTAAGAGCTGGGGAAGGCCACATTTGGGGTCTGGTTCCAGGCCTTGCGGGTCACCATCCCTGGCTGTATTAGTCCTTTCCTGCACTGCTATAAAGTACCCAAGGCTGGGTAATTGATAAAGAAAAGCAAAGTAATGGGCTCACGGTTCCTCAGGCTGTACAGGAAGCTTGATGCTGGCATGTGCTCAGCTTCTGAGGAGGCCTCAAGAAACTTACAATCATGGCAGAAGGCTAAGGGGGAGCAGGCATGCCACACGGTCAGCGCAGCAGCAAGAGAGTGAGGCGGGAGGTGCTACCCACTTGTAAATGGCCGAGCTCGTGAGGACTCACCAAGGCGGACGGTGCTCAACCAGTCATGGGAAAACCGCCCCCGTGATCTAGTCGCTTCCCACCAGGCGCCACCTCCAACGCTGAGGGTTACAATTCGACATGACACGCGGGGGGGACACAGATCCAAACCACGTCATCAGCTCTTTCAGAGGGAGATGGCTCTGGACCCCACTTTAGAGTCTGGCTGATTTGCTCTCCCAGGTGCGCCTGGCACAGCTCTCAGGTTCTGCAGGAGCCGCTGGGCTTGGACGAAGGGCCCTCCCGCAGTGTGAGGAGCCTGGCGACCTGGCCCGGTCTCACCCCACAGCCTAGGGCAGAGATGCCACAAAGTCACAGACTTTCAGGGCCAAGAGACCCTGGAGTGCGTCTGACTCGGCCTCGTGTTTCACAGGGAATCTGAGGCCCGCACTGGCCAAGTGACCTGTCTGTACTTACACACTCTGGAGGCAGCAGAGTGGAGGAGAGTGGTGCTATGGCCTGAGTGATTTATTTTAGAATACAGTCATGCATTGTATAACGAAGTTTGTCAATGACAGGCTGTATATCCAGCGGTGGTCCCATAAGACTACAAAGCAGCTGAAAATTCCCGTTGCCTAGTGAGGTTGCGGCGTGTAATGTCACAGTGCAACACGTTATCACTCGTTTGTGGTGATGCTGGTGTGAACACACCTATTACACTGCCAGTCACATACGAGTGGACAGTAATGCCCTGGGCCCTCACACTCACCACACACTGACTCTCCCACAGCGACTCCAGTCCCGCAAGCTCCATTCACGGGAAGTGCTCTATACACCTGTGTCATTTTAAAACATCTTTTATACCGTATTTTTACTGTACCCTTTCTATGATTAGCTACACACATAATTCCACGGTGTCGCAGTTGCTACATGCTGCACAGGTTTGTAGCCCAGGAGCCCAGGCTCTCCCACATAGCCTAGGTGTGCTGTAGGTTCTGCCACTTAGATTTACGTCCGTGCTCTCTATGATGTCTGCACAATGATGAAATTGCCTGACAACACATCTCTTGGAAGTATCCCTGTCGTATCCTGGTTGTTAGGTGACACATGCCTGTACTTCTGTGTGAATGAGTTTGAGTAAGATCTCATCTGCACACACATTAAGGGCTGGCTAGCCTTATTAGCATAAGGAATGTGGCAGTGGGTTTTCTTTCATTTATTTACTGTTTTTGAATAGGGTCTTGTTTTGTTACCCAGGCTGAGTGCAGTGGCGAGATCATGGCTCACTACAGCCTCCAACTTCTGTGCTCAAGCAATCCTCCTGCCTCAGCCTCCCAAGTAGCTGGGACTACAGCTATAGTGATTTTGATAGGGGGGGAATTTGTTGGGGGTCACTGAGGCGGGCTGGGGCACACAGACCAGGGCTCCCCACGAGGGCCTCTGAGGCACACAGACCAGGGCTCCACACAAGGGCCCTCTGAGGTACGCAGACCAGGCTGAGGCACAGAGACCAGGGCTCAAGAGCTGCTCTGCCCAGGATTCCTGTGGCTGCTGTGAACTGAGTGCTCCTGGCCGAGGACCCACAGCTTCTGGGAAGTGTAGGTTGGGGCTCCTGATCTGCTGGCCCCTCCCTAGGGATGCAGAGCACACAGGCCCTGGGCCTGGAGTGTTTCCATCCATCCACACATCCTTCTTCCCATCAGGACACTGGTCCATCCTCTGTTCATCTGTCCATCCTCTCAGATGTCCTTCAGCACATTGGTCCATGCAGAATATCTATGCACCTGTCTCTCCATCCATCTGTCCAATGCTCCATCAGTCTGTCCATCATCCATCCTCCCATCTGTCCTCCACCCACCCACCCCCACCATCCCCCACCCAATCATCATCCATCCAACTACCCCCTATGCCCCCACTCACCCTTCCCCCACCCAGCCATCCGTTAACCCCTCCCCCACCCATCCTTCCCCCACCCATTCCCCACTCAACTATCGCCCTACCCATCCCCCACTCCTCCACCCACTCACCCATCCATCTCCTCACCCATCCCTCACTCATCCAGACCTCCATCCATCTCCTCACTCACCTGCCATCCACCCATCCCCCAACCATCCTCACCCCTCCACCACCCACTGACCCATCCCCTACCCCTCCATCTACCCATGCATCCATGCATCCATTGATCCAGCAATATTTCTTGACAGCTAACTAGGGACCCAAAGGTGAATAAGCCTTGACTTCTGCCTTCAGGAGCCGGGCTCTAGGGAACCCAGCCTTGCCATGCCACGTCTGGAAGCAGAGCCTGGGAAGAAGGTGCAGCGACTGATCTGGGCAGGCCCCTGCTGTGGGGGCAGGGATGACAGGGCCCAGCTTTTGGTTCCCTTTTCCCCATGAAAGAGCCTGGGCAAAGGTGGAGGCGATGGCAGTCGGGAAGGAGGGAGCAGGGAGGGAGAAGCTTCATTTGTCAGCTGCTCAGCAGGTACAGTCAGACTTAAAATGTCTCCAAAGAGCAGCCGCTGAGAGGCAGGGGGTGAGCACGCTGAATTATTTTCTGGTAATTGGCACTGAAGAAGCTGCAGACATCCTGAGGTCTGCATCAAAGGCTCAGAGCTTCGGCCGTCTTGGTGGAGACTGGGGGCACCTCGTCGGGGGCTCCTAAGGATCTCTGAGCTCCTGCCTCCTCCTCCTCCTGCCTGCCTGCTCTCCTCGGTACTGTGGGGTGAGGAGAGGCACACTCTGCTTTGCTTTCTGCACAAGACAGCCCCGGGGTGGGGCCGGGCGCTGCGGGTCAGAGCCCTGACCGTTTGCAGAGGAAAGGAAAGGGACAGGAAACTGGAGCATCAAGGCCCTGCTTTGCAGGGGACACCAGGACTTAGCCATGGCAGGGGCTCTGCCAATGCTCTTCACACATGGCCTGGCGAGGTCCTTCTCCTCACATACTCCGGGCAATGCCAGTGCCAGGTTTTCCTTTGGTCTCATCCCTCCCCTGTGCAGAAGAGCATTTGCTGGCACTTGGATGAGCAATTTAAAGGCACTGGTCCTCCACATATATTTGAGACAGGGTCTTGCTCTGTCAATCAGGCTGGAGTGCAGTGGCACAGTCACAGCTCAGTGCAGCCTCAAACTCTTGGGCTCAAGTGATCCTCCCTTCTCAGCCTCCTGTGTAGCTGGTACTACAGGCATGCACCACCACGTCTGGCTATTTTTTTTTTTTTTTAATTTTTGTGGAGATGGCATCTCTCCATATTGCCCAGGCTGGTCTCGAACTCCTGGGCTCAGGTGATACTCCTGCCTTGGCCTCCCAAAGTCCTGGGATTACAGGCATGAGCCATTGCACCTGGCCTCCTACGTATTCTGTAAACAGGTGAACCTTTCTGTGTTTGTACATACTAGTGTATGCACACGTGTGTGTGCGTCTGTGTGCCGTCCATCTCCCCTGGCGAGGGCCCCTTCTGCCTAGTACCTCCAACAGCTGGACCCTCCAGCTGGTCACCTTATGTAGGAGGCTTCTCTCCCCCATGGGCGGAGTGCAGGGCAGGGTGGCCTGGGGTGGAGGCTGCAGGCAGGCCAGTTCCCCATCCAGCCTCAGCCTCCTTCCTGCTGGGGAACCAATCATAGGGGAGGAAACTGAGCTTTTTCCTTACAGCCACCTCAGGCTCATTGGCTGGGCCCCCTGTTAAAAAAAAAAATACAAAAAAGGGGGGGGCAGATTAACCAGAGAAAAGTCTGAGCATGTATTTAGCATGTGTTACGTCACACGGAAGCTCCATGAAGAAGTGAACACCTGAAGGCACCACAGAACCCGAGTGTTTCTTACGGCAGGCAGCTCGATGGGGAAACGTGATTGGGTGAGTGTTTCTTACGGCAGCTGGAGGAAGGTAGAAGGTGGCGGGGAAACGTTATTGGACGAATGTTTCCTACGGCAGCTCGATGGGGAAACGTGATTGGGCGAGTGTTTCTTATGGCACCTCGATGGGGAAACGTGATTGGGTGAGTGTTTCTTACGGCACCTCGATGGGGAAACGTGATTGGACGAATGTTTCCTACGGCAGCTCGATGAGGAAACGTGATTGGGCGAGTGTTTCTCACGGCACCTCGATGGGGAAACATGATTGGGCGAGTGTTTCTTACGGCAGCTCGATGGGGAAACGTGATTGGGTGAGTGTTTCTTATGGCAGCTCGATGGGGAAACGTGATTGGGCGAGTGTTTCTTATGGCACCTCAATGGGGAAACGTGATTGGGCGAGTGTTTCTTACGGCACCTTGATGGGGAAACATGATTGGGCGAGTGTTTCTTACGGCAGCTCGATGGGGAAACGTGATTGGGTGAGTGTTTCTTACGGCAGCTCCATGGGGAAACGTGATTGGGCGAGTGTTTCTTACAGCACCTCGATGGGGAAACGTGATTGGGTGAGTGTTTCTTACGGCAGCTCCATGGGGAAACGTGATTAGACGAATATTTCCTACGGAAGCTCGATGAGGAAACGTGATTGGGCGAGTGTTTCTTATGGCACCTCGATGGGGAAACATGATTGGGCGAGTGTTTCTTACGGCAGCTCGAGGAAGGTAGAAGGTGGTGGGGAAACGTGATTGGGCGAAGAGAACAAGGTCAGTGGAGTGAGCGGGGACCTGAGCCAGGCATGTCGTTCCAACCCCGCTCCATGGTCTCGCGATAAGATGCTCCTTTCCTCCAGGTACCAGCAGAAAGCAGGCGTTTTCTCATGTGGGAAAGATGCCGGCCCCCGCTGTTTGGGGTGGAAATCCTCTAACCCGCTGGGCCTGTGCGCCAGGGCTGAGCAACAGCGCGGAGCCGTGCATCTGTCGGGGGCGGGACGCGGCAGCAGGGCTGTGAGGGCTGCGTTTTCTCTGCCAGCCTGATCCGCATCCCCTGCCCCTCGGTCGTCTGCCAGTGTCCGTGTATCTTTTGCCCCAGCTGGTGCGGGTTTAGGGATGTCAGCCCCAGGAGTCACAGGTGAGCTGGTTCCAATGGGAACCTCGGCATCACCTGGGAACTGAAATATGCATTGTCAGCCCCACGGCAGACCTCTGAATCAGAAACTCCGAGGTAGGATTAGTGTGTTCTGTGTTCTAACAAGTCCCTTGGGTGGTTCAGATGCAGCAGGAGGACGGGGCCATGTCCGTTTTGTCCACTACCAAACCCAGGGCCTAGAACACTGCACCTGCACCAGCATCTGCCCGATTAATGCTCGACAGAGGAATGAATGTGGATAAGCACCATTATTCCAAAGCCCCAAAGGGAGAAGCATGAAGGTTTACTGTGCCCCGGGTACCAGGCTGCCACCCTTCTCACGTTCTTATGGCATCTTGACCACTCCTGAGGCACGTGCCTCACTGAATTCTACGGGAGAAACAGCTGGTAGCTGTTGACATACTGGTCACGGTGGTGGGAGCTGTACTGGGGCCCTCATGTTTTAAATTTCCAGTCATCCTGGGACGGAAGTGTTATCCCCATTTCACAGATGAGAAACAGAGGCACAGAGAAGCACCCATACTTTCAGGCACTAAGTAGCAGATCTGGGATTTGAAACCAGGGTCCAAAGTTCATGAGCTCTCCACTTGCGGCCTCTTCTAGGAACCACTTGGGTTATCTGGTATTTGGGACAAATCCAGTCCCTTCCGTATGCCCTGATTTTTACGGATGTCACAGAACACCTTCCACCTTCTACCAGGAAAGGCTCAGTTCTGAAAGCTAACTTGTAAGTTGGTTGCTTGGGACTAAGAAAGCAGTTTCATAAAGAAAGGATTTCTTGGTTCCCAGACCAGCCCACAAAGAACCCTTGACTCCAAGGCAGCCGCAGGCTCCCGTGAGGGATCTGCAGCCCACCTCAGCTCTGAAGCTGACACTTCCACGATGACGTCGTCTTAATGAATGCCTTCTAGGAAATGCATTTGGAATCCACCCTGGGGCTGCAGGGACTGGGTCTGGCCCAGTCATGGGGTTCTGGTGGGGGCTGAGTGTGGGGGCTCATCTGCATCAGGTCTGAGAGGGCTTTGGTCCTACAGAGGCGTGGGTAGCGCACCTGCAGCTTAGAACTGCGGGCAGAGGCCCGAGCCACTCCCAGGCTGGTGTTCCCAGGTCGGGTGTGGACCTAGGGACTGTGGGGCAGCCCACAGGCTGTCTTTTCTCTGCCAGGCAGGTGTTTACTCACTCATCTGCTATGGCCCTGGGCTCACTGCCGCCGCCCCCCGCCCTGTGGGTTTGTCAGCAGTTTGATGTGTATTTTTCCATAAAAATTCATTGTTATACATGAAATATAGTAGGTTTTAAAAGGGTAACTGTCCTACAAAGTTTATAACATAAAGCAGGAATCCCCTGCTCACCTCGAGACACCTTAGAACTCTTTTAGTTCCTTGGTATCTAAAACCTCATGCGGATTCTATGTCTTGATTTTGTAATTTTATACAGCATTATGTACTATAAAATATCACGATGTAGCTCTCACTTACGATCTCCCTGAGACACATATGCTTCTTGTATATCCTTGTGCACCTCCTCTGTCCTCATCTGGGCTGGCTGGACCAGCCACCCAGCTCCACCATCACCCTGAGGATTCTCTCCTGTGTGAGGGCTCCAGTTTCTTGTGCCCATTTTCTCTTGGTTTTCTCCCTTGTTTGGTTGGAGCACATCCTACAGTAGCTGCCCGAGAAAGAGGGCAAGGGAGGTGATATTTTTCAAGAACTCACATGTCTGAACATATCTTCATTCTAACTTCACACTGCACGAAGTTCTAGCTGGATAGAAAAGTCAACTTAGAAATTGTTTGCCCTCAGAATTCAGAAGCTCTTGCTTCTCTGTGCTCGGACTTCAAAATTTGCTTTGAGAATTTCAGCGCCATTTAAATTCCTGATCCTTTGTATGTGACTTTTTTTTTCTCTCTTTGGAAGGCTTTGGGATATTTTCTGATTATCCTGGTGTCCTGAAATTTCATAAGAATGTTTGGTGTAGTTCCTTAATTTACTTTAAAATATTTCTGACATATAAAAAATAAAAATCTAGGCCAGACGCAGTGGGTCACGCCTGTAATCCCAGCACTTTGGGAGGCTGAGACAGATGGACCACAAGGTCAGAAGTTAGAGACCATCCTGGCCAACACGGTGAAACCCCGTCTCTACTAAAATACAAAAAATTAGCTGGGCATGGTGGCACATGCTCGGGAGGCTGAGACAGGAGAATTGCTTGAACCCAGGAGGCGGAGGTTGCAGTGACCTGAGATCGCGCCACTGCACTCCAGCCTGGGCGACAGAGCAGGACTCCATCTCAAAAAAATAATAATAATACAAATCTATAATAAACATATAAATATACAATATGAAGTAAAATATAAATATTACAAACCCATCTACCTATCACTGAGCTTAATAAAACATTAAGATTCCTCTTTAATTGTATTTCTCCTCTTCCCAA
Source organism: Homo sapiens (assembly GCF_000001405.40). NCBI lineage: Eukaryota > Metazoa > Chordata > Mammalia > Primates > Hominidae > Homo > Homo sapiens. Next base: position 209,952 of record NC_000017.11, read on the forward strand.
GATGTGTCCTGAGTCTGTTGTTTTGTTATCCTTCCTGTTTCTGAATTCTCTTGCTGCATAAAATATATTTTAATATATAACATTCTTGCATGTTTGTGAAATCTCTATATAGATGGTGTCACGTATTTTTCTGCCACCTGTCTCTTTGTCAGCATTATTGGTGAGATACACATACTCTGAGGGTGGTGACTCAATTTCACCACTGCATAATATTCTATTGTTTGCATATATCACAATTTATGTACCTATTCTTCTGTTGAAGGCTTTTTTGGTTGCTTCTAAATTTGAGCTGTAAATATTCAGTGCATGTCTCCTGGAGCCCATGTAGATGAGTTTCTGGAGGGAAATGGTCCTGAGGCCTCCCAGCACATTGGAGTCATCTGGAGAGCTTCACAAATCCCGATGCCAGCCAAGGATACATCCAAAATCGATTAAACCAAAATCTCTAGTGGTGGGTCTGCCAGGAGTACTTTTAAAGCTCCCCAGGTGATTCCAGTGAGCAGCCAAGGGGAACAACCACTGCCCTAGACCAATGCTACTCAAGGAGTGTCCCTTCAACCATGTGTCACCTGCCAGCATGTTAGATGTGCACACTGGGGTCCCGCCCCAGAGCTGGCGAGTGAGCATGTGTGTTTCAGGAGGACCTCAGGGATGGCTGCAGGCAGCGCCCACCTTCGTCTACTGGGCATCACCAAACTGCTGCTCGGGATGGTGGAGGGGCCACACGGGTGTGGAGGCTTCACGTCCCTCTGCCGGTCACTTACAGGCTTTCTCTATGGAAGCCCATTCCCTTCAGTCCTGGGAAATATTCTTGTGTCATTTCTTCAACAATCTCCTCTCCTCTGTTTTCTGTTTCTTGGGTTGAAATTCCTATTTGATGGAGGCTGGATCTTCTGTGTTGAGCTGATCTTGTTGTTGTTCAATGTTCTTGACTTTTTCCTCTTTTGCTTTTATGCATTTTACTTTCTGGGAGATTTTCTCTCCTCTTCCATCCCTTCTCATGCATTTTAAATTCCTGCTATTATATTTTTAATGTTCAAGAACTTCAACACTGCCTTTAAAAAAATAAAATTCTTTTCTCATTTCATAGGTGTAATACTTCAGGGGATTTTCCTCTCCTTTTTTCTGTGTACTGGAGTCTCTATTTTCAGTTATTGGATTTCATCAAACGTTGGGTGCCCTTGGCTGTCCCCACTCTGAGTGAAACACAGCAAAGCTAATAGGCAGCACTGAACATGTGGGTGAGGCTTGTGGACTGGAGGTCTCACAGTGGACTGGGCAGAGACCCACTGTTTGGGGAACCCCCAGTGTCAGGATCTGTCCATCTGTTCTCTTTGATCAGTTTCCCAGAGAGAAATTCAATAATGTCCTGCCAGCCAGGTGCAGAGGCTCATGCCTGTAATCCCAGCACTGTGGGAGGCTGAGGCGGGTGGATCACAAGGTCAGGAGTTCAAGACCGGCCTGACCAACATGGAGAAACCCCATCTCTACTAAAAATACAGAATTAGCTGGGCGTGGTGGCATATGCCTATAATCCCAGCTACTCACTTGAGGCTGAGGCAGGAGAATCACTTGCACCTGGGAGGCGGAGGTTGCGGTGAGCCGAGATCATACCATTGCACTTCAGCCTGGGTGACAAGAGCGAAACTCCGTCTCAAAATAATAATAATAAATGTCCTGCCTTGGGGGTGGATGGATGGGGACTAGGCCTGGCTTTTATCAGCCTCCATCAGGGATTTTAAAGGGGAATGAGGGCGTCCCCATTTACATCCTGATTTCAGGAAGGCACCTTGCCCCAGCCTTTGGCTACCCTTGGGGTCCCCAATCCAGAATCTTTTCAGATCACCATTGGCCGGCAGTAAACCTGTCTCCTGCCATGGTCAGAGAAGGGCAGTCACCAGGCCGGGAGAGGGGACCTGAGGGTGTAAACACTTCTTTCAATCAAGACAATTCTCAGACCCACCCTGAACTTCCACCTTTGGGACACCTGGCCCCTCCAAGTTCTGTGCATTTGGGGGATTCTGCAAAGCAAATGGGCTTGTTCATGCTTGGCTTCCTTCTTTGTAGACATTTTGAGGCTGACACTAAGCAAATCATACTGTTCCAGCTTCCAAAGCTCTTCAGATATTTGTCATTCACTGCCATCTTCTCTCCTGTTCTTTTTGTCTTTGTGCTTTATGCCATTTTCATTCCTTTACGTCATTCTAGTGGGGTTTTGAGGGACAGAGGAAAATATGAATATATTCAGTGCACCATATATAACCAGAAGTCCTTGTGCATTTAAAAGACATTTTTGCATACATACGTATGTGTTTGCAGAACTCATTCTGATTATTTGTGTGTACTTTTGTATGTAGATGGCCTTGCTTATCCGTTCAGCATCAGGTGTGTGAGCTGCATGAACACACACAGATCTAGCCCCTCCTTTCACTGCGGCTTAGGAAGGGTTCCAGCAAGTCAACGCACCACAGTTTTTTCCATTTTTCCATGGACGCATCTCAGAAACACAGGCAATCGTGGTCTTCGATCAACACACTGGCTCGGTGCAAATTTTAATCTTCATTGTTTTAATTCTGAAGCATAACGTGCCACAGGGAAAGTGAGTTTCTTTACTGTTTGCCAGCAGCAAGGACAAAAAGTGAATGGTGGGGGCCCAGGAGCTCCCAGCTTGGAGAGAAGGCCCTTCCAGACCCAGGAACCCGGGGTTTGGGGCAGGAGGCAGGAAGGATGGGAGGGTGTGATCACCGACACACACACACACGTTCTCTCTCTTCAGGGAAGGGTTTTCCAGAAGCATTTGCCCATACTCTGAATGAAGTATTTTCATGCCAAGCCAAACCTCCTGAAGAGAAGTGAATTCATGGCTGAGGGAGCCACGTGCCCTGGCTGGGGATGCACCTGAACGCTGCTCTTCAGCAAGTGAGTTCATAGCATCCACCAGAGCTTCCCAGCTCCTCAAGCTGAAGACAGGCTGAGCAAAAACCAGGCAGGCCATGAGGGGATTCAAAGAAACCTAATAGGATTGGGTGCGGTGGCTCACACCTGTAATCCCAGCACTTTGGGAGGCCGAGGCGGGCAGATCACTTGAGACCAGGAGTTCAAGACCAGCCTGGCCAACATGGAGAAACCCCATCTCTTCTAAAAATACAAAAATTAACTGGGTGTGGTGGCGGGCATCTGTAATCCCACCTACTCAGGAGGCTGAGGTGAGAGAATCGCTTGAGCCCGGGAGGTGGAGGTTGCAGTGAGCCGCGATCGTGCCACTGCACCCCAGCCTGGGCAACAAAGCGAGACTGTGTCAAAAACAAACAAACATACAAAAACCAAAGAAACTAAACAGACCCAGGTTTCACCCACGGTCCTGGGCCAGCCCATGGGAGGGGGGCACTGCGCCTGCCTCCCAGAGCTGAAGGGAGAGGGAGAGGGTGGGTGAGTCTCCCCCTCACTGCTCTGGCTCTGATGCTCACCTCTAAGGGGCCACACGCAGCTTCGGAGGCCGTGCCCTAGGTTTCATTTAGTCTTGCCATTAATATAGCAACGGAGATAGCCCCACCGGGCGGCCCCTCTGACACTGCATGTGGGAAACCCCCCAGCCCAACCCAAGACACGCGCAAACTTAAAATCATCACCAGGTAGATTGGGGGTGTGGGAGGGGAGGGTAATAAATAAGGTCGGGGGCTGAGGGCAGTGGTTGGAGGGGGTGGCGGATGCAGACAGCTCCCCAGGAGAGAAGGGGTGCAGAAAGGCACTGAGCTGGGGAGGCAGACGGCTCCCAACACTGGTTTGTTGAGTCATGGCCAACAGGGTGTCTGGTGAGGGCACAAGGACCGGTCAGGGAGGAGCCGGGCAGGGTCTGGCAGGAATCCTCCACAGGGAAGTCTGTTCCAGGCACCAGACACCTCAGCCCAGGCAGCTGGAGGGGCCTGCTGGAGCTGCGTCAGCAGCGGGGGCTCGTCCAGGTGTGTCTTTTACCTTTGGATGAGAGAAAAGGCCACCACATGGTGAGCAGCGGTGGAGTCCCTCCCTCCCCGGTGACAGCTCGGCCTTTGGGAATGAGATGGAGGAGCTGGTGGGGAAGGCAGGCTTCTGCTGACAGCATCCGTGCCTCAGCCCGAGCTCGAGACCAGCACCGCTCTGCTCTGCTGTGTGATGGCAGGAAAGTCACCTGCCCCTCTGGGCTTCAGGCCCTCCTCCTAACCCAGGTGATCAACATGGCGACCTCAGGATGCCGGAAGGAGCAAATGGGCACGGAAAGAGAACACCCTCCTTTAAGCCAATCTTTCCCCAGGTTGTTTCTTAAGCCCAGGAACCCTCTCTGCACTGGGCCACACAGCTTCCCCCTTTATCACTGGACATTTACTGAGGACCTCCTAGGGGAAGGCAGTCCATGTGACACTGGATTTTGTCTCCCCGGAACCCTGTGAAGGACACCGTACCGATAATAGAACTGGGCACAGAGAGATCAAATATAAGGGTGAACCATATTGAACTGCCGATATTTCACTGTTTTTGAACCACAAAAATGCAATTTCAATTGGGCGCAGTGGCTCTTGCCTGTAATCCCAACACTTTGGGAGGCCAAGGTGGGAGGACTGTTTCAGCCCAGGAGTTCGAGACCAGCCTGGGCAACATAGGGAGACCCCGTCCCTTTGAAAAATACAAAAAATAATTAGCCGGGCATGGTGGCACTTGCCTATAGTCCTAGCTACTTGGCAGGCTGAGGCAGGAGGACCACTGGAGCCCAGGAGGTCGAGGCTGCAGTGAACGGTGATCACACCAGTGCACTCCAGCCCGGGCAACAGCATGAGATCCTGTCTCAAAAAAAAAAAAAAGCAATTTCATATGGTTCAACCTGGGGGTCTGCTCAAGGTCACATGGCTGTGGGTGGCAGGGCTGGGACAAGAACTCGGGGCTGCCGGATTCCACACTGTCCTCTGTGGAGGACCTCCAGGAGGCTAGAGGGAGGGGGCAGGGTCCACTCCACAGCCAAAGATGCCTCCCGGATGCTCTGCAGCTCCTGGGAGCCATCGAGTGGGGAAGGAGAGAGGTGCGGCAGGCGTTCCTGTGGGTGGCTGCCGGGTGCCCTCCACACCCCGGGGACGGAGATCAGCTGCTGCCCTGGTGCATGCGTGTACCCATGAATCCTCTGGCCAGGGAGGGGCCCAACCTGCCCAGGGCTTCTTTCTTGAAGGAGACAGGGCTGATCCTGCACCTGCGCAGTTTTCTCTGGCTTCAGTTTAAGGAGAACCCTCACCCCCGCCACAGGATGATCCTGGGCCAACCAGGGCTGGGCCCAGCAGGTGCAGGGCAGGGTGGGAGCCCAGGATTCTCCCCTCACTCTCTCTCTGTGCCTTGGTTTCTACACCCATCAAATGGGACAATAAGCCTCCCAGCCACTCTGCCAAGAGAATGAAAGTTCGCCCCAGGGGAGCCCGACACGTTTTATGTAGCAGAGGATGGTAACCACTGCTGTGATTACCGAGAGTGGCTAGGGATGGCTACCATTATCATTCTGGGTCCCTCTCTCTGTTCCTTGCAGGCAGGGATGGGGTCTGGCTCACCTTGTTCCCCCGCACAGTGCTTGGTAAACAACATGCAGAATTGAAAACGTCACCGACCAGTCTCCAGTTTGGGAGGAGTGAGTGAGAGAGGACACGGCCGCGGGGGCAGGAGAGGGGAGAAGGCAGCAGTTGGGTACTCACCGGGGCCCTTCGGGTCAGCCCGGGGCGGGGTCCCCCTGGCGGGTCAGCAGAGCCTGTCCCCGTCTCACCACTGGCCAGGCTGCTCTGGCACCCAGAGAGGTGGCCCGGCGGGTGGGTGAACCCCATCCTGGGGGCCTCCACGCTGCCACCTGTGGGAAATCACGTGTGGGCCCCGTGGATCTCAAACCGAGACGGGGTGATCTCAGTCCAGTTCCTCGTTTGGAACTCTAGATCTCTATGGGATGTCTGCCCCCCACCCCACCCACATGGCTGCCAGGCTCTGGCCTGACCTCACCCACATGGCTGCCGGGCTCTGGCCTGACCCCACCCACATGGCTGCCGGGCTCTGGCCTGACCCCACCCACATGGCTGCCGGGCTCTGGCCTGACCTCACCCACATGGCTGCCGGGCTCTGGCCTGACCCCACCCACATGGCTGCCGGGCTCTGGCCTGACCTCACCCACATGGCTGCCGGGCTCTGGCCTGACCCCACCCACATGGCTGCCGGGCTCTGGCCTGACCTCACCCACATGGCTGCCGGGCTCTGGCCTGACCCCACCCACATGGCTGCCGGGCTCTGGCCTGACCTCACCCACATGGCTGCAGGGCTCTGGCCCGACCCCACCCTCTGGCTGTTGCTGGTGGGTCCAAGAACGGGCCTGCAGGTCTTTTCACTAAGTCACAGATCACCAACATGAAAGTCCACAATTATCACAGAATGGGGGTGGGGGTGGGGGATATATATTTTGGTTAACCTAATGAGAGAGAGATGTTGACTGCTGCCTTAACTCACTAAAGGGTCTTCACTCAAACATGGTTTCTGGTCTTTGCCTGGCCAAGAGAGCAGACGTGGAGCCTGCTACTTTGCTGAACTTCTCTTGTCTCCCAGTCCTGCTTGGTCAGAGCTGAGGGTGGGTGTGGAGCGAGGGGACAAGAGCCCATGGTGGGAGGAGGAGGGGAGTATAAAGCCTGCCCTGGAAACCGAGGCTGGCAGGTAAGTTTCCTTTATACTCTTCTAAATTTTCTCTAGAATCTTCAGCCTGATGGAGCCTGGGAAGTCACTGGTCCAGGGACAGTTTTCATCTCTTGCACCATCTCTACCTGCTGATATTGGCCACTTAGAAAACTGCACTGAGGAGGATTCTGAGGGCACATCAGGGCTCTGTGGAAAGAGTATCATGATCACCTAGTAATGTCTGCCATGGTCACAGGAGAGGGGGGTGGTGGTACGTGTGTCAGGTCTTTGCCAGCTCTGATTTAGCTCAAACTTCCATTCCCAACCCAGTCTTGGTCCCAAGACAGGACCCCCAAGGCATTTCACTCCCATCTGGGGCAGTTATTACAGAGCCCTTCTTCTGCCCTAAAATTGGCCTCGCTGAAATCAGGACCCCCAAGGCATTTCATTCCCATCTGGGGCAGTTATTACAGAGCCCTTCTTCTGCACTAAAATTGGCCTCGCTGAAATCAGGACCCCCAAGGCATTTAGTTCCCATCTGGGGCAGTTATTACAGAGCCCTTCTTCTGCGCTAAAATTGGCCTCACTGAAATCAGGACCCCCAAGGCATTTCGTTCCCATCTGGGGCAGTTATTATGGAGCCCTTTCTTCTTCTGCACTAAAATTGGCCTCGCTGAAATCAGGACCCCCAAGGCATTTCATTCCCATCTGGGGCAGTTATTACAGAGCCCTTCTTCTGCATTAAAATTGGCCTCACTGAAATCAGGACCCCCAAGGCATTTCGTTCCCATCTCGGGCAGTTATTACAGAGCCCTTCTTCTGTGCCAAAATTGGCCTCGCTGAAATCAGGACCCCCAAGGCATTTCATTCCCATCTGGGGCAGTTATTACAGAGCCCTTCTTCTGCGCTAAAATTGGCCTCACTGGAATCAGGACCCCCAAGGCATTTCGTTCCCATCTGGGGCAGTTATTATGGAGCCCTTTCTTCTTCTGCACTAAAATTGGCCTCGCTGAAATCAGGACCCCCAAGGCATTTCATTCCCATGTGGGGCAGTTATTACAGAGCCCTTCTTCTGTGCTAAAATTGGCCTCACTGAAATCAGGACCCCCAAGGCATTTCGTTCCCATCTGGGGCAGTTATTATGGAGCCCTTTCTTCTTCTGCACTAAAATTGGCCTCGCTGAAATGAGGACCCCCAAGGCATTTCATTCCCATCTGGGGCAGTTATTACAGAGCCCTTCTTCTGCGCTAAAATTGGCCTCACTGGAATCAGGACCCCCAAGGCATTTCGTTCCCATCTGGGGCAGTTATTATGGAGCCCTTTCTTCTTCTGCACTAAAATTGGCCTCGCTGAAATCAGGACCCCCAAGGCATTTCATTCCTGTTTGGGGCAGTTATTACAGAGCCCTTCTTCTGCGCTAAAATTGGCCTCACTGGAATCAGGACCCCCAAGGCATTTCGTTCCCATCTGGGGCAGTTATTATGGAGCCCTTTCTTCTTCTGCACTAAAATTGGCCTCGCTGAAATCAGGACCTCCAAGGCATTTCATTCCCATCTGGGGCAGTTATTACAGAGCCCTTCTTCTGCGCTAAAATTGGCCTCACTGAAATCAGGACCCCCAAGGCATTTCGTTCCCATCTGGGGCAGTTATTATGGAGCCCTTTCTTCTTCTGCACTAAAATTGGCCTCGCTGAAATCAGGACCCCCAAGGCATTTCATTCCTGTTTGGGGCAGTTATTACAGAGCCCTTCTTCTGCGCTAAAATTGGCCTCACTGGAATCAGGACCCCCAAGGCATTTCGTTCCCATCTGGGGCAGTTATTATGGAGCCCTTTCTTCTTCTGCACTAAAATTGGCCTCGCTGAAATCAGGACCTCCAAGGCATTTCATTCCTGTTTGGGGCAGTTATTATGGAGCCCTTTCTTCTTCTGTACTAAAATTGGCCTCCCTGAAATTTCTTTCAAGGGTCCCAGTTCCGACCTGTGGAGTGACCGAATGAAGCTGGCCCTTTTCCCAGAAGTCCTTTGTGTGTTTGAAGGACAGGAAAATGTCTTTCCTTTCCTCTCCCAGGCCTTCTCTATACCAGTCTCAATGCCCCCGTTAACCCTCTTTCATACAGCAGTTTCCCAGAGGGTGAGCTCAGGGATCTCCAAGTCAGAAGGCGCTTTGGAGGCCACCCGTTCTGTCTCACTTGCTAACGAGAAGGAAATGCAGGCCCAGAGGTCACAGCAGGTCCTGGGGACCCCATGGTGGTTTCATGGCAGGACTGACCTAGTGCAGGGAGGTCTGCACCTGATTTTCTCAGCTCTCATGATTGAAGAGGCAAACTCTCAGTTGGGGAACGCTCACAGGTGGGCATGGGAGGAGTCCCAGGTATGCAGGCCAAGGGCATGGGTGGCCTGGCTGGCCCTGGCTCCTGTCCTTTGCCTGCCCTCCTCACCCTGCTGTGTGTACAGAAGAGCCTCAAGGAGCCTGTTGTCCCATCCCTAGGCCTGCTTCTCCTTCCAGATGTAGAAGAACTCCTTGGACACCCACTGGGAAGCAGCAAAACCACTCTGTCCCTGGGGCTTTGGAAATAAACAGCACTTTTTTTTTTTTTTTTTTTTTTTTTGAGATGGAGTCTTGATCTGTCGCCAGGCTGGAGTTCAGTGATGCAATCTGGGCTCACATCAACCTCCACCCCCTGGATTCAGGCAATTCTCCTGTCTCAGCCTCCCAAGTAGCTGGGATTACAGGCACCCGCCACCACACCCAGCTAATTTTCATATTTTTAGTAGAGGTGGGGTTTCACCATGTTGGGCAAGATGGTCTCAATCTCCTGACCTCATGATCTGCCCACCCCGGCCTCCTAAAGTGCTGGGATTACAGACATAAGCCACTGTGCCCGGCCTAATAGTTTCATTTCTTTTCTTTTTCTTCCTTTTTTTTTTTTTTTTGAGATGGAGTTTCGCTCCTGTTGCCCAGGCTGGAGTGCACCGTGCCCGGCCAATAAGCAGCATTTCACTCCCCACCTTACCTGACTCCTTCCAGGGTTTGTCGCCTTTCCGGTCCCTGACCCCAGTGGATGGGAGTCTGTCCTCTAGGCTGGAGGAGCTAAGATCCGAGTCACTGTCACTGTCACTGGAAACCACTGGAAGAGACAGACCACAGCACAGGAGGTCACCCGACCAGCCCCTACCTGCAGGCATGGACGGAGGGACGAGGGCAGGCCTCCCCAGCTCATTACCACGTGGCGTAGCAGCTCAGCTGGCCCTTTCGCTTTGGGCAGAAGAAATAATGGCCTGGGGATGGGAGGACACACATTTCTGCTGCACAAAGAGGGGAGTCCTGATGTGAGGAGGCTGGGATCTGGGCTCAGGCTGACCAGCAGAGAAGAGTTCACCTGTTGGCCAGCCACCTCCACATGACAACCCCTGTTCTAGTTCCTCTAGTGGAACCAGAACCCACTGGCCGTGTCGGAGGCTGATTATCACCGTGATGCAGGCACAACAGATCTGAGGCCTCCACTCACTGAGACAATAGACCCAAGAACAACAGCTCTGAGGCCTCCACTCACTGAGACAATAGACCCAAGCACAACAGCTCTGAGGCCTCCACTCACTGAGACAATAGACCCAAAAACAACAGCTCTGAGGCCTCCACTCACTGAGACAATAGACCCAAGAACAACAGCTCTGAGGGCTCCACTCACTGAGACAATAGGCCCAAGCACAACAGCTCTGAGGCCTCCACTCACTGAGACAATAGACCCAAGCACATCAGCTCTGAGTCCTCCACTCACTGAGACAATAGACCCAAGCACAACAGCTCGGAGGCCTCCACTCGGTGAGACAATAGACCCAAGCACAACAGCTCTGAGGCCTCCACTCACTGAGACAATAGACCCAAGCACATCAGCTCTGAGGCCTCCACTCACTGAGACAATAGACCCAAGCACATCAGCTCTGAGGCCTCCACTCACTGAGACAATAGACCCAAGCACAACAGCTCTGAGGCCTCCACTCACTGAGACAATAGACCCAAGCACATCAGCTCTGAGGCCTCCACTCGGTGAGACAATAGACCCAAGCACAACAGCTCTGAGGCCTCCACTCACTGAGACAATAGACCCAAGCACATCAGCTCTGAGGCCTCCACTCACTGAGACAATAGACCCAAGCACATCAGCTCTGAGGCCTCCACTCACTGAGACAATAGACCCAAGCACAACAGCTCTGAGGCCTCCACTCACTGAGACAATAGACCCAAGCACAACAGCTCGGAGACCTCCACTCGGTGAGACAATAGACCCAAGCACAACAGCTCTGAGGCCTCCACTCACTGAGACAATAGACCCAAGCACATCAGCTCTGAGGCCTCCACTCACTGAGACAATAGACCCAAGCACATCAGCTCTGAGGCCTCCACTCACTGAGACAATAGACCCAAGCACAACAGCTCTGAGGCCTCCACTCACTGAGACAATAGACCCAAGCACATCAGCTCTGAGGCCTCCACTTGGTGAGACAATAGACCCAAGCACAACAGCTCTGAGGCCTCCACTCACTGAGACAATAGACCCAAGCACATCAGCTCTGAGGCCTCCACTCACTGAGACAATAGACCCAAGCACATCAGCTCTGAGGCCTCCACTCACTGAGACAATAGACCCAAGCACAACAGCTCTGAGGCCTCCACTCACTGAGACAATAGACCCAAGCACATCAGCTCTGAGGCCTCCACTCGGTGAGACAATAGACCCAAGCACAACAGCTCTGAGGGCTCCACTCACTGAGACAACAGACCCAAGAACAACAGCTCTGAGGCCTCCACTCACTGAGACAATAGACCCAAGCACATCAGCTCTGAGGCCTCCACTCACTGAGACAATAGACCCAAGCACATCAGCTCTGAGGCCTCCACTCACTGAGACAATAGACCCAAGCACAACAGCTCTGAGGCCTCCACTCACTGAGACAATAGACCCAAGCACATCAGCTCTGAGGCCTCCACTCGGTGAGACAATAGACCCAAGCACAACAGCTCTGAGGGCTCCACTCACTGAGACAATAGACCCAAGTGCATCAGCTCTGAGGGCTCCACTCACTGAGACAATAGACCCAAGCACATCAGCTCTGAGGCCTCCACTCACTGAGACAATAGACCCAAGAACAACAGCTCTGAGGCCTCCACTCACTGAGACAATAGACCCAAGCACAACAGCTCTGAGGGCTCCACTCACTGAGACAACAGACCCAAGAACAACAGCTCTGAGGCCTCCACTCACTGAGACAATAGACCCAAGCACATCAGCTCTGAGGCCTCCACTCACTGAGACAGTAGACCCAAGCACATCAGCTCTGAGGCCTCCACTCACTGAGACAGTAGACCCAAGCGCATCAGCTCTGAGGCCTCCACTCACTGAGACAATAGACCCAAGCACAACAGCTCTGAGGCCTCCACTCACTGAGACAATAGGCCCAAGAACAACAGCTCTGAGGCCTCCACTCGCTGAGACAAGGCCCAAGGCAATGCTCTGCAGGGATGTGGGGACAGTCAGAGCTGACCCTTAGGGAGCATTCCAGGCAGTTTCCATGGACACATTCATTGAAGTTTCAGAACAATTCTGTGAGGTAGGAAACAGCATTACCCCCATTTCACAGGCAAGAAAACGGGGGCACGTGCCCAAGTTGTAAGTAGAAGAGCCGGATTCTCATCCTGGCAGGCTGGCTCCGTGGCTCCTGCTCACAACCCTCTGATTTTACTGCAAGAATTGAACTGGAAGCCAGCAGGCCTGGGCTCTCATCCCAGTTCATCCAGTAACGCACAGTGCAGTCTCACAAATGCGGAAGGGAACCAGACGGATGGGGCTGGAATCCCAGCAAGGGGAGGTGAGGATGTTGTCACAGTGAACATGCACTGTGGGAGAAACTCTCTTTTCTGGACTAAATGGAAACCGTATTTGGCTGGGTAATCAACAGTGAGAGTCATAATACAGGATATAGCTACCCTTTAAACATTCTATTTTAATTTTTAACACAGAAATGTACATCCATTCACCAATCTTTTGATGCCAGGCTTGGGTGCTTCTGCAAGATTGGCCCACACAGTCTCTCAGGTATAAACTGCACCCGTATTGCATTGTCTGTGACCCCAGGTGCAGTTTCTCTGAATTGCAGCGGGACCCACAGACCCTGGCCAAGCAGGACAACTGCAGAATCCTCCTTTTTCCATTTCTTCCTCTTGGTTTCCACAGTTGTCCTGCCCACCCCTAATTCCATATATTTTTATAAAGCAAGTTGCCTCCATCAATACTTTCCAGGGCTGGGTGTGGTGGCTCACGCCTGTAATCCCAGCACTTTGGGAGGGCAAGGCGGGTGGATCACTTGAGGTCAGGAGCTCAAGACCAGGCTGGCTAACATAGTGAAACCCCATCTCTACTAAAAATACAAAAGTAAGCTTGGCGTTGTGATGGGCACGTGTACTCCCAGCTACTCGGGAGGCTGAGGCAGGAGAATCACTTGAACCTGGGAGGCGGAGGTTGCAGTGAGCTGAGATTGCGCCACTGCACTCTAGCCTGGGTGACAGAGCAAGACTCTGTCTCAAAAAAGAAAAAAAAAAAAAGACTTTCCAAAGTCTCGGTTTTCATGAAACAATTGTCTCTTTTCTGCCTCTTTCCATCAATTCGCATAACATTTAATTAAGTGATATCATTGCAATACCAAGTACAACAGCACAGGAAGGTCTGGATCAAGGGTAACAGCTCTCATAGGCGAGAAACTCAGCAGATGGGACAGGAGTCATGGGCGCCTGTCAGCGTTTTCCTTGGGGAATGCAAAACACTGGTGGTTACGGAGGAAGGTTAGGGCGGGTTGAGCTCTTATGCCAGGCACTTTGCTGGGCCCTTAGTGAGCATCGTCTTCCAAACAACCCTGAGCCGCTGGTGAGAGGTAAGACTGGAAACAAAATCCGTCTATACTGCGGTGGCTAGCACGTTTCATCTGATCCAGTGAGCCCTTTCTGGAGCAGTGTGTAGGGAAGAATTCAGAGACCGCACTGAAGCTTAGTGGGAGGAAGTGCCTGGTCAGTTATGAAAATCCACCATGGGCACTGGGATGAGGAAACGGTAGCTGCCATGTAGATCCAGAGGCTTCTGGAAAAGCCTTCATGGCTCCAGCCTCTGTCACCTTTCAGCTAAGGGAGCCACAGGTCTTGGAACAAGCAACCAGAGGCTGGAGCTGGCTGCCGTGAAGACCTGGAAGACTCTCAACCCTGTGCACCCGCAGCAGAGCGGCCAGCACACAGTGGGCGTGCCCCCAACAGAGCGGCCAGCACACAGTAGGTTCACCCCCAGCAGAGAGGCCAGCACACAAGGGTGCACCCCCAGCAGAGCGGCCAGCACACAGTAGGTGCTTCATGAAGGTCAGGGGACTCGTGGTCTTGCCTCTTTTCCCCTCATGTCCTGCCAGTTTCACTCAAATGGTTCTTAAATCAGTCACTTCCTCACCATTGTCACTGCCTTAACTCGAGGTGTCAGCTCCTCCAACCTGGACTCCTGTGACAATGCCCCACCAGGGCCCCACCTGCAGGCACTCCACTCTGTGTTCTCTGCACAGCCAGGGGATGCTCCAGCAAAAGCACAGATCCCAGCTTCACCCTCTTTAAAGGTTCCCCATGCCCCCAGGACCACACTGGGCTCCTGCCCTTTGTCTACTTTTCCTCCTGCATCCCACGCCACCTGCTGTCTCACCCTGGGTGCCTCCAGCCTCCTGCGGCTTGTGGCTCCTGCCAGCACCTCCCGCTGGGACTGGCTTGCCCCTGCCCAGAATGCCCTGCCCACCCGTCTTCTCTTGGCACAGAAAACTGTCTTCTCCAGGAAGCCCTCCGTCTCACCTGTGCCCTGGCTGGCTGAATGCCCTGTGCTCTCTGCTACAACTGCACCAACCACTGTCTGCTCTGTTTGCATGTCTGCTTCCCCTAGCAGGTTGTGAGGCTCCTTGAGGGCAGGGACCAAATTGCACATGCAAATGAGGCTGGTGTGGCTCTCCTCTCTGTGGACCTGACCTGTACACTGGAGCAAGAGTGATGAGCATGGACTATTCTCAATAGCAAAGACTTGGAACCAACCCAAATGTCCATCAGTGATAGACTGGATTAAGAAAATGTGGCACATATACACCATGGAGTACTATGCAGCCATAAAAAAGGATGAGTTCATGTCCTTTGTAGGGACATGGATGAAGCTGGAAACCATCATTCTCAGCAAACTATCGCAAAGACAAAAAACCAAACAGTGCATGTTCTCACTCATAGGTGGGAATTGAACAATGAGAACACTTGGACACAGGGTGGGGAACATCACACACCGGGGCCTGTCATGGGGTTGGGGGAGGGGGGAGGGATAGCGTTAGGAGATATACCTAATGTAAATGACGAGTTAATGGGTGCAGCACACCAACACGGCACATGTATACAGATGTAACAAACCTGCACGTTATGCACATGTACCCTAGAACTTAAAATATAATGGAAAAAAAAAAAAAAAGAGTGATGAGCATGGGATCAGGCCTGGCCTCTCCTTCCTCCATCTGCTCAGAGGCTCTGCCTTTTTCTGTCCTGCTCCCCAGGAAGAGTTCTACTCCGGCTCCTTGGACTTTTATGATGCCGCAGCAAGAGGAGATGGGGATGGGGCATGGCTGTGGTCCGTGTGCCCTCTTCGTAGTACTTGAGAAATGCAAGGAAAACCTGCCTTATTTTGCAGTTGTTTTTCGGGTCCTGGACTGAGCTGCTTTGATCATGAATCCACCAAGACTGGACCTCATGGGTGTCAGTTTTATAAGCATTTCTGTAGTTTTGACTCACTGATGAGATGCCAACCTCATGGGTCCCATGAAAAAGGGATAGGAGGAGGTGGGAAGGAGCCAGGGATTCCTGCTGGGCTCCTGGAGCAAGTTGTTCCCATGTTGCCCTTGGGGCAGCTACAGTGAAATTAGAGGCCTGTGGCTCACACTTCCCGGGAGCAGGGAGGTGTCCAGCAGGAGGACAGTCCTGCGGAGGGTGGGGTGGCTCGTCTGCACACCGGTTTCCGCCTCTCTCTGGCAGAGATGCTTATGGGAGGTCTAGTCATGCTTCCTGACTTGGAATGTCCCATCTCCCCCACAGCTAATATGGAAAATCTACACAGTCTGGGGCTGGCGGTGGGCACGGGGCTCCGTGGTGTCACACAGTACCAGGCTCCTTTGGTGCAAAGGGGCAGATGTCAAAGGACTCAGAAGGAGACGATGGGATGGGATGTCCCAGGACTGGGGTTAGGGAGGTGAGCTCACCCTCCATCTCCCCACTCTTCCTTGTTCTGTCATCTATCACACATGGTCACAGAGTTGGGCTGGGAGCAGGCGAAAACGGCAAGACAACCGTGAACCATGCCGTGCCATGTCGTGAGGACGGCGTTTGTTATGAGTCGTGCATTTTATCCAAAACAGCAACCCTGGAGGTGGAGTTAGGGTCAGGGTGCCACCTGGCCTAGTCCCCATTTGGTGCCCGTGTGCACAAGGATTCACAAAAAACAGGTAGAAATCCTCCCTGAGTTACAGTCACCTTGTTCTTCATCTCCATTTATAGACCCCAAAGGGCCACAGCCGTGAAGAAGTGGGGAAGAGCCTCAGATGCCAACTGAGCTCACACAGGTGACACAGCAGGCGCCAGGAAGCCGATGAGACAGACTCATCTCATTAGATGCATCCTCCCTGGCTTGTTCTTCATCTCCGTTTATAGACCCCAAAGGGCCACAGCCGTGAAGAAGCAGGGAAGAGCCTCTCCGTGACTGGACCCTCTCTGCTCACTGTGTTGGGATTTCAAGCTGGGGCTTAGAGGTCTTTGTGGTACAGACCCAAATCCCATTTCTAATCCACTCTAATAAACACCACTCGAAAGAAATAAACCAAAGGAAGTCAGCAGTGCCCGCACCAGCCTTGGCATTTACTGGCAGGGCGGAAGGGCCACACCGAGCAAACCCTGCTGAGAAGCCCTGGGCCCAACACAAACACGGTGTCCCCAAATGTTCCTGGCTTCCTCGGGCTGCAAAGGAAGAAGCCTTTTCTTCTTCCTCCCTCCATTGAAATGTCACCGTAAAACTCAAACTTCGGCTAATTTGCCATTCGATTGCTGTTGCCACCTTTCTCCCTGCATAGCAGCTGTGATTGTCAGTCTTCCAGGTCTATTCACAAAGATTTCAGACTCATACATCTGGCCCTTGCTCTTCCATCCTCAACATAACACTCTGTGTGTCTGAAGGCTGATACATTTTTTTTCTCTCTAATTCTCCAAAGGCTGAGTCTGGGATGGCTCACCGACGAGCCCTGTATTCTGCCCACGCCTGGTTTTTCAGATGGAAGATGCGAGTACACCAGGGAGAAGGCTGTCCCAACAGCCTTTCGGAGGAAGAAGTATCATGGAGTCACCCGGGTGCCGCCGAGAGGCAGGGGTGGGGGAGAAGCTCCCCTCCTGGGCCCCTCCACAGGGGCCTGAGCCACTTGCTGGGGACCTGGCATCCCTGAGGCTTCCCCACTGCAGCCCAGAAGGGCTGCCTGCTTGCCGGGTGCTCATCCTCAGCAGTGGCCAGCCCCAGCGCCAGCCGTGCCCACTTCTCTGGGGAGAGGCCAGCTTTTCTTTCCCCCTGCTCACTCTTGGCTGGGTTTGCAATTTGACTGTCACCATGGAAACGCAGGGTTTTGGTACACGGAGCGGGGGGAAGAGTCTTTCCTTCTGGAAACGCTTTCTTGACTGCCTCAAAGGACATGGGCGGCAGCTGTCCTGTGGAGAGGCCTGGCCTGGGATGGTCCAGGGGACAGGCGTCATGCTGGCCGTGTGGCCTCACAGCACTGCGCTGGGGATGTGGGGGCCCTGCTTCCAGGCTCTGCTCAGCCACCACCTGTCTCTGTGGCCCCAGGCATCTCTCCAGGCTTCACTACAAAAACACAGGGGCTGACCCAGGCACCCACTCTGGGTCTGAATCCTGGGATTTAACCTTGGGTCAGCCCATGGGTGGAGACAGCCCTGGTGCCTCTCCCTGGTCGGGGTGGGGAGATGCTCCCACTGGGCCACAGAGCATTGCCGCCCGGCACAAGGACAGCCAGCAGCCTGAGTTTGGGAGGCACTTGTGAGCTACGGCCACTCTGCTTGGAGGCTCCCAAAGCCCCCAGAAATTATGGGAATTATAGAGGAAGAGAGATATTTTCAGCAAACATTCTGCCAAGGCAAAGCAGATGGTGGAAAATTTTGCATACTAAAAACAAAAAAAAAATTCTCTAATGTAAAGGAATGATGATAAGGCCCCTGGGAGTGTAGACACTCCCAATTAGCCGTCTCCAGCCCACCAGGCAGGCACAGCTGCAGAGACGCAGGACTGTCTGTCCCTGCTGGGACAGGGGACGGCTGCTCCACCTGCACACAGGGTAGGGTCCTTGGCCTGAAGTCCCACTGAGATGTCTCCCAAGGCTGGGGCTCCATCTTGGTGGCAGCTGGAGGGGAGCCTGGGGTGGGGGAGTCACCGGCTCTGAGACTTGGGTTGGTGTCCTGCCTCTGCCACCTCCCAGTGGTATAACTTTAGGCCAGTTTCCTATTTTTTATTTTTAGTTTTTGTAAAGACATCATCTCCCTATTTGCCAGGGCTGGTCTGTAACTCCTGGGCTCAAACAATCCTCCCGCCTCGGTCTCCCAAAGTGCTGAGATTACAGGCGTGAGTGCCCGGCCCTGGAGCAGTCCTTTACCTCTCTGTGTGCTCAGGGGCTCGCCTGCGGAGAGGGGGATGGGGACTCTCACCCCGGGTTGTCGTGAGGGTCAAAAGGAGTAACGCGTTCGGCATCTGGCCTGTGGTAGGTGCTTGATAGGCAAGAGCTGTTACATTTCAGAGGCAGCTGGAACTCACGGGCCCACACCATGCAGCACAGGCTGGCCCTGGGGTGCCCAGGCCAACCTCGCAGGTGGACTCACCCCTTTCGAGGAAGCGTGGATTCCCAAGCTGGGCTTTGTAGGACACCCAGGACACAGGATGCCTTCAGAAGTCATTCAGAGGCAGAGCTGGGATTTGAACCCAGGCCTTTCTATTGCCAGACACCCCGCTTTTCCACCTCACCAAGCACGCAGGATGCCCCAGGGTCCTGCCTGACCCTAACGGCTCTATCCCCTCAGAAATCCTCCTCTCCAGGCGGCCAGTCCCCTCTCGGTCTCCCCACCATGCTCTTCTGTGCCCTCTCTGGACCCTTTTTCTGTCGCAGCAGAGGCTGCAGTGTGGGAGAGAGCTCTAGTTCACTCTCAGCAGCTAGGGTTGAGCTCTGGTCCTGCCTTGGATGCTCTTGGGCAAATACCTTAATCTTTTTCAACCTCAGTCTTCCCATCTGTAAAATGGAGACAAAAATAACTACTAAGCAGGACAAACAGCTTTGCAAATTTAAAAGGCTATACAAGCCTATACATATTTTTAAAAAATTAGAATCTAATCCACCCCCTCCAGGAACCCATTCAAATCATTTCTCCACTGAAAAGTCTCAATCCTCACGGGCAAAATGCCAATGGAAAGAAGCAGGGAAGACGCAACCTCCCTCCTCTCCCCACCCAGATGCTGTCTGGCTTGCATTTCAGCTCCTACCAATGCCTGCCTCAACTTCCTCAACATATTCAGGCACCACTCGAGGGCAAGGCCATACCTAAAGGCAAGTGTCCCTTCCCTCAGCCCCACTGCTGGGTTTTGGGCAAAGCGGTTACTCAGGAAATACTTGCTGACTGTTTTCCTGAAAATGCTCCCCAGGACAGGAAACCGCACTGTACAAAGACAGCAGGGCCAGCTGGGGTCAGCAAGGGGTGGGCCACAGAGGGAAAGGAGACCCCAGACCCCATCTGTCACCTCCATGTCCCCCAAAGAGCTGGGGTTTCCCCCAGGACAAGCGCTGGGCAAGCAGCCCTTCTGAGCCACGACGGAGGGACCTCAGGGATGCCAGGCCCCTCTCCCAGCCTCCCCTGAAGGGACACTCAGGGGGATGCTTGGTGGCCTCAGCCTGGCAAAAAACAGCTGAATGGGGAGGGGCTGTAGGAGGCTGCTTCCATGGCCATGGATGAGTGGGTCCTGGGGGAGAGTGCCCGGTTCACACAGCCTGCTCTTCCAAACCCACCTCCGGGCCAGGGTGCAGGGTTGGGGGAAACACGCTCTTCCTTTGGTTTGGAAACTCCCTGCAGGTTGTGGGTCTGGAAAGGGAGAAAGGGGGCTCTGAGGCCCAGAGGGCCTGTCCGCTTAGGGAGGGGTCCACTGGCAGCCAGAAGCAGCTCAGAGCCTGCCCCTCCCTCCCTCCCTCAGGGACCCTGGAGCCAGGAGATATGGGGTGTGCTTCTGGCCCTTTGCTGGCTACCACCTGACCACCCCTGACAGCCACAGGACTACCTCAGAGGGCTGGAGAGGACATGGTACCTGGGGAGCGCTGCTTCCTTGGTCCCCCTTCCAGGCTGCCATGGAAAGGCCCCCGAGGACAGCCCCAGGCACGGGAGCTGATGGGCACAGACAGGGCTGGGAATCCAGGTCTGGGGAGTGGAGGAGGGCGTCCTGCACTTGCTTATTCATTTACCATCGATTTTCATTTACTCCCTCCTTCAGGCCCAGAGACAGACAGGAGGCACCAGATAACGAAGACAAATCCTCAAATCGATAGAGATGTGGTCACCAGCATCGAAATCTCACAGTCCCTGCACTCGCTTGAGGAGCTCCAGATAGAATGAAAGGTGGATGGACGGAAGAAGAGATCGGCTCCCTCCAGAGAGAACGCGAAGTGCGGGGGACCATTCAGGGAGAGAGGGGCACTCAGTAAGGGCTTCCTGGACGAGCTGGAATTTAAGGATGGGCATAATTTAGACACAAAAGCTGAGGCTGGGGTGTGCCAGGCATCCTGGACAGAGAACAGGAAAAGCAAAGGCCAGGCAGTGGACTCCTCTGGGGCCAGGACCATCCTGCTGGCTCAGGAGAAAGGCCCCAGGCTCAGGCATACAGGGGACATGGCCTGGTCTGGGTTGGGTGTGGTCTGCACTGTCAGGGACAGATGATGGCTTTTGGTTTATGAAAGAATGAAACACGGCAAGCCTATGCCCCCTGCCCACGACTTCACTGGGGTGCAGGACGTGCTTTCGGGTGCATCCTGACTCCAGCCTTTCTCTCCGTGTGTCTCTGGGGCCTTCACTGTTCTTCCACCTCATCTCTTTGTGCCTCCCTTGTTTTTTGTTGTTGTTGTTGTTGTTTTTCATAGAGACAGGGTCTCGCTATGTTGTCCAGGTTGGTCTCGAACTCCTGGGCTCCAGGGATCCACCCGCCTTGGCCTCCCGAAGTGCTGGGATCACAGGCGTGAGCCATGGCACCTGGCCTCTTGCTGATGTTTCCAAACTCTCCCTCTGCCTCTGAATTTCTTATCTTCATTTCCCTCCGTATCTGTGTCTTTGTGTGTTCAGAGCCTTCTAGAGTGTTTCTTGGTTCCTCCTTCTGTCTATGCCAGCTCCTCTCACTCTCCAGGATCTGCCTCTCTGCATCTCTGGGCCTCCATCTCTGTCTCTCCCTCCCCAGGTCTCTCTGTCACATATCCTCAGGGCACTGCTTTCTTGGCCTCTGGGTTTGTGCCTCAGGTTCCCCCACTTGGGCTGGAATCTCACTCCCTCAGGCCCATGGGGTCTGTGGTCAGAGCTTAGGTTTGGGGTGGGCTGCCTGCTTTGCCTGGAACTCCTGTCTAGCCCAGGAGCAACCAAGGTAGGGAGGCCTGCCTGCCCCTTCCTGTGTGCAGGCCAGGGCCCTGCTGCCCACTTCTGGACCACCAGCGGGAAATCAGCTGAGCCCCACGTGCAAGGCCAGGCCTCACCTGTGACGGACAGTTGGCCCTGGGAGAGAGCTGAGAGCTGACAGGAGCCAGGGCGGTTATCTCCCAGGCCTTTGCTGGAATCAGATGGGGCAGAGAGGCCCAGATTTATTCACTTCACTTAGTCCCCGAGACAGGTGAGCGGCTGGAGATGGACGTGCTTCACTGCACGAGGCAGAGGCTAGCATGGGCCAGGCACACACGGGAGCTCTGCACACCAAAAGCAAGCCAGAGGCTGGCCCTTGGGGGCTGGGCCCCACTCTCCCAGTTCAGCTAAGACAGGGGCAAGGGGCCCGCAGATGTCACCTTGCAGCTGGAATTGACCAATCAGCCAAGGTTGTCATTGGGTCTCGGGCAAATTAGAGGCGACAGCCATGCTCCTGACCTCCGTGGTGTGGCTGATGAGGGCCTTCTGCTCTTGGAAATCCACCTCTAAGCCAGCGAGGAGGCCCACGACAGGCAGGTGGGCTGCTGGGGGAAGAGGTCGGGTGTGGCAGGAAAGCAACAGCGGCTCATTTGTGCTCAGGACATCTGTTCTGGGGGCGGCCCCTCCATTCATGCCCCTCATCACTGAGCTTGTGTCTGGCTTAACCAAGAGCTCCAAAGGTCAAAACAAATTCGTGTGTGTGAGCTTCCGTTTCAAAACACCCGCCAAGCAAGACGTGGCCGGGCCTCTACTCCCCTGAGATTTAGGGAAAGGGCAGTTTCCTGACTGCTGCAGGTGTTTCTCTGCCTTTCCATGCTGAGACTACGGTGCAAATTATTTGACCTCTCCATGACTTAGTTTCCTATTCTGTAAAATGGGACAACAGTAGCGGCCCCGTCACAGGTTGTTGGGGGATGACACGAAATAACGGAGACGCACAGCGCCCAGGACAGCCTGCAATGAGCACCCGTGTCATCTATGGCAGCTACAGCTGTTGCTGTTTTTATCGGACTCCTCAGCACCAAGGGCCAAAGCCCATCCCTTTTACCTGCACAGACAGACAGGCAAATGGTACCCAGGCCTCGGCTGACCCTGGCAGAATGGCAGCTGCCTGAGAAGACCAAGGCCGACTATCAGTGTCTCTCCCAGCGGGACCCACGGTGGCCTCGGGCAGTGCAGCGTCACCCCCCTCCCCTCGCCCTGTCTCAGCTGGGAGGGATGACATTCATTCCCCAAGTGTCTGGCTGGACCAGAGCCACAGACACAACTGTCTATGACATTGTTTGATTGTTTATTTTCTTGACCCAAACAGCAGACCTGCACCAGGGAGATCTGAGTCAGTGGCTTCCAAGGTGCCACACAGGGCCTGTGGTGCCGTTCTCAGGTGGTTCAAAGACAACTCCCCCCTTCCTTGTCTCTAAACAGTCCTTTCCGGCGTGTGTGTGTGTGTGTGTGTGTGTGTGTGTGTGTGTGTGTGTGTGTGTGTGTGTGTGTTGGCTTCTATTAGCTTTACATTTCAAAAATCCCAGGTACTTCCAGCTCCCTGGGACTACAGAATCCATGCAGGGAGGAAAATGAACAGAGATGGGGAAGGTGATAATTAAGCATAAGAGGCCTTCCTGGGGCTAGGACTTGGGAAGGAAGCTTCAGTCAGTTCATGGCACTTAGTGAGCGCTTATCAAAGCATAGTGGGGATGCTGGGTGGGTCTGACGGGATTTCGTTTGACAGCATGTGCCTGTCTGTGTGGCACGTGTGCGTGTGTGTGCAGAGGGTGGGGCCAACATGGAAATGGGGCTGGGCTTTCCAGTAGAGCCTGATCTGAGAGCTGCCTTACCAGCCACTGCTCTACCCCCCGCCTGAAATTCCTCTGTAAGTTTCATTCCCTTGGATTTAGACCTGTAAGACACGACCGCTGGGAGAGAACAGACTCTGTCCCAGCCCCTCATCCATTCTACTCATGGGGAAACCAACACCTAGAGAGGAAAAATGACTTCCAACGCCAAGACTGTCCGGCCCAGGAGTCCCCCAGGAAAACACCAGCCCTGTGGGGGCTGGGCCTGTAAGCCCTGCTGATGAGGTCACGTTGGGCCACCTCCATGATCATGGCAGCCACTAGGGGCAGGGTCAAGGGGTCAGGGTTAGGAGTACAGTCACACAGACGTGACCTGGTCATGCCCCTGCCTCCCACTGGCCAGGTGCAAAGGTCAGGGAGTGAAGTGAGCTGGACATGAGGGCCCTTCCCTTCTGAGAGAAGCATGCCCATTTTTCTTGCAACAGGCACCCCTATTGGTCTGTCTTCTTTCTTTTCACAGGGATGTGAAACAAGAACGGTTTCACTTTCTTCTTAAAAACACTGCAACGGTGATGCTGAAAGGGTGTCAGAGACAACAGGGCCGGGTGGGGACTGCAGCGAACCACAGAATGCAACCGGGGAGCGGCTACTTCCCCTGACCAACTTCCCTGAGCAGGGAGCGGCTACTTCCCCTGACCAACTTTCCCCCAAGCGGGGAGCGGCTACTTACCCTGACCAACTTCCCTGAGCAGGGAGCGGCTACTTACCCTGACCAACTTCCCCGAGCAGGGAGCGGCTACTTACCCTGACCAACTTCCCCGAGCAGGGAGCGGCTACTTACCCTGACCAACTTCCCCGAGCAGGGAGCGGCTACTTACCCTGACCAACTTCCCCGAGCAGGGAGCGGCTACTTACCCTGACCAACTTCCCTGAGCAGGGAGCGGCTACTTACCCTGACCAACTTCCCTGAGCAGGGAGCGGCTACTTACCCTGACCAACTTCCCTGAGCAGGGAGCGGCTACTTACCCTGACCAACTTCCCTGAGCAGGGAGCGGCTACTTACCCTGACCAACTTCCCTGAGCAGGGAGCGGCTACTTACCCTGACCAACTTTCCCCCAAGCGGGGAGCGGCTACTTACCCTGACCAACTTCCCCGAGCAGGGAGCGGCTACTTACCCTGACCAACTTCCCCGAGCAGGGAGCGGCTACTTACCCTGACCAACTTCCCTGAGCAGGGAGGTATCGGAAGCCCTTCTGACTTCCACAAAGGAAGCCAGAGCTCCAGTTTTTTTAAAAATGAGAGTTCTCCACATTTAAACTAGTTGACAATGAATTTTAAGCAGTAGGCCAGATTGAATCACTGCTCCACCAGTCTGTGACCCAAAACACAGGCAAATGTGTGGTCCCAGAGGACAGACGGCACCCACCTCCTGACAGGGAGGCTTCCTACTCCATTCCGCCTCCTTCTGCAAGCTCCAGCCCCCCCGGCCCCGGTGTGTACAACACACACTCCCAGCTGCTCTGAAGGCTGTGGAGAATTCACGTACCGCGGCTGGTATATGTGACAGAAATGGCAAATCCAGAGTCTGCTAGCAAAATACGGGGGTGGGGAGTGGGCTGGGGGTGAGGAGAAGGAGGCTGAGCTTCCAAAATGCAAATCTCTCAGGGACAGAGAGAGAAGGAAGGCGGCATAGCAGCAGCTGGCTCTGGGCGGTCAGCAATCCTATCTGAAAATAAAACATTTTACAATCCACAACTGCACCTCATTAAGAATGAATGGATCGGCTGGTATAAATAGCATGCCACGTGAAGAAGTCAGGAAACAGCATATGCGTTTGACGGAAAAACGGCAGCCACAGGGCTGCTTATTAGCTCGGTGGGCGGAGGCTCTTCACTCACTAACAAGACGGGTCCCGGGTTCAAAGCTGGGGTCGGCCGAGGCTCTGCACTAACAAGACGGGTGCAGGGTTCAAAGCTGGGGTCAGCTGAGGCTCTGCAGTAACAAGAGGGATCCCGGGTTCAAAGCTGGGGTCGGCGGAGGCTCCGCACTAACAAGACGGGTCCAGGGTCCAAAGCTGGGGTCGGCCGAGGCTCTACACTAACAAGACGGGTCCCGGGTTCAAAGCTGGGGTCGGCCGAGGCTCTGCACTAACAAGACGGATCCAGGGTTCAAAGCTGGGGTCGGCCGAGGCTCTACACTAACAAGACAGGTCCCGGGTTCAAAGCTGGGGTCGGCCGAGGCTCTGCAGTAACAAGAGGGATGCAGGGTTCAAAGCTGGGGTCGGCCGAGGCTCTGCACTAACAAGACGGATCCAGGGTTCAAAGCTGGGGTCGGCGGAGGCTCCACACTAACAAGACGGGTCCCGGGTTCAAAGCTGGGGTCGGTGGAGGCTCCACACTAACAAGACGGATCCCGGGTTCAAAGCTGGGGTCGGCGGAGGCTCCACACTAACAAGATGGATCCAGGGTTCAAAGCTGGGGTCAGCGGAGGCTCTACACTAACAAGACAGGTCCCGGGTTCAAAGCTGGGGTCAGCGGAGGTTCCACACTAACAAGACGGATCCAGGGTTCAAAGCTGGGGTCGGCGGAGGCTCCGCACTAACAAGATGGATCCTGGGTTCAAAGCTGGGGTCGGCCGAGGCTCTACACTAACAAGACAGGTCCCGGGTTCAAAGCTGGGGTCGGCCGAGGCTCTGCAGTAACAAGAGGGATACAGGGTTCAAAGCTGGGGTCGGCCGAGGCTCCGCACTAACAAGACAGATCCAGGGTTCAAAGCTGGGGTCGGCCAAGGCTCTACACTAACAAGACGGGTCCATGGGTCAAAGCTGGGGTCGGCGGTGGCTCCGTACTAACAAGACGGGGGTCCCAGGTTCAAAGCTGGGGTCGGCCACATGGCTTCCCTGATCTTGGAGCACAGAAGGCCTCACACTGTGCCAGCCCTGCTCCCAACCTGGGCTTAACTCTGGACACACAGTGCCAGCCCACAGTGAGCTTCTCACAGCTCCTGACCCACAGGACCCCCACTCTAATGTCCTACCTCTGGGCTTGAATGCTGCCATTGACAGGGAGCTCACTCCTCCGTCAGATGCAAAACACTCAGTTCTGTGGCTGGATGGCTATTGATCGAGGAAACCTAAATGTCCCCTGCTGTGGCTATTGATCAAGGAAACCTAAATGTCCCCTGCCCTGCCTCAGCTCTGCTCTGGGTCTGGGAGAAGTGGCCTTAGCTGGCCACGCCATCCGTTATGTTTGACTATCGGACACTGGCCACGCCATCCGTTATGTTTGACTATCGGACACAGAACAGAAATAATTGGGCCAATCACTTTTTCTCCCAAGTATGGACGTGAGGTCCTGAGAGCGGGGTGGGGGTGGGGCAGATGGTTGGCTTGGAGGGCTGGCAAGCTGCAGAGCGGGCGTCGGGAGCACAGAGCTGGCACAAGTAGAAGCAGCTCAGCCGCCCTGTCTGTCTCCTCGCGGCCTCGCCAGCCTTCGTCTCCCGCCCTGATTCTGGGAGAACCTTCCTCAGTGGTCTGGCAGCAACCTCTACCTCGTGCCAGCCTTGGTGGTCCCTGATCCTCACAACCAAAAATCCCCAACAGTCGGAAAAGAAAAAGCCAGTGAGCGTCGAGAACTGAGCGACAGCCTGACGCTGCACGGCTTCCGCCACGGGCGGGGCATGCGCTGGGTTTTGGAAGCCGGGATCCTGGGCCCTCTTGGGCACAGCCTGGCCGCCTACAGGACCCTGGTCAGCCTTCCCCTCCTCATCCATCATCGACAGTCCATTCCACCGTCTGTAGCTGCCCTGGAGGCTGCTCTGAGCATCAGCTGGGTTAGCGGCCATGAGTCACAGAGCGCTGGGGCTAGTACAGCTCGGAGGGACTCAGCTCTTCCCGGAAGACAGGTAGAGGGCGTGGGGTGGGGGCGGCAGGATCACTGGGGAAGGGCGGCCCCGGCAAACATTTGCGGCCTGAGCTGAACCAGGCTGTTCAACCCACACAGAACCCTCAGGCTTGCTTTCACGCCACCACAAAAAGGACCACAGTTTGGAATTTGTAAAATCTGTCTAACATCAAGTGAGCCACTGAAGTGATCGTGAAACTCCCATTTTTCTTAAAACTCCCCACCTGGAACAAATCCAAAACCTGTAAGGGAACCAGTGTGTCACCCTGTTCTGGAACAGACCTTGAAGGGAACCGGTGTGTCACCCCGTTCAAAGCCACCCAGGAGGCCTGCACTCCCCTCTGGGGAAGGATGGACGGTGGAAGGCGGCAGGATTCCTGCAGAGAGGCCTGAGGAGGGACAATGACCCAGGCCTCAGAGGAGAAGGGAAAAGGAATTTGCCTCCCAGCCGGAGCTGCCTGTGTCCCAGCCTGGGAGCTTTTTGGTTCCTCTCTAAGGGCATGGACGTGAGGAGGAAATGGGTATTTACACCCTGTGAGCAGGGCTTTTGATGGTGCTGGGCAAAGTGGAGAGGCCTCCCCAAATCTGGCCAGGCCACAGCCCAGTGACAAGGCTTTCAATGATACCCCAGGATCCCAGGCCGAGGTCCACATGGTAAAACTTCATGAATCCAGAGGTCCTGGCCCCCACCTGAGAGCCCTCTGAACACTGGCTTCAGGCCCCTGGTGTCAGGCGCTCAGTCACAATTGAGAAAGGCAGGCAGAAATGACACAGCAGGCCGGGTGCGGTGGCTCATGCCTGTAGTACCAGAATTTTGGGAGGCTGAGCCAGACAGATGACTTGAGCCCAAGAGTTCAAGACCAGGCCTGGACAACGTGGAATCACCCCGTCTCTACAGATACAAAAAAATTAGCAGGTGCGGTGGTACATGGCCAGCTACTTGGGAGGCAGAGGTGGGAGGATTGCTTGAGTCCGGGAAGTCGTGTGCAGTTAGCTGAGACTGAGCCACTGTACTCCACTCCAGCCTAGGTGACAGAGTGAAACCCTGAGAAAGAAAGAAAAGAAAGAAAGAAGAGAGAAAGAGAGAGAGAGAGAAAGAAAGGAAGGAAGAGAAAGGAAGAGGAAGGAAGGAAGGAGAAAAGAAAAGAGGGAGGGACAGAAAGAGAGAGAGAAAGAGAAAAAGAGAGAGAGAGAAAGAAAAGCAACAAAATGAAACGAAACTCCAGAAAGAGAGAGAGAAAGAGAAAAAGAGAGAGAGAGAAAAGAAAAGAAACGAAACTCCAGGGCAGACCTAGGCAGCGGTGCCTGCGGGTCACAGCTCTGGAGGTTGAAGAGAAGAAGCCGCATCCTGTTAACTGTCCTCGGCGTTGGAGGCAGAGAACAACGTCCACCTGAGAATCGCTTCCGCGCGTAGTGACTCCAGCCGCGCCTTTATCGTTCTTCCTTTCTTTACAGTGACAGCTGGAACTGCAGCACCCATCTTGTGACCATGAGGGAAAGAGAAGAATTGCAAAGACATCTGTCCTGACATCAC
Organism: Homo sapiens; assembly: GCF_000001405.40. Taxonomy (NCBI): domain Eukaryota; kingdom Metazoa; phylum Chordata; class Mammalia; order Primates; family Hominidae; genus Homo; species Homo sapiens. The sequence goes on from NC_000017.11 coordinate 238,624, forward strand.
TGAAGCTGCTGAACCGAAGCCGTGGCTCCTTCCTCTGAGCTTCGTATTTTATGAGAAAAAGATGTACTCTTTCGCTACTCAAGTATGCCATGTTGATGTGGCTACTTTCACCTCCCACCCCCAGCAGCTCTCTCTCTGTGCACAGGGTGGAAATCCAGCTTGAAGGCAAGAAGCCTGTGGAGGGGATGAACCCAGCTCTAAAGGTGTTACACCCCGGGGCCCACAGCACCGGTGCCGCCATTTACACCTCATATACCACAGGGGACCTCAGGGACCAGGCCCTATGCAAAAGCTGACTTTACTGCTGTCATATATGAGCAATGGTATGCCAGGAAGAGCAGGGGAGAGCACACACTGTCTGCAGGGATCAGGTGGAGGGGGAGAGACATCGCTCAGAGGCAGACCCTGTGACCAGGTACCAAGAGGTACTCAGGCCAGGCCGTTCCCCACCCCCTCCTGGGGAAAGAAGGAATACCCTGCTGGGACCCACCAAGGGGTCTGCAGGCAACTCCTTGGCCAAAATCAATACCCAGCGTCCAGGGGAGGGAGAGAGCAGCAAACTCAGGTAGTCAGCGCACCTGTCCTGCAGGTGCAGTGCAGTCACTGGGTCTCCCTGAGATAACACAGAGGACAGGAACACGTCTACTCTTTCCCTAATACTTTCATTGTGTTATTTTTAACATTTCGATCTTACCTATCTGCAGTGTGTTTCTGGATACACCTAGAAGGAGAAAGAAATCTAATTGCACCAGCTCCAGTTATGAGATAGGTCTGTTAGCTTCTCATTAAGTTGAAAAGTGACTTATGGTTGGCGTCCATACATTCTCAGGCTACCCTTTCTCTACTCTTGTCTATTCCACTCGTCTGTTTATTCCTACAAATAAATATTCTGTTTATCCTGATGCCAATACTATATCGTTCTTACTGATTTCAGTAACTTTATAGTAAGCTTTAAAATTTGGCTGGATAGTTCTTTCCACTACCCTCCCGATTCTGTTTTGTTTTGTTTTGTTTTTTTGAGAGATAGGGGTCTCACTCTTTCACCCAGGCTGGAGTGCAGTGGTGCAGTCTCAGCTTACTGCCGCTTCAAGCTCCTGGGCTCAAGTGATCCTCCCACCTTAGCCTCCTGAGTAGCTGGGACTACAGCTATGTGCCACCACACCTGGCTAAGTCTTACAAATTTATTTGTAGAGACAGTGTCTCGTTACGTTGCCCAGGCTAGTCTTGAACTCTTGACTCAAGCAATCCTCCTGACTTGGCCTCCCAAAATGCTGGGATTACAGGCATGAGCCAGTGTACCCAGCCTACCCTTGCTATTAGAAAGAGTTTTTTGGCCAGGTGCAGTGGCTCACGCCTCTAATCCTAGCACTTTGGGAGGCCAAGGTGGATGGATCACCTGATGTCAGGAGTTCAAGACCATCCTGACCAACATGGAGAAACCCCATCTCTACTAAAAATACAAAATTAGCGGGGCGTGGTGGTGCAAGCCTGTAATCCCAGCTACTCAGGAGGCTGAGGCAGGAGAATCACTTGAACCCAGGAGGTGGAGGTTGCAGTGAGCTGAGATCATGCCATTGCACTCCAGCCTGGGCAACAAGAGTGAAACTCCATCTCAAAAAAAAAAAAAAAGGTTTTTTTGTTGTAAGCTATTCTCCACCTTATGAATTTTAAAAACTGAAATATAATTTATATACCATAAAAGGTACCCTCAGAAAGTATACAAGTCAGTGGTTTTTAGTATAGCCATACGTTTACGTAACCACCACGATCTAGTTTCAGACCATTTGCATCAGCTCTGTGTACCCATTAGCAGTCAGTCCCCATTCCCCTCCCCATCCTCCCCAAGCCCTGGCAACCGCCCATCTACTGTCTGCCTCTGTGCACTGGCTTGTTCCCACCGGCTCATATAGATGAGATCACACAACACGCGGCCTTTCGTCTCCGGCTTCTTCCACTTCGCATGGTGTTTTCAAGGCTCATCCAGGCTGCAGCGTGGATCAGCACTTTCTTCCTATGACTGAATAACGTTCCACTGTGTGATTACACCATATTTTATCCATTCATCAGCTGATGGACGTATGAGTTGTTGCCACTTTTTGGTTATAATACTTCTGTGAACAATTGTGTCCTTATGAATATTTAAAAATCGTCTTCGGCCGGGCACGGTGGCTCATGCCTGTAATCCCAGCAATTTGGGAGGCCAAGGCGGGAGGATCACGAGGTCAGGAGATCGAGACCAGCCTGGCCAACACGGTGAACCCTGTCTCTACTAAACATACAAAAAATGAGCTCGGCGTGTAGCGGGCGCCTGTAGTCCCAGCTACTCAGGAGGCTGAGGCAGGAGAATTGCTTGAACCCAGGAGGCAGAGGTTGCAGTGAGCCGAGATTGTGCCACTGCACTCCAGCCTGGCGACAGAGTGAGACTCCATCTCAATAATAATAATAATAATAATAATAATAATAATAATAATAATAATCTTGTTGGCCAAGGATGGTGGCTCATGCCTGTAATTCCAGCACTTTGGAAGGCCAAGGTGGGTGGACAGCTTGAGCTCAGGACTTTGAGACCAGCCTGGACAACACAGTGAGGCTCCCATCTCTACAAAATATACGAATTTAAAAGTTTGGTAGGTGCAGTGGTGTGCACCTGTAGTCCCAGCTACTGGGGAGGCTGAGGTAGGAGGATCACGTGAGCCCAGGAGGTCAAGGCTGCAGCGAGCCATGATTGTGCCACGGCACTCCATCCTGGGTGACAGAGCAATACCCTGTCTCTAAAATTAAAAAAGTAAAAAAACCTAGAAATTGATTTGAATGTCCATCGATAGGTGATTAATTATAATACACTATATTGTGAGATTTTACTCAGCCATGAAAATGAATAATGTAAAATCTGTATCCGTTGGCCTGGAGGGATGCTCCTGATACTCTTTTAAGTGAAAAAAGCACCATGCAGAGTGTTGGGTAAGAGCCTATTTTTATTGCTAAAACAAAAGCCAAAAAAACCCCACCCCTTTATCAAGTATATGTTTGTAGGAACACAGAGAAAGGGTTTGGAGATGAGGGTAAGTAGAAGAGATGTTTCTTTTTCTTTTTTTTTCTTTTTTTTTTTTTTTGAGACGGAGTCTTGCTCTTTCTCTTTTTCACACACCTTTGAATTAACTCGCTAAAATATATCTTGTATTCTTATGTAATTAAAAATTAACAAAGAAAGGACTGGCATGGTGGCTCATGCTGGTAATCCCCGCACTTTGGGAGGCCGAGGCAGGTGAATTGTTTGAGGCCAAGGGGTTTGAGGCTAGCCTGGCCAATATGGCGAAACCCCGTCTCTACTAAAAATACAAAAATTAGCCAGGTTTGGTGGTATATGCCTGTAATCCCAGCTATTCAGGAGGCTAAGACTTGAGAATTGCTTGAATCCAAAAGGCGGAGGTTGCAGTGAGCAGAGATCACACCACCACACTCCAGCCTGGGTGGCAGAGCAAGACTGTCTCAATAAAAAAAAGAAAAAAATTAACAAAAAAACTTTAAAGGAGGAAGAAAAAGGAACCCACCTCAGAAACATCAACCCTTTCACCTGATTGCTCTGTGGGTTGAAAAGTTCATGACTTGTAGTATCTATTCATGATTACCTTCCTCTATTGATTACCTTCCTCTATTGACTACCTTCCTCTATTGATTACCTTCCTCTATTGACTACCTTCCTCTATTGACTACCTTCCTCTATTGACTACCTTCCTCTATTGACTACCTTCCTCTATTGACTACCTTCCTCTATTGACTACCTTCCTCTATTGACTACCTTCCTCTATTGACTACCTTCCTCTATTGACTACCTTCCTCTATTGACTACCTTCCTCTATTGACTACCTTCCTCTATTGACTACCTTCCTCTATTGACTACCTTCCTCTATTGACTACCTTCCTCTATTGATTACCTTCCTCTATTGACTACCTTCCTCTATTGACTACCTTCCTCTATTGATTACCCTTCCTCTATTGATTACCTTCCTCTATTGATTACCCTTCCTCTATTGACTACCTTCCTCTATTGACTACCTTCCTCTATTGATTACCTTCCTCTATTGATTACCTTCCTCTATTGACTACCTTCCTCTATTGATTACCTTCCTCTATTGATTACCTTCCTCTATTGACTACCTTCCTCTAATGACTACCTTCCTCTATTGATTACCTTCCTCTATTGATTACCCTTCCTCTATTGATTACCTTCCTCTATTGATTACCCTTCCTCTATTGACTACCTTCCTCTATTGACTACCTTCCTCTATTGATTACCCTTCCTCTATTGACTACCTTCCTCTATTGACTACCTTCCTCTATTGACTACCTTCCTCTATTGAATACCTTCCTCTATTGAATACCTTCCTCTATTGAATACCTTCCTCTATTGAATACCATCCTCTATTGATTACCCTTCCTCTATTGATTACCTTCCTCTATTGATTACCTTTCCTCTACTGATTACCTTCCTCTACTGATTGCCCCTCCTCTACTGATTGCCCCTCCTCTATTGATTACCTTCCTCTATTGATTACCCTTCCTCTATTGATTACCTTCCTCTATTGACTACCTTCCTCTATTGACTACCTTCCTCTATTGATTACCTTTCTCTATTGATTACCCTTCCTCTATTGATTACCTTCCTCTATTGATTACCTTTCCTCTACTGATTACCTTCCTCTACTGATTGCCCCTCCTCTACTGATTACCCTTCCTCTATTGATTACCCTTCCTCTATTGATTACCTTCCTCTATTGACTACCTTCCTCTATTGATTACCCTTCCTCTATTGATTACCTTCCTCTATTGATTACCTTCCTCTATTGACTACCTTCCTCTATTGACTACCTTCCTCTATTGATTACCTTCCTCTATTGATTACCTTTCCTCTATTGATTACCTTCCTCTACTGATTGCCCCTCCTCTACTGATTACCCTTCCTCTATTGATTACCCTTCCTCTATTGATTACCTTCCTCTATTGATTACCCTTCCTCTATTGATTACCCTTCCTCTATTGACTACCTTCCTCTATTGACTACCTTCCTCTATTGACTACCTTCCTCTATTGATTACCCTTCCTCTATTGATTACCTTCCTCTATTGATTACCCTTCCTCTATTGACTACCTTCCTCTATTGATTACCCTTCCTCTACTGATTGCCCCTCTACTGATTACCCTTCCTCTATTGATTACCTTCCTCTGATTACCTTCCTCTACTGATTACACTTCCTCTACTGATTACACTTCCTCTATTACCTTCCTCTATTGATTACCTTCCTCTACTGATTACCCTTCCTCTACTGATTACCCTTCCTCTACTGATTACCTTCCTCTATTGATTACCCTTCCTCTATTGATTACCCTTCCTCTATTGATTACCTTCCTCTATTACTTTCCTCTATTGATTACCCTTCCTCTATTGATCACCTTCCTCTATTGATCACCTTTCTCTATTGATTACCCCTCTATTGATTACCCTTCCTCTATTGATTATCTTCCTCTATTGATTACCCTTCCTCTATTGATTCCCTTCCTCTATTGATTACCCTTCCTCTATTGATCACCTTCCTCTATTGATTACCCTTCCTCTATTGATTACCTTCCTCTATTGATTACCTTCCTCTATTGATTACCCTTCCTCTATTGATTACCCTTCCTCTTCCAACAGGGCATGAGAAAGAAAATAGGGTGGCCTGGGATGCAGGGAGAAGAAGTTGGGAGCTACAGGTGCATGAGCCTAAGAGATGTGGGATGTAGGGAGAGGGAGAGAGGGAGAGAAGGGAAGAGAATGGGGGGGGAGAGGGAGAGAAAGAACTGGAGGTGGGCAAAGAGGCTTAGAGAGAGGCTGAGAGAGCGAGCAAGCTGGTGCTGTGATCAGCTCCAAGCCAGTGAAAGGGACTGTGGGGCAGGAAGAAGATGCTGGCCCCGGGGCCCTCGGAGGCAGGGTCCCAGGAGGAGCAGCGTCTGGTGAGAGCAGGGTGGTTTTCACAGCCTCCGAGTATCTCCTGGGACTTTCCAGCAGACCCCAATCCAGAGGATCCACACTCTACTGCAAGAGCATGGGGCCACTGCCCTCCTCGCCCATGAAATTAAAAGGCCATCTTTTAATTAATTAAAAGGCCAAGTCTGCGTGCCTGAGGAAGTGAGGGGGGCTCTGCTCCTCCCCAGGGTGTGCGCATGTGCATGGGAGTATGTGTGCGTGTGGGCAACCGTGTGTGTGCATATGAGTGCGAGTGTGTGTGCGTGTGAATCAGCATGTAAGCTACTGTGTGCATGAGTGTAACGCTAGTGTGTGTACATGCATGTGTGTGTGAGCTTGTGTGTCTGCATGTGAGCAAGTGTGTATGCATGTGGATATGAGTGTGTGTATGTGGATGTGTGTGTGGATGTGAGCACTATGTGTGCATGTGGATGTGTGTGCATAAATGTGCATGCGCAAGTGTGTGTAGACGTGTGTGTACATGTGGATGTGTGTGTGGATGTGTGTGTCCATGTGGATGTGTGTGTGCACATGGATGTGTCTGTGTGTACGTGGATGTCTGTGTGTGTGGATGTGAGCGTGTGTGTCCATGTGGATGTGTGTGTGCGTGTGGATGAGAGCATGTGTGTGTGCACGTGGATGTCAGTGTGTGTGTACGTGGGTGTGTGTGTGGATGTGTGTGTGGATGTGGATGTCAGTGTGTGTGTGTGGATGTGAGTGTGTATGTGGATGTCAGTGTGTGTGTGTGGATGTCAGTGTGTGTGTGGATATCAGTGTGTGTGTGTGCATGGTGATGTGTGTGTAGGTGTGAGCGTGTGTCAATGCGGTTGTGTTTGTGTGCGTGGATGTGAGTGTGTGTGTATGCCCTGACTTGGAGCAGACGGGGCAGTGGCAGCTCTTGAAGTGGGGCATAGGCCACAGCTGCCCCCATAGGCCTTCAGCCTCTCCGGCTCAACTGGCTCCAAGCAGCATTTTAAACCCACAGGTGTCCACCAGCTTCTGCTCCCACTGTCTGAGGGACATGGACAGATCTCGAGGGCTCAGCAGGAGAAGGTCTGAGGTCCAAGGGTGGCAGAGGGACCAGGTGGAGGACCGCCACTTCTCCAGCCAATCTCGGGCCACTCAGTTCCAGGCTGGGCAGCCACAGTGCCCCTCAGGCCAGTGTCCCAGCCAGGCCTGCACCCCCTCCTCCTGAGGGACTCCCCGCCTGCACGGTCTCCACTGCATTGCATCCCACGGTCCCCACCAATGTCTGTCCGTGGCAGCGATGTCGGGGGTGAACTCATAGGCAGCAGAGGTGTACGCAGCATCCGGTAGGACCAGCGAGGAGAGGCTGCTATGAGGGAGTCGGGGTGCTGAGGACAAAGTGCCTGCAGGCTGCACACCAAGGCACAGATGCCGACCTACCTGGCAGGTCCACGTATGGGGGATTTATACCTTCTACATACGTCACTGGACAACTTTCACATGTTCGTAATAAACATGCATTACTTTTGTAACAAGAAAAAACAGCCCGAATGACATAAAGATGGTCAGATGTCAGGTCACAACCGAAGACCAGGATGTCGCAAAGCCCCTGAGAAGCGGCCGCCAGGTCTATTGTGATGGGTCCACTTCCTCCAAGACGAGCCATGATCCGAACGAGCCTCCCTCACCCCTCTGCCTGCCGTCTCATCTAAGACCCTCAGACCCTGAGTATTTGGCAGAAACGTGAGCACTTCAGAGCAAAAGGACCCAGATGCCAGAGAGGGTAAGAGCCTGCCCTTGGATCCCAGCTCGGCCACACACCTGCCGAGGAAGTCCCTCCTCTTCTCTGAGCCGCAGGTACACCCATCTATAAAATGCAGTCATTAAATAACTTCCGAGCCTGTTGTGAGACCAGGAACTTTGAAATAAAACCACAAACATCAAAGCATCATGAAAGCTGCGGAGAACGGTCCACAACCAGGCGCCCCCATCGTTGCCAAGTGGGGCGGCCACCTGAGACACACACACCTTACTGTAGCCACCAGAACGCCCAGGGACACTGGGATACAAAGTCACCATACTTATTAGGACCAGGGAAGCCAGGAGTCCTCCCTTACCGAGACACAAGGCAAGTGCCAGGAAGAGATGGTGAGGGCCTGCCTGGGAAAGATGTAGGTTTTATACTTTGCAAAATACCTTAATTGACGTCCCATTTCTGTGAAGATGCGTAGTGCTGCTCATGGCATCCTTGCCCCCAGAGCAGTACTTGTATGTGATACTGCCCCCCGTGGGCCCTCCCGCCGCACTCCTGCACAGAGCGAACAGTCACCTGCTGGAGGTCCCCGCTGCTCACTCGGGAGAAGGTGTGGAGCTGAGGGCACAGGGAGGGACGCATCACCAGAATGAGCCTCGTGGATGGAGGGTGCGGGGGACTGGCCTTGTGCCTGCAAACTGCCGGGCTGGCTAATGACCCAAACTTTACAGGCCATCCTGGGAGAGAGGCAGAGGGGACTTACCTCTTCCTCGGGCCCACGTGTAGATGCGGCTGGTCTCAGAGCTTCTGGGCTCTCGCTCTGCCGGTTCCGTGGGCAAAGGTCGGAAGTGGGGGTCATCAGCTCGGCCAGGGGTCTTCAGGGGCAAGATATACTTGGGGAGCCCTTTGTAGAACCAGGCCCCCGACCTCTTCCAGACCTGAGTGGGGGAAGAGAGCTGCTTGGGGCACAGGACGCAGAGGAGCCTCCCCTCCTGCTCCTTGCCCAGATGACGGGAGGCAGGACGCGGAGAGCTAGGAGCAGAGTGGGAGTGGGAACTCTGGCTCTGCCCTCCCTGGCTGATGGGCTGGGCTGTCAGTTACCTTCCCAGGACTCAGGACATGAACTCTCCAAACCTTCTTTCTCTCCCTTATTTTAGAGTTGAGGACTTGCTCTGCTGCCCAGGCTGGAGTGCAGTGGTGCAGTCATCACCCGCTGCAGCCTCCACCTCCTGGGCTCACGCGGTCCTCCTGCCTCAGTCTCCTCAGCAGCTGGGACTACTGTACCTGGGTCTACACCTGCTTTAAAGACAAGCCCATGTCCTCCTGCTTCTCTCTTGCAGAGCAGGGATCTCAATATGGGCCTGGCATGTGAGACATGTTTATGAAAACCGTCCTCTGTTACCGTCTGTATCCACCACTCGGATCCTAGAGATTGCCTAGTCAGACCTCTGCCCATCCCCAGTCCTTTCCGGCCCCTGCTGGAAAACTCCTAGTGACAGGAAGCCCACAAGCCACCAGGCACTGCTGAGTTTCCACTAGATCTGCCAGTGACTGGCACTTCCTTCCCGCCAGCTGACCTCCCGGGCACCTTCTCTCGCTGGCCCAAGGCAGAGGGCTGCACGGGACAGACTCTCCCAGCCACAAGTACCTGCAGGCACCTCACCCAGCCCCCAAGCTCTCCTCCCTGCCAGCTGACCTCCCGGGCACCTTCTCTTGCTGGCCCAAGGCAGAGAGCTGCATGGGATGGACTCTCCCAGCCACGTGTACCTGCAGACACCTCCTCCTGCCCCCAGCTCTCCTTGGTGCCATGCCCAGATCCCCAGCTTCTCAAGGACAACACCCTGATTCCTCAGCTGTCCCAAGTCCCCTCTCATCGAGCCACCCCCTCTTGCCATGTTTGTCACTGCCCCTCGGGAGAGGGGCTCAGAAGTGGCCACAAAGCTCCAGACTTGTTCTGGCTGCCCCCATGGCACAGCCACTGGCTTTCCACCCTCTTTCCTGCCTCAGTTCTATCCTCCTTGCATCCTGAGCCTCCCAGGAGCCCCTCTTGACCCTATGTAGTCCCCCAGGGACTCTGAGAGCCAGGTGGGTCAGAGGGGGCCTGCCAGGGCCCAAGCAGGTGTAAAGCATCCCTTTATCACTGCCCTGGGGAAGTGGTGAGAGTCACCCTAAAGCTGGCCAGACAGACACCCCCAAAGGCTGGCAGAGCCCCAGGAATCCAGGGATGCCCACCCTGAACTCACAGGGTGGGAGGTGCTCTGGGTCTGGGACGCACAGCCCCTTGGGCTCTGAGGGGTCCCTCTGTTCCTCTAATATCCCCAGCTTGGACACCCAGGCTCCCCACTCCTGCTGTCCCTGGAAGCAAGGCTGAATCAATGGCAGCTTCCACATGCTCGCTGTGTGGCTTTGAGTGAGTTACTTAACCTCTCTGAGCCTGAGTTTCTTTATTGATTAAATTGATGAAACATGATAGCTGCTGAGAAAGTTGGAAGTACTCAACAGAGCAAAGGGCACCCAGAAGGTGTTCACAAGATGCCACCTGCCTGCCTCCTTCCTGTCCCTTCCGCTCGAGGCTCCAGGGCGAAGCAACCGAGGCTGAGGGAGAGCCAGGCTGGACCACATCACAGCCTTGGAAGCTCTTCTCTGAGGACTTCTCAGATGGGACAGCCTCTCCAACAGGAACAGAAAGGACCGCCTCTTGGAGAGAGCCACCGATTAGAATTCAGAGCAGCTGCTGAGTTAAGGTCCCTAAATTTGTAATGCCTCCTTCAGAAAACACCACATACTGTATAGCCTCTTTTCTGATGAAGGAAATAAATTCAGGGTATTTAGTCAGGAGGGGTGGGAGCCTGTAAACGAACACTTTGCAAAAACCTCAACTGACATGACCCTTCTCAGAGAAGGGCAGGCCAAGGTTCCGAGCCGACGTCCTGAATCTGAATCCTGGGTCTGGCACCCAGCATCTGGTGTGATTTGGACACGCTGACCTCCCTGGCCCTCAGTTTCTTCATCAGTAGGCAAACACAGGAGCAGGGCTTATCTCACCGGGAGGACTTGAGGATCAGGCCCAAGAATGAACGTGAAGCCTCAAGGGCCAGTGCCAGGCACGGAGCAGCCTCTCCACAGAGGAGAGGCCCATGGGCACCACCGCCACCCCCCTCCTGCCACCTGGCAAACACAAACAGCTTTATCACCAGTGGGCCAATTCCCTACTGGAAGAATTCAAAACCAGAAGACCAGAATCCACCTGATTCTGAGACATTGCTTCCCACCCCGCAAACTTCCTCTGCATCACATTAGTACTGTGGGATACTAACAAGAGTCAAGCCAAAAAAAAAAAAAAAAGGTTTCTAATCACATACTCTTGAAAAGCACTAGGTTAAACCAAGCTCCATCGCTGCGGGACGTCTCAGAGCCTTTACTAAGCTCCATCACTGCGGGACATCTCAGAGCCTTTATTTACTAAGCTCCATCACTGCGGGACCTCTCGGGGCCTTTACCAAGCTCCGTCGCTGCAGGACCTCTCAGACCCTTTACTAAGCTCCGTCACTGTGGGACCTCTCAGAGCCTTTACTAAGCTCCGTCGCTGCGGGACCTCTCAGAGCCTTTACTAAGCTCCGTCGCTGCAGGACCTCTCGGAGCCTTTACTAAGCTCCATCGCTGCGGGACCTCTCGGAGCCTTTACTAAGGTCCATCACTGCGGGACCTCTGGGAGCCTTTACTAAGGTCCATCACTGCGGGACCTCTCAGAGCCTTTACTAAGCTCCATCGCTGCGGGACCTCTCGGAGCCTTTACTAAGCTCCATCGCTGCGGGACCTCTCAGAGCCTTTACTAAGCTCCATCGCTGCGGGACCTCTCAGAGCCTAAGCTCTGTCGCTGCGGGACCTCTCAGAGCCTTTACCAAGCTCCGTCGCTGCGGGACCTCTCAGAGCCTTTACCAAGCTCCGTTGCTGCGGGACCTCTCAGAGCCTTTACCAAGCTCCGTCGCTGCGGGACCTCTCAGAGCCTTTACCAAGCTCCGTCGCTGCGGGACCTCTCAGAGCCTAAGCTCCGTCGCTGCGGGACCTCTCAGAGCCTTTACTAAGCTCCGTCACTGCGGGACCTCTTAGAGCCTAAGTGCCATCGCTGTGGGACCTCTCGGGGCCTTTACCAAGCTCCGTCGCTGCAGGACCTCTCAGAGCCTTTACTAAGCTCCATCGCTGTGGGACTTCTCAGAGTCTTTACTAAGCTCTATCACTGCGGGACCTCTCAGGGCCTTTACTAAGCTCCCTCGCTGCGGGACCTCTCAGAGCCTTTACTAAGCTCCATCGCTGCGGGACCTCTCAGAGCCTTTACCAAGCTCCGCCACTGCGGGACCTCTCAGAGCCTTTACTAAGCTTCATCCCTGTGGGACCTCTCAGAGCCTTTACCAAGCTCTGCCACTGCGGGACCTCTCAGAGCCTTTACTAAACTCCATCACTGCGGGACCTCTCGGAGCCTTTACCAAGCTCCATCACTGCAGGACCTCTCAGAGCCTAAGCTCCGTCGCTGTGGGACCTCTCAGAGCCTAAGCGCCATCGCTGCAGGACCTCTCAGAGCCTTTACTAAGCTCAGGTGCACAGGGTTATCCCAGAGGGCAAAAGAACACACCGTGCTCTCTACCCGCAATCTGCCTGGATGGTTTTCCTAGAGAAACTAGACCTTAGTAATGGGTCTGCATGGACTCGGCACTTAACTGGGCAGGGCACCTCCTTATGCTCACAGTGCCAGGCACGGACTGCCACGTCCAGACTAGGTCCCTGGCATGAATCCCTCACTGCCCCTTCCAGCCACCCTGTGTGAAGGGCCTGCTTTTGTGTCGTTCTTGAACGGCCTGGAACCTGTCTGGTGGGATGGGTGCTTCATGGCACCCGCTTTGGAAAACCCTTTCTGATCCTCTTGGAGCCTTCCTACAACACGTATTTATTTGAATGGGTAATGCAGGCACATGGTCTAAAAATCCACAAAGTGCAAAAGTAGCCAGTCTCCTCCCCCATTCCCAGAAGCATCGAAGAAGCTTATTATCTCCACTTTTCAGGTGGGGAAACTGAGGCTCCAACAAGTTCAGCAATTTCCCCAAAGCCAGCACACCCCTCTGTTGGCCTCTACTCCACACGGAAGGCCCCAGAGTCTCACCCAACAGTTTACAGATGCAAAGCAGATGCTCACTAAACTGCAGTTGAGTGGTGAATAAATCCTCAGTGGCTCAGACGTCTGTGTGGACCCTTAGTGTCCTACAGGCAGGACACCAGAGTGGAGAGGACTGCCTGACAGGAGGAAGCAGCAAACACACAGCAGCCACCAAGGCCACCCCATCTCTGAAGAGCTGCTGCAAGGCTCATTAGAGCAGGTACCCAAGTCCAAAAGGCCACGGGGGCCATGGGGTGCCAGCCAAGGGCTCGCTACGCCTCCCTCTGATGAGCGAAAGCTCTGCTCATCCTGCCCTGAGCACGTCACCTCCCTGTCCTCCACCGTGGGCTGGGCCTGGGGGACCCCAAATGAAGCAGACCCCTAAGAACCATCTGTGAACGGCGGGGCCCGTGCAGGCTTTGAACCGCACGCCACACTGTCTCCCCCACCCGCCTTGGAAGTTTTCTCTTTTTTTTTTACTTTTTTTTTTTTTTGAGACAGGGTCTTGCTCTGTCACCCAGGACGGAGTGCAGTGGAGCAATCGGCTCACTGCAGCCTTCACCTGCCCAGGCTCAGGTGATCCTCCCACCTCACCCTCCCGAGTAGCTGGGACTATAGGTGGTGTGCGCCAATACACCCAGCTAATTTTTGTATTTTTTGTAGAGATGGGGTTTTACCATGTTACTCAGGCTGGTCTCTAACTCCTGGGCTCAAGCAATCTGCCCACCTCTGCCTCCCAAAGTGCTGGGATTACAAACACGAGCCACCACGCCTAGCCTCTCCCTTTTTTTATTTTCCTGAAAAATACATACCTAGCATACAAAATTAGCACAACAAAAAAGTAAAATGAAACTAGGCCACCTATAACATCACTGCACAGAGACGCCCTGCTGACCATGGCGGTGTGAATTTTCTTACACCATTGCCTGGGAAAACACACTATTTGTTTTTTGTTTTTTTGAAAACTAGGCTAATGTAGATGCAACCTGTTCCCACCCTGTCCCCCAACACCTCACTACGCATCAGAGCAGTCGTTCCGAACTCATAACTTCTCCATCATCGTTTTTCACTGCTCCACAGTTTGGATTTATTAAACTTAAGTAATCCAGCACCTCACCGAGGGACATTTGTTTCCAATCCTCGTCCTCACGGGCAGCGCCGCAGCCATCACCCCGCACCCACCCCATCAGCCCAGTGCTCGGTTATTGCCTTAGGAAAGACGGGTTGATTTTGCCCTTTTCCAAAATGCTTGGGACAGAAGTGCTTCAGATTTTGAATTTTTCCGAATTTTAGAATATTTGCATTATACTTAACCAGTTCAGCATCCCAAATCTGAAAATCCAAAATCTGAAATGCTCCAGTGAGTTTTGGATTTTGGAGCATTTCAGCTTTGGGTTTTCTGATGAATGATACTCAGCCTATATTCCACAGAGCGGGACTGCAGGGTCGAGAACTGTGTGTTTGGATGATGACATAGAGTCAGGCCGCCCTCCAGGAGGAAAAGCCACATTCCCAGGAGGCTACAGTAAGTGTTTTTGGGGTGGGGACCTCGGCTTACACTTCCTGGTGGAATCCAAGGCCTCCTCTGTGGACCCTGATCGGGGAAGGTTCCCAGGGAACCACGGTGGGCTTGGGGAGAGGCATCCATCAGGGCATGAGGCCACCAGAGTGAGGGGCGTGGGGCGAACAATGGAGCTACCCTGCCATCCCTAGGACAGGCCTTGGGGGCTGAGAGTGCTCCCCCACCTCACGCCCAGCCAGTCAAGGCCCTGTTTAACGGGGAGTGGCCAGGTTGATGCTCAGGGTGACTTGGCAATGTGGCCAAGCCATCTCTGTCGTGAGTCTTCAGGGGAAGAGACTAAGACACCCCACAGAGCTGCATTCCCGCACACTGTGGGGCCGAGAACCTCATCTGTGCCAGTGAGTCCTCAGCTCATGGACTTCCGAGCTGCTCCTTTGCGGCACCGGACCACGGTTTTGGCCTCCGGGTATGCGCAATCCTTTTTTAAAAAAATTAAAAATGTTTCCATTGTATTAAAGTATTCATAACATCAAACGTATCACCTGAAGTGCAACCCATCTCCAGAACTTGCCAAACTGAAACTCTATAACCACTAAGCAATAGCTCTCCTCTGCCCTGGCCCCTGGCCACCCCAGTCTGCTGTCTGTCCCTAGGAACGTTACTACCCTACGTACTTCCTATGAGGGGAGCCGCACGGCGTCTGTCCTTTTCCATCCCTAGGAACGTGACTACCCTACGTACTTCCTATGAGGGGAGCCGCACGGCGTCTGTCCTTTTCCATCCCTAGGAACGTGACTACCCTACGTACTTCCTATGAGGGGAGCCGCACGGCGTCTGTCCTGTTCCATCCCTAGGAATGTGACTACCCTACGTACTTCCTATGAGGGGAGCCGCACGGCGTCTGTCCTTTTCCATCCCTAGGAACGTGACTACCCTACGTACTTCCTATGAGGGGAGCTGCACGGCGTCTGTCCTTTTCCGTCCCTAGGAATGTGACTACCCTACGTACTTCCTATGAGGGGAGCCGCATGGCGTCTGTCCTGTTCCATCCCTAGGAACGTGACTACCCTACGTACTTCCTATGAGGGGAGCCGCACGGCGTCTGTCCTTTTCCATCCCTAGGAATGTGACTACCCTACGTACTTCCTATGAGGGGAGCTGCACGGCGTCTGTCCTTTTCCATCCCTAGGAATATGACTACCCTACGTACTTCCTATGAGGGGAGCCGCATGGCGTCTGTCCTGTTCCATCCCTAGGAACGTGACTACCCTACGTACTTCCTATGAGGGGAGCCGCACGGCGTCTGTCCTTTTCCATCCCTAGGAATGTGACTACCCTACGTACTTCCTATGAGGGGAGCTGCACGGCGTCTGTCCTGTTCCATCCCTAGGAACGTGACTACCCTACGTACTTCCTATGAGGGGAGCCGCACGGCGTCTGTCCTTTTCCGTCCCTAGGAATATGACTACCCTACGTACTTCCTATGAGGGGAGCTGCACGGCGTCTGTCCTTTTCCATCCCTAGGAATGTGACTACCCAACGTACTTCCTATGAGGGGAGCCGCACGGCGTCTGTCCTTTTCCATCCCTAGGAACGTGACTACCCTACGTACTTCCTATGAGGGGAGCCGCACGGCGTCTGTCCTTTTCCATCCCTAGGAACGTGACTACCCTACGTACTTCCTATGAGGGGAGCCGCACGGCGTCTGTCCTTTTCCATCCCTAGGAATGTGACTACCCTACGTACTTCCTATGAGGGGAGCCGCACGGCGTCTGTCCTTTTCCATCCCTAGGAATGTGACTACCCTACGTACTTCCTATGAGGGGAGCCGCACGGCGTCTGTCCTGTTCCATCCCTAGGAATGTGACTACCCTACGTACTTCCTATGAGGGGAGCCGCACGGCGTCTGTCCTTTTCCATCCCTAGGAACGTGACTACCCTACGTACTTCCTATGAGGGGAGCCGCACGGCGTCTGTCCTTTTCCATCCCTAGGAACGTGACTACCCTACGTACTTCCTATGAGGGGAGCTGCACGGCGTCTGTCCTTTTCCGTCCCTAGGAATGTGACTACCCTACGTACTTCCTATGAGGGGAGCCGCATGGCGTCTGTCCTGTTCCATCCCTAGGAACGTGACTACCCTACGTACTTCCTATGAGGGGAGCCGCACGGCGTCTGTCCTTTTCCATCCCTAGGAATGTGACTACCCTACGTACTTCCTATGAGGGGAGCTGCACGGCGTCTGTCCTTTTCCATCCCTAGGAATATGACTACCCTACGTACTTCCTATGAGGGGAGCCGCATGGCGTCTGTCCTGTTCCATCCCTAGGAACGTGACTACCCTACGTACTTCCTATGAGGGGAGCCGCACGGCGTCTGTCCTTTTCCATCCCTAGGAACGTGACTACCCTACGTACTTCCTATGAGGGGAGCTGCACGGCGTCTGTCCTGTTCCATCCCTAGGAATGTGACTACCCAACGTACTTCCTATGAGGGGAGCCGCACGGCGTCTGTCCTTTTCCATCCCTAGGAACGTGACTACCCTACGTACTTCCTATGAGGGGAGCCGCACGGCGTCTGTCCTTTTCCATCCCTAGGAACGTGACTACCCTACGTACTTCCTATGAGGGGAGCTGCACGGCGTCTGTCCTTTTCCATCCCTAGGAACGTGACTACCCTACGTACTTCCTATGAGGGGAGCTGCACGGCGTCTGTCCTGTTCCATCCCTAGGAATGTGACTACCCTACGTACTTCCTATGAGGGGAGCCGCACGGCGTCTGTCCTTTTCCATCCCTAGGAACGTGACTACCCTACGTACTTCCTATGAGGGGAGCCGCACGGCGTCTGTCCTGTTCCGTCCCTAGGAATGTGACTACCCTACGTACTTCCTATGAGGGGAGCCGCACGGCGTCTGTCCTTTTCCATCCCTAGGAATATGACTACCCTACGTACTTCCTATGAGGGGAGCTGCACGGTGTCTGTCCTTTTCCATCCCTAGGAACGTGACTACCCTACGTACTTCCTATGAGGGGAGCCGCACGGCGTCTGTCCTTTTCCATCCCTAGGAACGTGACTACCCTACGTACTTCCTATGAGGGGAGCCGCACGGCGTCTGTCCTTTTCCATCCCTAGGAATATGACTACCCTACGTACTTCCTATGAGGGGAGCTGCACGGCGTCTGTCCTTTTCCGTCCCTAGGAACGTGACTACCCTACGTACTTCCTATGAGGGGAGCCGCACGGCGTCTGTCCTTTTCCATCCCTAGGAACGTGACTACCCTACGTACTTCCTATGAGGGGAGCCGCACGGCGTCTGTCCTTTTCCATCCCTAGGAACGTGACTACCCTACGTACTTCCTATGAGGGGAGCCGCACGGCGTCTGTCCTTTTCCATCCCTAGGAATGTGACTACCCTACGTACTTCCTATGAGGGGAGCCGCACGGCGTCTGTCCTTTTCCATCCCTAGGAATGTGACTACCCTACGTACTTCCTATGAGGGGAGCCGCACGGCGTCTGTCCTGTTCCATCCCTAGGAATGTGACTACCCTACGTACTTCCTATGAGGGGAGCCGCACGGCGTCTGTCCTGTTCCATCCCTAGGAACGTGACTACCCTACGTACTTCCTATGAGGGGAGCCGCACGGCGTCTGTCCTTTTCCATCCCTAGGAACGTGACTACCCTACGTACTTCCTATGAGGGGAGCCGCACGGCGTCTGTCCTTTTCCATCCCTAGGAATGTGACTACCCTACGTACTTCCTATGAGGGGAGCCGCACGGCGTCTGTCCTTTTCCATCCCTAGGAATGTGACTACCCTACGTACTTCCTATGAGGGGAGCCGCACGGCGTCTGTCCTTTTCCATCCCTAGGAACGTGACTACCCTACGTACTTCCTATGAGGGGAGCCGCACGGCGTCTGTCCTTTTCCATCCCTAGGAACGTGACTACCCTACGTACTTCCTATGAGGGGAGCCGCACGGCGTCTGTCCTTTTCCATCCCTAGGAATGTGACTACCCTACGTACTTCCTATGAGGGGAGCCGCACGGCGTCTGTCCTTTTCCATCCCTAGGAACGTGACTACCCTACGTACTTCCTATGAGGGGAGCCGCACGGCGTCTGTCCTTTTCCGTCCCTAGGAATGTGACTACCCTACGTACTTCCTATGAGGGGAGCCGCACGGTGTCTGTCCTTTTCCATCCCTAGGAATGTGACTACCCTACGTACTTCCTATGAGGGGAGCCGCACGGCGTCTGTCCTTTTCCATCCCTAGGAACGTGACTACCCTACGTACTTCCTATGAGGGGAGCCGCACGGCGTCTGTCCTTTTCCATCCCTAGGAACGTGACTACCCTACGTACTTCCTATGAGGGGAGCTGCACGGCGTCTGTCCTTTTCCATCCCTAGGAACGTGACTACCCTACGTACTTCCTATGAGGGGAGCTGCACGGCGTCTGTCCTTTTCCATCCCTAGGAACGTGACTACCCTACGTACTTCCTATGAGGGGAGCCGCACGGCGTCTGTCCTTTTCCGTCCCTAGGAATGTGACTACCCTACGTACTTCCTATGAGGGGAGCTGCACGGCGTCTGTCCTTTTCCATCCCTAGGAATATGACTACCCTACGTACTTCCTATGAGGGGAGCCGCACGGCGTCTGTCCTTTTCCGTCCCTAGGAATGTGACTACCCTACGTACTTCCTATGAGGGGAGCCGCACGGTGTCTGTCCTTTTCCGTCCCTAGGAATGTGACTACCCTACGTACTTCCTATGAGGGGAGCCGCACGGTGTCTGTCCTGTTCTGTCCCTAGGAATGTGACTACCCTACGTACTTCCTATGAGGGGAGCCGCACGGTGTCTGTCCTGTTCTGTCCCTAGGAATGTGACTACCCTACGTACTTCCTATGAGGGGAGTCGCACGGCGTCTATCCTTTTCCATCCCTAGGAATGTGACTACCCTACGTACTTCCTATGAGGGGAGCCGCACGGCATCTGTCCTTTTTTGGCTGCTTATTTCCCTCAGCATCACTTCTTCAGGGCTCACGCACGCAGCAACCCGTGTCAGCACGTCCTTCCTTTCTGAGGCTGAGCAATGTTCCCCTGTACGGATGGATCACGTTTTGTCGTCTGTTCATAGGTACGTGGGGTGCTTCCCCCTTTTCGCTGGTCCTTCTGTTTTCATCTGTCTCCCCCACCAGGCTCCACCAAACAGGAGGAAGCATCACAGCCGTCTTGCTCACCACTGTTTCTTCAAGCTCCTAGCACACGCCTCACACATCGTAGGTGTTCAGTAAACGCTGGTTGAATGACTGTGCTGGCAGCTGCGGGTCGTTTGCTGCAACGTGTCTCAACCTACAGTCTGCCACCTTCCCGGGGAAGAAGCCTGGGTGTTTCACTCAAGTTCCTGTAATTAATCAAACGGACTTCCTATTTCAGATTAAAAGAGGGATAAAGAGGAAGGGCTTGATGGGGTGTGCTGGTGGGGAGGAAAGCGCAGTGAGCCTCCCTGACTGCCCAGGGTGCTCCCAGCCTCTCCTCCCCAGCTGCCCTGCCTCCCCTGGCATATCCCAGCCCCCGGCCCGTGCCTCAGCCTTGCCTCCTGCTGCAAAAATCCGTCTCCCACCCCCACTCCACTCAATTCCTGCTCAGTGACGTTCTTTTGGAAGACAGATGAAGAGCACAGGACCCAAAGCATCAGGTTGGATTGCCATTGGTACTCAGCCATTTTGGGATAGTCAACCCGTTTTTTTTTTTTTTTTTTTTTGAGACAGGGTCTCACTCTGTTGCCCAGGCTGGAGTGCAATGGCACGATCATGGCTCACTGCAGCCTTGACACCCTGGGCTCAAGTGATCCTCCCACCTCAACCTCCCGAGTAGCCAGGACCACAGCAACACGCCACCATGCCCGGCGAAGTCAACCACTTTTGAACTATCAAAAAAGCCCGTCAACTTCATACGATTCACCCCAATATTTATGCCCAGAAGGGGCAATAATCCCACAGGCCAGGCAGGCCACGTGCCTCCCCGGGGCTCTGTGGGCAGGACCATGAGCACCCGATGGATCATTCCCTGTGAGTTCATTGTAACGGGGCCTCGCTCCGATTCTCTCCTGCTGTCACTGTAGTCCAGGTGGAAGGTCTAAGAGCTCACCCTGACCATCCAGCATGGCTGGTGATCTGGACCAGCGTGAGGAGCAGCAGTTCCTAAGTCCCAGCATCAGGGGACCACAGCACACAGGTGTATCATCCAGTACAGGAGGTGCACCCATGCAGATGTGCATAAAACACACTGTCAGTATTTCTGAAAATGCCTTCCGCAGGGGAGAGCAGATCTGTTGAGGTGAGGTGCAAAGGACCCCACACCCACAGGCCTTCTCTCTCCTGGCTGCCCGCCCCACTCTGCAAAACACACCACGGCAGCCTTAATCACGTAACTTCTGCTCTGTGCATCTGGGCCTGTCACCCGCTGCCTGGCATCCACATCTACCCCTCCCCGCCCAGGAATAGTGGCAGGAAAAGCCCTCATG
This sequence comes from Homo sapiens, assembly GCF_000001405.40. Classification (NCBI taxonomy): domain Eukaryota; kingdom Metazoa; phylum Chordata; class Mammalia; order Primates; family Hominidae; genus Homo; species Homo sapiens. The sequence goes on from NC_000017.11 coordinate 259,541, forward strand.
GGAATTAACCCCAGGCCACCCCGCAGATTGAAAATCAGTTACTTTCTGGAGAAGCCGAGCAACTCTGCAAAACCCTACTCGGCTCCCCACGTGTGGTTTGCTGTGATAAGGCCGGCAAAGCAGCCAGCCTTGAAAATGCCATTTAATGAGAAAAGACCCACAGCCGCCGTGGCGGTGGCCGGGGTGTCCGGCAGCAGTAAACGCTCCTGGTACCGCTGCTCGCCCTGCTCTGTGCTCCGCTTCCAGGTTTGCATTACGGTTTCAGCTCACGGCCAATCTGACTGCAGATTCTCATGGATATTCGCCAAGCTGTTCCCAGGGAATTTTAATTACCATGATAACAATTGCTAATCACTGGCATTTCCTAAATGGTTGTGGCTGGAGAAGGTGGTAATTGTCAGGCTGGTGCTGGAAAGAAGGGGAGTCTCACAGACCTGCCACTGGAGGGGGTGGGACAGGGGAGCCTGAAGACCCCTCTCTCTGTCCATTGTCCACCCCTTCCATGTGTCACTCCCTCTCCCGTGCCACCCTGAGAGTGCACCTGGCTTGAGCTCTTCACTGGCCCAGGCATCCATCCTCTCTGCCCCAACCCCACGAGTCACAGCAGGGGACGGTCTGTGGCCTGTGCACCTGCTGTTCCTTCCCCCTGGAGTGCCTTTCATCAGCATCTCTAACAGGCAGTCACGCTTCCCCGGAGGGCTTCAGTGGGTGCCCCTTCATGCAGAATCAGGGCCCCTCTGTCGTGCTCCCAGAGGCCATGTGGTCCCACTGGTACAGCACGCCACACCTGGGCTGGAGCTCAGACTCGCCCACCTTCCTGAGCAGGAGGCTGTGAGCTCTTCAAGGGCAGGGCTGTGCCTGAGCCATCTCTGGATTCCCGGGACCCAGTGAGGAGCCTGCTATGTTACTGACCGACCACATGAACAAAGAAGGGAAAGCAGAGGCACTGTCTCCAGGGGACAGAGGGGAGACCTCGCCTTCAAGGGAGACTGCGTTCTGTCTGCCTAACAAGCTCCAGACTGAATCAGTCTTGGAGAACCACGGGAAAAGACCTGTGACTGAGCGGTCTTCTCAATTACACTGCAGCTACTTTAAAGGTCTCTTCAAGGGTCAACCCTCTCTGGCAGAGGAGAGGCAGTACCTCTCCCTCCTCCATTACCTGACACACACTCACAATGCTGGTCTCCCAGGAACCCTAAGAGGCAAGTTAAACAAGTCCGCAGCAGGCCAACAACACCCCAGGACCCAGCCTCCCTCTCAGCCTCACCTCTCACCTCCCCCACCCCCATCACCAGGCACAGCTGCTCTCACCGCCTTGACCACACTAAGCTCTCCTTTTGGACACGTTGTTCCTTCTCCCTTCCCTGGACTAGCTCGTCTCCAGCCTTTGGGAAATCACTTTTATCCAGAAGCTTCCAGACATAATCTTGCATGTTTCCACAGCTATGCACACTCCCTGGGTTATGATCACCTGTTTCTGTGTCTGTTTCCTGAGGATGGAAGACCCCATGATGGCGGGAGCCAGGCAGAGTGCCCGGCAGGTGCCAGCACACAGCAGATACCCAACAAATAGTCAGCTGAACACCCATCCAAATTGCAAGGCTTAAGTAACTCAAGTTACTTAGGAGAAGCACAGGCTCCTCGAGGGTGCTGGGGGCTGAACTGTGTCCTCCAAATCCACATGTTGAAGCTCTAACCCTCATGTACTTGTGAGTGACAATGGACCTTGGGAAGGGAATTAGGTTTAGATGAGGCCATGAGGGTGATCGCTGCCCTTATGAAGAGAGAGACACCAGGAGAATGTGCTTCCTCTCTCTCTCTGCCATGTGAGGGCACAGCGGGAACACAGCCAGCTGCAAGCCAGAAAGAGAGCCTTCACCAGGGATCCGAATTCACCAGGGATCTGGATCAGCCAGCCCCTTGATCTTGGACTTCCCTGTCCCCAGAGCTCTGAGAAACAAATTCCCACTGTTTACACCACTCAGTCTATGGTATGTTGTTATGGTGGCTCAAGTTGACTACCATGGAAAAGATAGGCCAGCTATAAGGAAACCAGACCCAGAATCGCATTAGACTTATCACTGGTAACAGTGGCCGCCCAAAGACTCTGGATCTAGAATTCTATCAGCCAAACTATCAACACAATGGGAGGGCAGAACACAGATGTTTTTAAACTCATAAGGACGCTGAGTTTCCCTTACACACACTCTTTTTAAGAACTTAGGACGGGTTCCAGAAAAACACAAGTGAAAAACAAGAAAGGGAAAACACAGGATCCTGGAAACAGTCTCCAACTCAAAAGGTGAGCTGAGGGGAAGTTCCCGGAAGGCAGCGCTCAGGAACTACTCTGGGGTCTGGAGGGCGTCTCACAGGAAAACAGAAGGCTCCACACGATAGATGGTAAAATAAAAAAGCTGCATAAAAGAGGATGTAAAGTTTCATTATTCTGTTGTCAATAAGAAACACAGTCAATAAAAACTCCAGGAAAAACGAAAAGTTACACAAGAACATCATGGTCCAAATATTGGGTAAATTAAAATATGACAGGGATGAAGAAATTCAGAGTTAAAAAGGAATGTTTGCTCAGAATGGTGGGAACATTCTCCTTGGGGTGGTCTAGGGGTCAAGGTCGTTATAAAAATGTGATCCTCACATACGTTTGAGCCTAAGACGTTTCATGTTTACAGTTTTTTTTTTAGATGGTGTCTCGCTCTGTCACCCAGGCTGGAGTGCAGCGGCACAATCTCGGCTCACTGCAACCTCCGCCTCCCGGGTTCAAGCAATTCTGCCTCAGCCTCCTGAGTAGCTGGGATTACAGGCACCCGCCACCAGGCCCGGCTAATTTTTGTATTTTTAGTAGAGACGGGGTTTCACCATGTTCGCCGGGCTGGTCTTGAACTGCTGACCTCGTGATCCACCCGCCTCGGCCTCCCAAAGTGCTGGGATTACAGGCGTGAGCCACCGCACCCGGCCAACAAAATAATTTTTACAATGTAAATCCCAGCCAGGTGCAGCGGCTCACGCTCATAATCCCAACCCTTTGGGAGGCCGAGGTGGGAGGATCGCTTGAGGCCAGGAATTCAAGGCCAGCCTGGCCAAGCTGTTTACATCTCCCCTGTGACCCAGCTCTTGCAGGCGTGCAAAAGTCAAGCGACAAACCATCAAACGAATCCTAAGCCCATGCCCCGAGCCATCTCCTTTATCTAACGCCCACACACCAAGCCAATATTCCCCCTGCCCTAAATCAGTGGAGAGTCAGGGAGCACACAACTAGGGACAGCCCCTATGCCACAAAGCCTGCAGGGTTATTCAGTCCGACCCCACTTTGCTTTCCCCGCAGAAGCCCCAGTAAAGGCTGTGGATGTGTTTTCCCCTCTCCTCTGCCCACGACTGGCTCTGGTGCTTCCCCACGTGGCCCTGCCCGACATGGTGGTCCCCTCCTCTCAGGAACTGTGAGCAAGAAATTCTTCCAATGACATTAGCCTCTTTGTGTCATCACTCTGCCACGTGCATGAAGACCTGGGCACAAATCATAAAGCATGGAAGAATTCATTATAGCTAAAGAACAGAATCTACATGTAAATTCTGGCAATCTACAACTAAAGATACCATCTAGACAAGGAGGGAGGTGGGCATGGGGGAGGAAGAGGCGGCCTCCATATCCACAGCTCACACACAGGGAGTCAAGGGTACCAAAGCTGACGGAAGAAGACAGAGGAAAATATTATACAAAGTCACAAACTTAATCAAAGAGCCGAAAGTAATAACACAACGATCAACATCAGGGGACAGAGGGGAAGCAGAGGAGTCCAAGCTGGCCAGCTCCTCATCTTGCATGGCCAGGAGTCAATAGAGAGTCTCCCAAGTTGGTACATCAAGAAAGGCACGGCAGGATCCAGCACGTGGACGAACAGGCAGCAGCGGGTGACGCGGTGGCAAGGAGCCGCCGGGCGACTGCCGTTCCCCAACGTTAGCTCTTCCGAACAATTTGATTTTTTAAAACCATATGATGTGTTACTTTGATTAAAATTAAAATGTAACAGATTGGTAATTGGATGCTGATATTATTAAATCCTCGGTCTGCACGGTAGGTCGACTCGTGGGGAGCTGGCACAGTCTGTGGCTGGCACACTGAATCTGGATGTGGCTTAAGGGAGGAAAGCTGGTAGCTCAGGAAAGGAAAGGAATGCAGTAAGTAAAATTTCCTGCCATGGAAGAGACTTTGTGAAGTTACGGTTAGTTTGAGAACGTCGGTATGAGTTGGTAACACACCGACACTCCCGTCCCTGAAGAAGGCCAAGTTCCTTCCCACACATCACTGCACCCACCTAACCGCCCGGAGTCGGAATTGTGGCCGTGGGCACCTCGACGGGTTTTCAAGGGGGAACCAAAGTTTCACTGCAGACGGGCAGGCAGAGCTGGGTCCAGCAGGAAACAAGGGCCTGAGGGTATCGTGCTGTTAGCGGACGCGATGCTGCTTTCCAAGATGGCTGGGCGGGGATCTCTGATCAGATTTCAAAGCCACGATTTTGGCCGCGTGCGACAAGCCGGACTCTCCAAGAGCCTTGGACCCACACCGATACTGAACAAGCTCAGCAAACGTGAGGTGTACTGAGGTAACATACACACTTGTTTCTAGCATTGTTTTCTGCCGGAAATGCCATCTGTCACTCAAACCCGAATAGAACCACCCTACCTCAAAGTTCTGGCTGACAGCAGGATTACCCTTCGGAGCCGCGAGCGCTGGATGGGGACTCAGAATCCGCAGCACGTTGACAGCAGGATTACCCTTCGGAGCCGTGCGCGCTGGATGGGGACTCAGAATCCGCAGCACGTTGACAGCAGGATTACCCTTCGGAGCCGTGCGCGCTGGATGGGGACTCAGAATCTGCAGCATGTTGACAGCAGGATTACCCTTCGGAGCCGCGAGCGCTGGATGGGGACTCAGAATCCGCAGCATGTTGACAGCAGGATTACCCTTCGGAGCCGTGCGCGCTGGATGGGGACTCAGAATCCGCACCGTGTGTGTGACCACTGCATGGTGGTTTTCCGCTGATCGGTGTGAGGAGGGCATGAAGCATGTCACAAGGCCTATTGGACACATTTGTGACCACACAGGACCAACGCAGGAAGAGGTCAGCATTTGCTCTTCTAAGCGTGGAGGATGACCCTTCCACCTGTGACCGGTATCAGCAAAAATGGAACACAGAATGCAGCCATTCTTCCCCAAACACCTGTTTACAGGTATATCACAGCTCAGGTGACCAATGGTTGAAGTGAAATAAACATCTCAAGAATGGGGAACTCGTGGTACCTGAAAATTCACAGTGGTCAATGCAAGACAAAACTCAGTCTAAATTACTAATGTACACATAACTGCAAAACATGAAAATGTATAAGAAATTATGCTTTGAAAGTAGATATAAAAGAATCAGTTAACAAAACAAATCTGACCCAAAATTCCAGATTGTCTCAATAAAACCCAAAAAGTAGCTGGAAATAAAACACACTGGGTGCCTCATACTTTATGAGAAGAGGGAATTAAGAGACATTTTTTCTTCTTTGAGACAGGGCCTTGCTCTGTTACCCAGGCTGGAATGTAGTGGTGCGGTCTCAGCTCACTGCAACCTCCACCTCCGAGGCTCAATCGATCCTCCCACCTAGGCTTCCCGAGTAGCTGGGACTGCAGGCGCATGCCACCATGCCCAGCTAATTTATTTTTGTAATTTCTTTTTAAGAGAGATGAGATTTCGCCATTTTGCCCAGGTTGGTCTCAGACTCCTATACTCAAGCGATCCTCCCACCTCGGCCTCTCAAAGTGCTGGGATTACAGGTGCCTGGCCAAGAGATATTTTTTGTATTGTAATATAAGTAATTAGATAAGTATAGCTTTGAATATTCAAAAGTTATATATATATGCATACACATATCCACCTAAGACAACCAGCAGAATTAAAACTAGGAAAAACGTTCGTCATCCTGAAATACTTGATCTGCTGATGGCTTTTTCTTTTATTCCCTCTTCCCTCTTCCCTCCCTTGTGCTCTGTTTATAATTTCTCCTTGTTGTTGTCCTTTTCCTTTCAGTAGGAATTAAGTTTAGAATAACTCTTTCCTCATTATTTCCTTCCCTGACCTCTGGAAAATGACACAAACAACATCTGAAAAGGGAGTCAGTGGATATTAATTCATTCAAATCACATTTACTAAGCATCTCGTGTACAGTTCTAAGATTGAGCTAAGGAAACAAAAGCCAATGTTCTTGCAGACGGGAGGCCGGTGGCACAGATCCACAGTGGGCTGTCTTCTCTCCTTGTGAGTGTTCACGCCTCGCCTTTGGGCCCTTCTGTTCTGGGAGGGTTCTGCTGACTTCCACCCCACAGGGTGAGTCTCCGCTCACGGCGGATGTTCAGCGTGAGGGGGCAAAGCACAAGCAAGCGATCCAAGCCCCCAAGAGGGTCTGAGCCACACCAGGGCAGCTGGGCAGAGCTGTGGGCAGCCTCTTCCTCCTGCCCCTCTCCCCACCCAGGCATCCATCTGGTCCAATCCCTTCTGAAGTGCTAACTCATTCCTAATTGAGGTGTGAGCTCAAAGCGAAGTGAGACCCCTTCCAGGAGGATTCATGTATTTGTGTTTTAAAAGATGACACTTTAAGGCCCCAGTGGTGTGTGTGTGTGTGTGTGTGTGTGTGCGTGCACCTGCATGCATGCTGGTGAGCCAGGGAGAAAGCCCCCATCATCCCTGTGCTCCCCAGTGGGGTGTGTGTGTGTGCACCTGCGTGCATGCTGGTGAGCCAGGGAGAAAGCCCCCGTCATCCCTGTGCTCCCCTCAACTCCAGTGGGAGTGCACAGATTCATAAAATTCATCCTGCCTGGAAAGTCTGCTGCCTCCCCATGCTGCAGGTGGCCGGCTGGCTCCCCTGTACCCAGTTGGAGGGCCCCGCCCTCATCAGAAGATGCGCTGGAAATCACACCCCAGGAAAGATAGAGCACCTGCCCCTGTCCTTTCTTCCAAATCCCCCCTGGGGCAGCAAAGCTCCCCACTCAGCCCAGGAGAGCACAGCTTTCTCCAGAGCCTGAGTGAGTTTCCTCTTCATTCCAAGTGGGTTTTTGAGCAACCAGGTCAGTCTGGGAGGCAGGCAACTGCCAGCACAGTAGAAAGGAAAAACGGCAGTGAGAAACAGAATTCTGAGGGTGCTGTTTTCTTGACAGATGATTTAAACACCTCGGCTAGATTATTTCAGAACTAGAGGAAATGCTTTGGCTTCCATTAACCCCTGGCCGGGGACTGGCTCCTGTGAGGCTTCTACACAATTACCGGTAAGGAGCATTTGCCAGTCGCAGAGGGAGGTGTTGCCCAACGCTGGCTCCCGATGCCTGTAGGGCTGCGTGCCCCTGGATCAGGGAGAACCCTGGGACAGGTCGCCAAGCTTCATCTCTGGCCTCACCCTGCCTTGTAGCCCAGCCTCGGGGTCTGTGCCCCGTGGGCACCCCATGGCCTTTGCATCATCTCTCACGTCACCTGTGATGAGGAAAGGTCCCTACAAGCTGCTGAGAACAGGGGCCCCTGTCTTCCCTCTGGTCCTGCGCGCCATCCTCTCCCTTTGTCCAGATGCTCTTGTAAGCTCAGCAAATGCATGGAGGCTAATGACACTTTCATCTGCTGCTCTTAATGACTTGTGTTGTCAACATTTGACAGACTCCCCTCACTTTCAACTGGCACGCGGCATGAAATCCTTTGGAGCCCCAGTACTGAGGCTGCTCTGACACCGGTTTGAGAGAGGGCAGGCCTGTTACAATGGTGATTGGCTGCGAAGCCGCCTCTGTTCCCAGACGGAGTGGGCTGCATGCAGGAAATGAATAGGGGCTGGAGGCGGAAAATTGGACAGGCCAATTAGACCGAGCCAGGTCTTTTCAGACGAGCGTCATGATTTTGATTCAATTCCCAGGACAACAAATGTGCCTGTGTTTAAACACAGTCTCAGAAATATGTTCTCCCAAGCCAAAGTGAAACCCTGTCTGGGCTGACCCCAATCGGCAGGGCTCGAGGGTGGTGCAGAGCGGGCGGCCTGCATCTGGGGACACTTTTTTTGATTACGTATTTGATTAGTGGCTCATTTCCGACGGGTCTTGTTCCCTGCTGGGGAAAGCCTCTAGTTCTGAAGTCCCATTGCTTCCTCTGTCTTCCACAGTCATCACTGTCTCCCTGACCACGTTTAGCTCTTTGGTTTTTCCCTGCATTCTGGGAGATCCTACAGGTCTCTCCAAATCACTGATTCAAGCTTCTTATTTTTTGCCTGATTTTAGCGACCTCCTCTCATCTTTTGGGTGTATGCCCGTGAAAGCTAGCAAATCTACAAAAGTGTATTTCATACAGACATTTCAAAGAATCATATTCCAGTAAATACCTGTGAGCTCATCAAGAAATAAAATGGTGCTGGATGTGAGAAGCTCCCGTAAACCCACCCTCCCTCTCAGAGGTAACCACCATCTGGAATTTTGTATTAAGCAATCTCTTGCTTTTCTAGTTTAAAAAAACCTTGTATGTATGTATGCATTTCTAAATAAATACAGTTGACCCATGAACCACATGGGCTGGAACTGCACAGGCCCACTCCTAGCTGGATTTTCCTCTCCCTCCATCACCCTTGTGACAACGAAAGCAACCCCTCCTCTTCCTCCTCCTCATCTCCCCGTCACCCCTGTGACAATAAAACCAACTCCCCTTCCTCCTCAGCCTACCCAACACGAAGACGATGAGGATGAAGACCTTCACGATGACCCACTTCCCCTTCATGAAGAGTAAATATATTCTCTCTTCCTCATGATTTTCTTAATAACATTTTCTTTTCTCTAGCTTATTTTATTGTAAGAATATAGTATATAATGCATATAATATACAAAATATGTGTTAACTGAATGTTTTTTATTGGTAAGTCTTCCAGTCAACAGTAGACTATTAGTTAAGTTTTGGAGAGTTAATAGTTATATTAAGATTTTAAGTATGTTTTTGGGTTTTTTTTTTTTTTTTTTTTTTTTTGAGGCAGGATCTCACGCTGTTGCCCAGGCTGAAGTACTGTGGCACCATCTCGGCTCACTGCAGCCTCCGCCTCCCAGGTTCAAGCAATCCTCCGACCTCAGCCTCCCAAGTAGCTGGGGCCACTAGACATGCCCCCACTACACCAGGCTAATTTTTAAAAACTTTTTGTAGTGACAGGTTTCGCCATGTTACCCAGACTGGTCTCAAACTCTGGGGCTCAAGCAATCCTCCCGCCTCAGCCTCCTGAGTAGCTGGGACTATAGGTTCATGCTACCAGGCCTGGATGATTTTTTATTTTTTATTTATTATTATTTTTTTGAGACGGAGTCTCGCTCCGTCACCCAGGCTGGAGTGCAGTGCCGCGATCTCGGCTCACCGCAAGCTCTGCCTCCCGGGTTCACGCCATTCTCCTGCCTCAGCCTCCCGAGTAGCTGGGACTACAGGCGCCCGCCACCACGCCTGGCTAATTTTTTGTATTTTTAGTAGAGACGGGGTTTCACCGTGTTAGCCAGGATGGTCTCGATCTCCTGACCTCATAATCCGCCCGCCTTGGCTTCCTAAAGTGCTGGGATCACAGGCGTGAGCCACCGTGCCTGGCCGATTTTTTATTTTTTAGAGACGAGGGATCGCCATGTTGCCCAGGCTGGTCTTGAACTTCTGTGGCCTCAAGCAGTCCTCTTGCCTCAGCCTCCCAGAGTGCTGGGTGTGAGCCACCGTGCCTGACCTACTTATTCTTTTTCCTGTTCAGCATCTAGTGTATGATACGATTTGCTTATTTGTTTATGTTTCATCGTCTGTTCCCCACCCTCAGCCCTGGCCCCCTTGCTGGAACGCAAGCTCCAGGCAAAGCTATTTCACCGTTGCTGTTTTCCAAGGGCCTCGAACAGTGCCCGGCACATAGCAAATCCTCAGTGAACATTAGAGGAATAAGTGATTCAAGAATAGAGCTGTTAGAAGGTGTTCTGGAGGAAGACGCATCCGGCTTCATCCCTGGCACCATCAATTACTACCCAACGTCTTTGGGCAAGTGACCTCTTCTCTCTAAGCTTCAGTTTCTCCACCTGTCACAGAGGACAATGGGCTCCCGTGGGGATGAAGCGAGATGATCATGGCCTGGCCCTTAGTGGGCACTCAGCTCACATCTGCTATGAACGATGGGAGTCCTTCGGTGTGCCTGTGTGTGAACGATGAACTCACGGACTGGAGCACTGTGCTGAAAGAGTCAGCAGCCTCTTGGATCTCTCAGTGCCTCAGAGGCAAACTTCTCCAGTGCACAGACGTGGGCTCAGGTAGACGCCCCAGGCAAGGGGCAGGGGAAGATGGGATGGCTCAGTCCATCTGCAGGGGTGCAGTGCAGGAGTCCCCATGAGGCAGACTGCCCTGGGGGCTGGTGAGCACCAGGAGCCCCCTCCTCCTGCCACCACCCATGTGTGGGAGGCCAGGAGGCTGCACTGATAGCGGGTCTCTCTGGCAGAGCCACAGAGGCGTGGGAGGCGACCAACACACTGAGGAAGTATGACCATCCGGGTCCCCCAGGGATGCCGTGACAGCAGCCCAGAGTGAGGCAGGCACAGACGGTGGGGTGCTCAGGCAGCCGCCCGCCCCAGCACCAGCCACCCACTCCCGAATGCACTCACAGACCTCCAGAGGGGGCCCTCTGGCAAAGCTGTTTGCAGCAAAAATCCAAACTGCAAGTAACAGCAGAACCAGGAGAGAAACAGCATGGAGAAACAGATGGCAGCTTGCGGTGAGCACAGGCCGCCTGCCCGGGAAGCAGGTGCCGCAAGGATGCTGGGCTGGGGCTCGGCTAGCACGGCCAGTTCCCACCAGCGGCTGGGCTGGCTGCGGAGTTTGGGAGCCCCCGATGATCCTGACCTTCCGTAGGCCTGTGAGGCCCAGACTGAGGAAGAGTCTCCCAGCTGGAAGACCCCAGTGGGCTGCTGGTCACCTCCAGGATAAGTGAGTTGGAGAGGATTTAAAAACCAACCCTGCCAGGCATGGCGGCTCATGCCTGTAATCCCAGCACTTAGGGCAGCAGAGGCAGGAGGATTGGTTGAGCTCAGGAGTTTGAGGCCAGCCTTGGCAACATCGTGAGATGCCAACTCCACAAAAGAAAAAAAAAAAAAATTTCTCCCATTCTGTAGGTTGCCTGTTCACTTTGATCATAGTTTCCTTTGCTGTGTGGAAGCTCTTTAGTTTAATTAGATCCCATTTGTCTATTTTGGCTTTTGTTGCCATTGCTTTTGGTGTTTTAGACATGAAGTCCTTGCCCATGCCTATGTCCTGAATGGTAAAGCCTAGGTTTTCTTCTAGGGTTTTTATGGTTTTAGGTCTAACATTTAAGTCTTTAATCCATCTTGAATTAATTTTTGTATAAGGTGTAAGGAAGGGATCCAGTTTCAGCTTTCCACGTATGGCTAGCCAGTTTTCCCAGCACCATTTATTAAATAGGGAATCCTTTCCCCATTTCTTGTTTTTGTCAGGTTTGTCAAAGATCAGATGGTTGTAGATGTGTGGTATTATTTCTGAGGCCTCTGTTGTGTTCCATTGGTCTATATCTCTGTTTTGGTACCAGTACCATGCTGTTTTGGTTACTATAGCCTTGTAGTATAGTCTGAAATCAGGTAGCGTGATGCCTCCAGCTTTGTTCTTTTGGCTTAGAATTGACTTGGCAATGCGGGCTCTTTTTTGGTTCCATATGAACTTTAAAGTAGTTTTTTCCAATTCTGTGAAGAAAGTCATTGGTAGCCTGATGGGGATGGCAATGAATCTACAAATTACCTTGGGCAGTATGGCCATTTTCACAATATTGATTCTTCCTATCCATGAGCATGGAATGTTCTTCCATTTGTTTGTGCCCTCTCTTATTTTGTTGAGCAGTGGTTTGTAGTTCTCCTTGAAGAGGTCCTTCACATCCTTTGTAAGTTGGATTCCTAGGTATTTTATTCTCTTTGAAGCAATTGTGAATGGGAGTTCACTCATGATTTGGTACTCTGTTATTGATGTATAGGAATGCTTGTGATTATTGCACATTGATTTTGTACCCTGAGACTTTGCTGAAGTTGCTTATCAGCTTAAGGAGATTTTGGGCTGAGACAACAGGGTTTTCTAGATATACAATCATGTCATCTGCAAATAGGGACAATTTGACTTCCTCTTTTCCTAATTGAATACCCTTTATTTCTTTCTCCTGCCTGATTGCCCTGGCCAGAGCTTCCAACAGTATGTTGAATAGGAGTGGCGAGAGAGGGCATCCCTGTCTTGTGCCAGTTTTCAAAGGGAATGTTTCCAGTATCCAGAATCTACAAAGAACTTAAAACAAATTTACAAGAAAAAATCAAACAACCCCATCAAAAAGTGGGCAAAGGATAAGAACAGACACTTCTCAAAAGAAGACATTTATGCAGCCAAAAAACACATGAAAAAATGCTCACCATCACTGGCCATCAGAGAAATGCAAGTCAAAACCACAATGAGATACCATCTCACACCAGTTAGAATGGCGATGATTAAAAAGTCAGAAAACAACAGGTGCTGGAGAGGATGTGGAGAAATAGGAACAATTTTACACTGTTGGGGGAATGTAAACTAGTTCAACCATTGTGGAGGACAGTGTGGTGATTCCTCAGGGATCTAGAACTAGAAATACCATTTGACCCAGCCATCCCATTACTGGGTATATACCCAAAGGACTATAAATCATGCTGCTATAAAGACACATGCACACGTATGTTTATTGCAGCACTATTCACAATAGCAAAGACTTGGAACCAACCCAAATGTCCATCAGTGATAGACTGGATTAAGAAAATGTGGCACATATACACCATGGAGTACTATGCAGCCATAAAAAAGGATGAGTTCATGTCCTTTGTAGGGACATGGATGAAGCTGGAAACCATCATTCTCAGCAAACTATCGCAAGGACAGAAAACCAAACACCGCATGTTCTCACTCATAGGTGGGAATTGAACAATGAGAACACATGGACACAGGAAAGGGAACATCACACTCCAGGGACTGTTGTGGGGTGGGGGGAGGGGGGAGGGATAGCATTAGGAGATATACCTAATGCTAAAATGACGAGTTAATGGGTGCAGCACACCAACATGGCACAGGTATACAGATGTAACGAACCTGCACATTGAGCACATGTACCCTAGAACTTAAAGTATTATTTAAGTCACACACACACACACACACACACACACCAAAAAACCATGTAAGACCAACCCTGTGAAGCCACTTTTCTTTTTTTAGTCAATCAACAAGCAGGAGAGAGGGGCCAGAAGGAAGAAATAAAGACCCAGCCTCAGTGGGCCAGTGGCGACGTGAGATCCCAGCAAGGGCGACATCAGGGAGAGACCCCAGCAAGGGCTACGTCAGGGTGAGACCCCAGCAAGGGCTACGTCAGGGTGAGACCCCAGCGAGGGCGACATCAGGAAGAGACCCCAGCGAGGGCGACGTCAGGGAGAGACCCCAGCGAGGGCGACGTCAGGGAGAGACCCCAGCGAGGGTGACGTCAGGGAGAGACCCCAGCGAGGGTGACGTCAGGGAGAGACCCCAGCGAGGGTGATGTCAGGGTGAGACCCCAGCGCGGGTGACGTCAGGGAGAGACCCCAGCGAGGGTGACGTCAGGGTGAGACCCCAGCGAGGGCGACGTCAGGGAGAGACCCCAGCGAGGGTGACGTCAGGGAGAGACCCCAGCGAGGGTGACGTCAGGGAGAGACCCCAGCGAGGGTGATGTCAGGGAGAGACCCCAGCGAGGGTGACGTCAGGGAGAGACCCCAGCGAGGGTGACGTCAGGGAGAGACCCCAGCGAGGGTGACGTCAGGGTGAGACCCCGGCGAGGGCGACGTCAGGAAGAGACCCCAGCGAGGGCGACGTCAGGGAGAGACCCCAGCGAGGGCGACGTCGGGGAGAGACCCCAGCGAGGGTGACGTCAGGGAGAGACCCCAGCGAGGGTGACGTCAGGGAGAGACCCCAGCGAGGGTGACGTCAGGGTGAGACCCCGGCGAGGGCGACGTCAGGAAGAGACCCCAGCGAGGGCGACGTCGGGGATATCCAAAGTGCCCCACAGGGAAAAGATTCTGAAGAGATCGGAACACGAAATTTCTTTGCAAATTTCTCTTTCAATCCACAAACTTTTCCCGAGCACCTTTATATACAACACACTGCAGGAGACACTGAGTGCTGGCTGTGGCCCGTGGCTGCCGGGTTATAATCAGGATGTGGCGGGAAATTGAGGAGGCAAAGCCAATGCTGAACAGAGAAGAACACGCTAATTGTCTTAACCAGCTTTCAGCTCCTTAAAAATTGGTCTTCTTCACCCCTTTCTAGGCCACCCCCCCTCAGATAACATCTGTGTCCTCCAAGAAGCTTTCTTATGGCCCAGGTACGTTTGAGACGCTGCAGGAATGGTTTGCAGAATCCTGGGGAATCTAGATTCCAGTGAACTTTTCTACTGATTACAGCATCACTTTGAGTGAGTCATTCTTCGTTTTCGTTTAGTGGATAGGGATTCGAGGCTAAACAGTAAATGAAATGAATTTCTGGTTTGCAACATCCTGTGCTTAGAAGCCGCCAGGGCCGTTCCTCCCAGCCCCAACTAACGCACCCATGAAAGCACGTGGAAAAGGCACCGCGAAACCCCAGCCCGGGGCCTCTGACAGCTCAGCACCAGGCTCCACATCAGGTGAGGGGATGAGGCGGGAGACGGGAGGCGTGCCATGGACCACCTGGGCCTCGCCTGCCCACCTGGGCCTCGCCTGCCTGGCTGGAGTAGGGGCAGCAGCTGAAGCCGCCTGGGCAGCCTTCCTGGCACTTCAGGGCTGCCAGTTCCTGGGGCCACAGGGGCTGTCCTCCCTCCGCCAACCCTCCTGTCATCCCTGGGAGATACAGCTTCCAGAATCTAGCCAGTCCGGCAATGTGAGTTGCATTGGGGAAGGAGTATTTCCTGAAGCAAGGCTGCATCTGGGAGAGCAGGGAGAGCAGGAAGAGCGGAGGAGACAGCATAAGCCAGGGGCTGCGGTCCCTCGTCCTCCCTGGTTCCGACGGGCCAGGTCGCAGGAGAGTCAAAGGTGCCTCCTGCATGGGGCAGGGTCACAGGCACAATCCCAGACCAAGGGAGGGGCTATGAGGAGACGCCTTGGAGTCAATCCTGGGTCTGCGGGGCTTAGGCTGCTGCAGAAGCGGGGAGGGGAAAACCTCCAAAGTGTTTAGTGCAGGTGAATGTGGCATGCTAGGGCTCAGGAACATAATTAGACAATTGTTTGGTGTCTAGGAAACATAAAGACGGGCCTTACTAATAAAATAGAAAACCAAAAGAAGAAAAGGAGCAAAATAAAGGAAATAATGGAGGACTGCCGGGAAACCAGAGTGGAGAACAGAATCGAAACTTACACCGGAGGGGAAAGAGCAGACGTGGTCACGGAGAAAACAGAGTAGCTGGAATGCTGTTCTAGGCTCATAGGAGCATGAGCTGGTATTAATACAGGCACTCTGGAAAATGATCAGGAATTACCCAATAGAGTTGAATGTGGACACACCCCATAATCCAAGAGAAACCCTCAGGCCTAAAATCTGCAGAAACTCTTGTACATGAACATGTACTCCAGGAGACATGAATGTTTACAGCACAATTATTCATAACAGCAAAAAAAACAAAAAACAAAAAAAGGAGAGTAACCAAAATGATCACCAATGGTAGAATGGATAAATAGGTACGTATTTTTTACAATGGGATATAGACCACAGTGATGGGAATGAATACAGCTACACACATCAACATGGGTGAATTTCAAGATCACAATGTCGAATAAAGAAGAAATGCACAGAAAAATACACACAGATCCACCTTGTTTATGTCACATTCAAACACAAGCAGAACTAAGCATGGGGACGTCTGCAGTGGGGTAACGACTCCAGTGGTAATTAGTGGGTACCTCTTTTATTATGATTCTTCAAACTGCACACAAGTGTTTCTGAGTACAGTTTGGAACCATAAGCTCCCAGGCTGGAGTACATTGGTGCAATTACGGTTCACCGCAGCCTCGACCTCTGGGGCTTAAGCAGTCCTCCCACCTCAGCCTCCTGATAGCTGAGGCTACAGGCGTGTGCCACTATACCTGGCTAATGTGGGGATTTTTTGTAGAGAGGGTGTTTCACCATGTTGCCCAGGCTGGTCTCAAGCTCCTGGGCTCAAGCAATCTGCCCACCTTGGCCTCCCAAAGTGCTGGGATTACAGGTGTGAGCCACCATGCCCAGGCTTATTCCCTTTTTTGTTTATTTAAATCTTGAACACACATCACAGTTTATTAATCCACCAGCAAGAAAACCAGGCGAGGGACTAGAGTGTGCCAGTCCACAGCGGGAATGGAATGGAAAGTCCAGAGCTGGGAAATGGAGCTCTGAGCTAAGCAGCCAGTTTACAAAGGCAAGCAGCTCATTAGGAGGATGTCACGGTTCTGTGTGGTCTCAAGAACCTCGTCTCCAGGACAGTTGGTACAGAGGAAATCGGGGACGAGACAGTTGGGAGCACCAATCAGGAATCAAACATTTAAAATAACCAATGAGAAGCAAATGATAAGGAAACATCTGTGGCTGTTAATAGGAATGACAAGGTTCACCGTGCTAAGAAATGACTAAAATATAGTTCAACCGAGTTTTAAAATTCATTCGTGAGATCTCTCATTTTTAGGGATGAAAATGGTTCCTGGGGTTCTTTTCCAAATTTGCTTGTACTTTTCTCAAAGGTCTGGTTTGTTCAACCTGGTTTCTATTCCTTCTCTTAGATCTTTTGTTTTATTTTAGAGACAGGGCCTTGCTCTAAAGACCTCAGTGAGCCTTTCTCACTAAGGCTGGAGTGCAGTGGCACGATCTCAGCCCACTGCCACCTCCACCCCCCGGGCAGAAGTGATCCTCCCGCCTCAACCTCCCAGGAAGCTGGGACTGCAGGCGCTCACCACGATGCCCAGCTAATTTTTGTATTTTTTTGCAGAGAAAAAGTCTTGCCATATCTCCCAGGCTGGTCTCAAACTCCTAGGCTCAAGCAATCCTCCTGCCTCAGCTTCCCAAAATGTCGGGATTACAGGTGTGAGCCACTGTACCTGGCCTCTCTTATATCTTTTAATTAATTAATTTTTAAAAAACACATTATCATCTCTTTCACCATTTCACTATTCGCTCTCATTTTCTGGGTACCAATTCTCCAAGCTGTTATATTTTCCATTTCTCCCTCTTTTCTTAATGTGGCTGGTGGACAACAGGGGTAGAATCCACAGAATTTTGAGTGGGAAAGATCAGGATTAATTGCATTATCTGTAAAGTGGTCTTTTTTGTATAAAGGCAAAAATTCTCAGAGAGCCAAGGACTCAGAAAATGTATCATCCATGCACCCTTATTTTTTTAATTACATAAAATTACAGACCAGCTAATTATTAGAAAAATAAAATAACTCAAGAGTCTACAAGAAAATAATCATTGATTTTCCTCCTAGAAATCCATTCTAAGGATAGAATCTAAAATGTAGACAGAGAGCTATGCACACAGTAATAAGAGAAAGAAATGAAAACAATTTAAATGTCCTCAATTAGGAGAATATCTATATGACAGAATGTTTACAAAGAGTTCTTGATTACACCGGAAAAGACTTAAGATATTCATTTTAAAACACAGGTTCAATAATATAAAGAAAAAAGACACAGAAAAATGGTTGGAATATACTAAATATTAACAGTGGTTGTCTCTGATTCTGGATTTTTGGAAGGTGTTTATTTATTTATGCTTGTCTATAATTGTAAATGTTCCTCAATGATCCATATTAATTTTATAATCAGAAAAGAGTAAAATGTAGAGAGTAGATGTTAAAAAATGAAAACTTCCAAAGGTAACAACAGATAAGAACTTAAATATCTGGGCAATATTAAATAAGAAAAATAAAATACTATGCTACTGGCTTTGAGATAGTCTACAGTTTATCCTCAGCACAGCAGACAGAGTACCCTTTAAAAGAGGGGGAGATCGGATTCTGTCTCCGCTTTACTCAAGACCCTCCAAGGGCGCCTCATTTTACTGAATATAAAACCAAAGTCTTGGCCAGGTGTAGTGGCTCACGCCTGTAATCTCAGCACGTTGGGAGACTGGGGCAGGTGGATTTGCTTGAGCTCAGGAGTTTGAGACCAGCCTGGGCAACATGGCAAAACCCCGTCTCTACAAAAATGCAAAAAATTAGCTGGGCGTGGTGGTACAGCCTGTAGTCCCAGCTATTCGGGAGGCTGAGGGGGGAGGGTTGTTTGAGCCCTGAAGGCAGAGGTTGCAGTGAGCTGAGATCGTGGCACTGCCCTACAGCCTGGGTGACACAGTGAGATCCTGTCTCAAAAAAACAAAACAAATAAAAAAAACCCCGAAACCCTAAGTCCTTACAAAGGTCTCTAAGCACCAACATGGTCTGACCCACTCTATCGTAACTCTGATGATACAGTTTGGCTGTGTCCCCACCCAAATCTCATCTTGAACTGCAGCTCCCATAATTCCCAAGTGTTGTGGGAGGGACCCAGTGGGAGGTAATTGAATCATGGGGGCGGTTCCCTCCATACTGTTCTCGTGATAGTGAATGAGTCTCACGAGATCTGATGGTTTTATAAGAAGAAACTCCTTTCACTTGGTCTCATTCTTTCTTTGCCTGCCGCCATGTAAGACGTGCCTTTCGCCTTCCGCCGTGATTGTGAGGCCTCCCCAGCCATGTGGAACCGTGAGTCCATCAAGCCTCTTCCCTTTAGTACCCAGTCTCAGGTATGTGTTTATTAGCAGCATGAGAACAGACTAATACATCTGACAACCTCTCCCCAGCCCCAACTTAACTCAAGTCACACTGGTCTCCTCGCTGTGCCTCAGATCTACCAAGCACACACATCTGCCTCGGGGCCTTTGCACCTGCTGCTTTGCACCCCTACTTGGAATGCTTTCCCTCCACATAGCCACAGAAGATGCTTCAGATCTCCATTCAAAAGTCATTTTGTCGGTGGGCCCCTCTCTTATCCCCATATAAACCAGCAACTGCCCCAGTGTCCCCAGCACCCCTTCTCCCTTTGCCCTAAGGACTTGATCACCGTCTGTGACACTGCAGAATTTACTGGGTTTGTGGTCTCCCTCTCCCATTGGAAGAGCTATTTTGCCTGGCACATAGGAGGTGCTCAATAAATGTGTCAGCTGCCTACATGAATAAACGCATTTGACTGCAGGCTCCCAAAGCAGATGGGCTGAGGCTCACACTGCCGCCTGGTGAAAGGGCATAACACAGGCAGCAACACCACCCTGACAGCCCCAGGAACATCTCACCAGCACTCAACTCGCTCCAGAAAAAATACTTACAATTACAGCCAGAGATGATGGAAGTGAAGCACGAAAGGAAAGGAAGATAAGAGGCCTTGGGCAGAATGCTCCAAGAGTTTTCATCAGAAAACCCAAGTTCTTCCATTAGGATTTGGCTTTTGCGGGGAGACATAACTCCAAATTTTCATCACAGACTCAGAACCAGCTTAAAATCTGACATTTTAAACGGCCTTTCTAGTTAGTTATCTCTTCATTATGATTAGACATTTTTCTAAGAAGAAAGGGCATTAGGAAACCAATTACGCCAGCCTTCCCACACCCCACAAGCAGGCAGAAAAATCCAGCACATGGTTCTGGTACCCACAGGTACCCAGGCTCATATACCATGAACATGTTCCCAGCCCCATCCATTCCTGCTAACCGTGCACCATATGCCTGGTGCTGCAGAGAGGGAATATCCTTGATCTTTTAGAGGCTAAGTTTTATCAGCCTCTAAAAATTCAAGGGCAAAGTAATAGCGTAATGCACAGCCTCATATTCTCTGCCTTAGGAAAGATAAGAAAATTCATCCTAAGCTATTTCGGACTTTTCTGGGCACTGGAGCCCTCTGGAGATTAAGACAGGCTGGTGGTAGCTCAAGACTGTTACGGAGTGTGAGGGTGACTCATGAGGGGGATGGGGAAACCCTCAACTAAATTATTAAACTTGCTAAATTTGTCTTTCCTTCCATTCACTTTCTTTTCCTTCAAAGATCCCTCACTTCTGCCCTCCCACAGCTCAGCTGTGACCATCTTTTCATCCCACAAAGTGTCTCCCCACAGACGATGTTTTAAGGAATTTCCTCTTCCATGGACATGTGCATTGTCAAAGGGGTCCCCTGAAGATTAGAAGGACCTCAGGTTCAAAGGGGAGATTTCTGGCTGAAGAGGAAGGGAGGCCTCTGATAGTTATGGAATATCTATGCTGGAGGTTTTGCCCACTTCAACAGTCTTACTGAATTCTCGCAGCAACTGTGGAGCAGACATTATTAACTCCATCTGGGGATGAGGAGTCAGGGACTTCCAGCAAGACAGAATGCTAGCACACACTGTGAGGCCCTGCCTGCAGCTTTTCCTGTTCCAAAGACACGGAAGTGATAGAGGAAAATACTTTCACAACAACAGCAGCAAGGAAATGTGCGCAAAAACAAGATCTATATCTCCATGGATCATAAATTCAAAGTATTTGCCATTTTGAGGGGTGAAGGCACAGCCGCTTGCTGAGCTCTGGGCTCCGAAGCAGACAGAGGCAGCTGGGAGATTGGTCTTCCAGGGTTCAGGGACTAAAAGTGACCCTTGGGAGGTGGGGGACCAGAGCAGAGTCACTAAAATCAGGCTGTTGAGGGGATTTTCCACCTGGGAAAGGAGGCTGAAAACAGCAGGGACCTGCCCCGGGACTATAACATACATAAGGAAATGAGCTCAGAGGAAAGCAAGCCCAGCAGCAGCAGGGCCTGGCCAAGCTGTCACGGCTGGGATGAGGGTCTGGGAATAATCCCAGTATCACCATGGATGAGCAGCTCGCCACAAACCCAGGATGCCTGGCTCAGCACTGGGCAACCCCAGACCCAGCGGGAGGCAGCTGCAAAACTATTCAGCTAGAAGAGCCGGGTGGGAAACAGAGAGAAACGGACTATTATCACACAGGATGAGCGCACAAACCAAAATTCCAAAACTTCCAAGGAAAACTAACCCTAAGAAAGACAACCCACGAAACCAATGGGGAATTGATCTCAAGGAAAGACTTAGTGACTTGGAAGGCAGTACTGAAGAATTCACCCAGAAAGGACCACAGAAAGATAAAGAAATAAACAAGAAAGAGCAGTTGGGAGCTGTGGGGGATGGTTGAGGAGCTCTGAAATGTATCCAGCGGGATTTCCAGAGAGGAGAGAAGGAATGGCAGAGGAGCAATATTCAAAGACATCATGGCTGAGAATTTTCCAGAATTGAAGGTGTTTTGTGGATCCTCGGATGTGACAAGCAAGATTTAAAAAGTAATAAATCCTGATCTGGAAGACCAGCTGCACGCCTCCTCGCCCCTCACATTCTGTCCCAGCCCTGCCTCCCCAGGGCACTTCCCAGAAGCTACCTGCCACGTCCTGCTGTTTTGGCTCCAATCCGACCTGGCACAGGGAGGTTCTGACTGTCCCTGCCCATCTGCTACTCCCCAGAGTCCTTGCTGAGCCTCGACTTCCTTCCCTCAAATGGGGTTGGAACTAGAACCATAGAACTGTAGCAGCAGAAGGGGCGTTGGGTGGCATCGTGACAGCAGACAACGGCTGAGTTTGGTTTCCAGCTCCCCCACTAACTGGCTCTGTGCTTGCAGGTTATTTAACCTCTTGTGTCTTTATTTCCCCATCAGGAAAAGGGGATAAGAATAGCACCACTGGGGTTGTGCAGGGATGAAATGAATTCATACATGCAAGGAACTTATGGCAGTGCCAGGCACACAGTCAGCGTTCACCCTGGGTAGCTACTACTGTTACCATAATAACAGCCCCCACAAACACCACATGCTCTCACACTCACAGTGCGAGGGGCTTCCCACCGAAACCTCGGACTCTCCCACGTGTAGAACCTGCCACCCCTGCATAGGGGAAGTGGCCACAGGCTGTCCCTCCGTGCTTTTCTCCGCCGAGTGGTCAGTTCTTCCTTGACTTCTGGAGAAACCCCTCCCAGTGACTGTCCACCCATCCCCATCTGAGAGCGTATCCAGCCCGCCCAGCCCTCCCCACCGTCACCCTGACCGTCCACCCATCCCCATCTGAGGGCATATCCAGCCCACTCAGCCCTCCCCACCGTCACCCTGGACGCCCTACCTCTCTTTGCTCACTGCAGATCTTACACAGCCACAGGGGCCGCTTCTGGCCAGGGGAGGCCTCGATCCCACATTTGGTGCAGACTTTCTACAAGAGAGAGGACATGGGGTTGTAAAGATTGCAGCCGCTTCCTCCTCCGCCGAGGGGCTCAGACAACTGTAACGAAGGGACACTTAGCATCTTCCAAGGAGCGTCTCTTGCTTCAGGATAGAAGGAATCAATCACCCCAGAGGCACAGCTCATCTAAAAATCCTTAGTTGGCTTTGGACGTAATGGATGGCCCCATCCACGGAACCCCCACCCCAGAGTTAGGTTCTGTTGGAACCACAGCAAAGCTTGCTGACATTCACAGCTGCGTCACGTTTGATAGCAAAGAACTGGAAACAACACAGACGCCCAATGCCAGGGGAGGGTCCAGGCAAACACGACAGCACGTGATCTGGCCTTCACACAGCCGACGGCGGTGCTGCCTGGAAATAATGCGATTCAACAAAGAAACATACGTTTGCGTATAACCCGAAACTGGCCTGCGTGTCCGACAGGTCAGAAGACACAATCGTGAGAAATGCTGGTAACAACGTGACAGTTACGTAAACTTTGGGCCCACGTTATAGGTGAGGAACCCGGGGCTTGGCAGAGTCTGAGGATATGCTCAGGTTCACATGGCAGCCACGGATTCCGGTCGGACTCCAGAGACAGTTTATCATGTTCTCTGGACGCAGAAATAACCAGAATCTAGAACCTACAGTCTGCTGATGTGCTGGGCCATCGAAGACCCCACGCCTGGGAGCTTCATGAGAACTGGAAAGGGGCTTTGCTTTAAGCAAGGTTGATTAAGCTCATAACTTATAAATACAATTACTGTTGCTTAAAAACAAGAATATGTCCTGAGAAAAGGCACAGTGAGGTGATTGCATCATTGTGCAAACAGCACATAGAGCACACTTACGCAAACCAAGATGGTATAGCCGGCTGCACACCCAGGCTAGCTGCTGTATTCTGTGGCTGCTAGGCCACAAACCTGAACGACATGTTACTGTACCGAAGGCTGCAGGCAACTGTGACACAGCGGAAAGTATTCCTGTATCTAAATATATCATAGAAATGGTACAGTAAGAATGTGGTATTATAATGGTGTGGGACATTTGCTGGCCGAAACGTCATTATGTGATGCAGGACAGTTCTTACGTTGCTTCCCCTGAAGGCACAGCAACAAGGCCAGAAGAAGCAAGCTGGGAGGCAGAGGTGGATGTGTTGGGGCTGAGACCGGCTCCAGGCTAACCCAGGCAGAGTCTGATTCAGCGATCGCTGGCGACTCCTCAGGACTGTTGCCCCAGCTCATCCATCTTTCTGCCACACGGAAGCCACCCGGTCCCTGCGTGGGTGGGGGCTCTCTGCAGCCCCCCGCCGAGGGAAGGTTGCATCTGTTGCTTGGCCTTTTCTGCAGGCTGCCAACTCAGCAAGGAGCACGTCTCTCCATGGAGAGGGAAAATGTCACCAACTTGGCTTCCACGTCGAGCGTGTCGAGCGTGTGGAGGTCACTGGCCTGATCGGGTGGCCGAGCTCAGTGCCCCTGGGGTGGGGGAGCAAACTCACGGGGGACGGAAGCTATGATACATTCCTGCGGGGGACGGATTTGCTACCATCCAATGCTCAGGTACGAGAAATGTCACCTTTTATTTATCCAAAGAAAATGCAATCTGCTCCAAGCTCCTGTCCCTCTGGATTGGCAGGAAAATCTGCCCAAGCCTCAGCCACACTTGGGGCCCCTTTCCAGCTCTCATGAAGGTCCTAGGCTTGGGGTGTTTGATGGCCCAGATCTGCAGAGGGTCCCCTGAGCGCCGTCCACACTCCTCACTGCTGGCCTTCTTGCTTCCCAAGCTCTCATGACCCCATGAGAGGGAGTGGGAGCATGTGGTCATATCTGTGCCAGTCCTGGGTTTGGGATCATTGCTAGGCTGGGCTTCAGCCCTTCCAAGGACCAGTAGCCTGTCTCCCTGGAACCCTAGGCCACCATCCCTCACAGAGACTGGTGACTCTCCCCTTCCCCAAGAGAGCAGCCTCTCTCCACCTCTTCCACCCTTCGCTCCTAATGTTCCCACCTCTACAACAGGGTCCCCCATCAGCCTATGAGGTGGGCTCCAGAACCACAACGTGGGCCTCTCCTCTCTGGGTAAAGGGGAGAGGAAGCACTGATGCTACTTAGCTCTGTTTTCCTTGCGAATTCCCACCATCCCTGTGTACACTGTAACAGGTGGAAACAAGTGTGGCCCTCAGAGACGTGAGCTCTCCCTTCTGCACTCTACACACGCATCGGTTGAGGGCAGCTCACCTTATAAACATGCAGAGTGCCCTGCCCTGCATAGGCTGCTGAACGAGGCGATGCTGCGGGAACAGGAGGGAATCAAACACCCACAGCGCAGTTAGTGAGCAGTTATCGGACCGGGCCAGAGTATGAAGGAGGCAGGTGTTATGATCCCCACTATATAGATGAAGGAACAAAGGCTCAGAGATGACTCGGGCTGCCCGAGGTCACACAGCTCGTTCACGGTAAAGCAGAATTTTTGTTCAGACCTCAGGAGGGTCGGTCACACCCTCCCCTGCCCTGGTGCCAGGCTGGTGCGCACGGCTCTCTAGAGAGCTGCTTCTGCTCAGGCGGGTCCCTGGGGACGTGGCTGATGGCTCTCAAAACAATGGGCAGAGAAGGTGCCAGGGGCCGACCCTGGGACAAAGCTTTGCTGGGGTCGTGAGTGTGGCCTGATGCTGACTCTAGGAGCAACGGCCCAGGCTGGACAGTCTGGCCCTGCCCTCCATGCTCTCCCAGTGGGGAGGGGAGAGGTTTCCAGCTGTCAGCAGGAGGCCCGGCAGCCTCTCCATTGCACCCCACAGGTGCCCTCGCAGCCTGGCCTCTCCCCCGGGGGCCGCCTTCCCCTATGCACACAGCCAAGGGGGAGAGGACAGCCTCTGCCCCATCGTAGTCAGCTTAGGCTGCTGTAACAAAAATACCATAGACTGAGTGGCTGAAACAACAGAAGCATGTTTATCACAGCTGCAGAGGCCTGACGGCCCCGGTCGGGGTGCCCACACGGTCAGGTTCTGGGGAGGGCTCTTCCTGGCGTACAGACGGCAGCTTCTTGCTGTACCCTCCCACAGTAGAGTGAGGTCTGGCCTCCTCCTCTGATAAGGACGCCAATCCCATCCCCAGGGTCCCACCCTCAGGACCTCATCTGATCCCTCCCAAAGCCCCCATCTCCAAATATCACATCTGCGTGACGGCTTCAACGTAGGTATTTTGGGGTGATATAAACATTCAGTCCACAGCAGCGCCCGACCAGGACTGGGATCCTCTCTCTGCTTTTGTACTCGGGAGCCCTAGAAATGGGAGCATCGTCGTGTCTCTCAGCCCTGGAGTCGTCTAGAGCCCTCGGTCCCCCTGAGCCTGCACCTCACGCCATCCTGCGCTATCACCAGATCCTGTTCCTGAGACGTGACTCTCGGCTCCTTCAGAGGCCGCACGGCACGGCGCACAGGTTTGGGGATGGCAGACCTGGGTGGGCTCCCGGGCAAGTCACCCAAAGCCTCTCTAAACCTCAGACGTTCTCAGCTGTAAAGTGGGATAATACTTACACCCTTGGGTTGTTTTGAGGATCAACTGAGACACAGGAAAAGCAACCAGCACGTAATAGCGACTCGATAAATGCCAGCTGCGGTTAGTGCAGCCCCTCGTACCGTGTTCTGCAGCCCGGCGTGGTTTTCCTCTAGTCCCACACGATCTAATACGGTAGCCACCAGCTGCAGGTGGCTATTTAAGTGCAAACTGATTGTGATGGAATAAAATGAAAAACAGCTCTGAGGTCACACTGACCCCATTTCAGGTACTCCGTGGCCTCACGTGGCCGGTGGCTACCGCAAGGGACAGCAGAGAAATACATTTTCATCCTCACCGTGAGGTTCTGCAGGACGGCGCTCGGCCAGAGGACCCTGCCCTCAGTCTCCCCACTCAACCTGCCAACAGCCTGCTCCCCTGCTCCCCTACAGCTTCCAATCAACCCGACTGATGCACTCATGTGCCTGCCCCTCAGCGCGGCTCTATCTCCACCCCCATCCCGTCTAGCGCTCACCTCCCCTGCGATTCACTAATCCACGTTACCATCACCCGCTGAGCACCCGTGAGGGGCACAGGCCTGGCGTGACAGGACACGGATGAACAGGGTGGGGCCCAGGCCCCACTGTGCACCCCGGGATGCCCTCAACACTTGCTCCGATGTCCCCCCGCCACTGCTGGGGGGGTGCTCGGCTGCCCTGTGGGGGGGTTTGAGGGACAAATGTGCACGTGTCTCACTGATGAAACAGTGCCGTGGGGGCAGGGAGAGAAGCCAGGAGAGTGTCCACGGAACTGAGTCCTGTCCTCTACTCACAGACCACGAGGACGCGGAGCCAACGGATCTGGGGACAGGAGCAGCGTGGACCAGTCGCCCTCCAGAGGTTGGGTGAAGGGCTGTCCCTGCTGGGCCCACGAACCTCTGCCTTCCCCTTAGGGTCTGGTGCTTCCTGCTCCCCAGATCGCGCCTCGGGCAGCCTGTTTTCCCGCTACCAACCAACGCTGGCGGCACCTGGGGTCAGTTCTCCACCTCAGCCATCCCCCTGCTGCTTCAGTGTCTCTGGCTGGCAGGGGGCAGGGGGCGTTCCTAAGAGGCGAGGGCTACGGAAAGACGACACGCTCCCACTCAAATAACACATAATTGCTGCTTTCGTAAATCTCAGATCAATAAGGCAGTCATGGGCCTCTTCCAATGGGCTCGGTCTTTGTTCCCAGGTTCCAATAAAGAAAACGAAACAGGTGGTATTTTTGAAAACCCATGCGACAGCGAGCAAGCCAGCCTCTACATCACCTTGGTGCAAACACAGCCCTTCACGATCTGTGTCTAGGACAGTCCCGGGGCCCAGGGGTGGCCACTCACTTCCCTGCCTGAGATGGGCTTCCTCGGAGTGGATTTGCCCAGGGCAAGCGAGTCCTGGCTTCCCGGGCTTGGCTGCCTCATGCACCCTGCAGCCTGGAACTGCGTCCGGGTGTTAAACGATGAAGCTTCTGGGCCTAACCCAGGGCAGAAGCCACACAACTCCAGGCTTTCAGACCTCGCACCCTCTCTCTCCACCGTCAGACCTCGCACCCTCTCTCTCCACCGTCAGACCTCGCACCCTCTCTCCACCGTCAGACCTCACACCCTCTCTCCACCGTCAGACCTCACACCCTCTCTCCACCGTCAGACCTCACTCCCTCTCTCTCCACCGTCAGACCTCACTCCCTCTCTCCACCGTCAGACCTCGCACCCTCTCTCCACCGTCAGACCTCACACCCTCTCTCCACCGTCAGACCTCACACCCTCTCTCCACCGTCAGACCTCGCACCCTCTCTCTCCACCGTCAGACCTCGCACCCTCTCTCTCCACCGTCAGACCTCGCACCCTCTCTCTCCACCGACAGACCTCGCACCCTCTCTCTCCACCGTCAGACCTCACACCCTCTCTCCACCGTCAGACCTCACACCCTCTCTCCACCGTCAGACCTCACACCCTCTCTCCACCGTCAGACCTCACTCCCTCTCTCTCCACCGTCAGACCTCACTCCCTCTCTCCACCGTCAGACCTCGCACCCTCTCTCCACCGTCAGACCTCACACCCTCTCTCCACCGTCAGACCTCACACCCTCTCTCCACCGTCAGACCTCACTCCCTCTCTCTCCACCGTCAGACCTCACTCCCTCTCTCCACCGTCAGACCTCGCACCCTCTCTCCACCGTCAGACCTCGCACCCTCTCTCCACCGTCAGACCTCACACCCTCTCTCCACCGTCAGACCTCACACCCTCTCTCCACCGTCAGACCTCGCACCCTCTCTCTCCACCGTCAGAGCTCGCACCCTCTCTCTCCACCGTCAGACCTCGCACCCTCTCTCTCCACCGACAGACCTCGCACCCTCTCTCTCCACCGACAGACCTCGCACTCTCTCTCCACCGACAGACCTCGCACGCTCTCTCTCCACCGTCAGACCTCACACTCTCTCTCCACCGTCAGACCTCACTCCCTCTCTCCACCGACAGACCTCACACTCTCTCTCCACCGACAGAGCTCACACTCTCTCTCCACCGTCAGACCTCACTCTCTCTCTCCACCGTCAGACCTCCCACCCTCTCTCCACCGTCAGACCTCGCACCCTCTCTCTCCACCGTCAGACCTCACACCCTCTCTCCACCGTCAGACCTCACTCCCTCTCTCCACCGTCAGACCTCACTCCGTCTCTCCACCGTCAGACCTCGCACCCTCTCTCTCCACCGTCAGACCTCACACCCTCTCTCCACCGTCAGACCTCACTCCCTCTCTCCACCGTCAGACCTCACTCCCTCTCTCCACCGTCAGACCTCGCACCCTCTCTCCACCGTCAGACCTCGCACCCTCTCTCTCCACCGTCAGGCCTCACACCCTCTCTCCACCGTCAGACCTCACACCCTCTCTCCACCGTCAGACCTCACACCCTCTCTCCACCGTCAGACCTCACTCCCTCTCTCTCCACCGTCAGACCTCACTCCCTCTCTCCACCGTCAGACCTCGCACCCTCTCTCCACCGTCAGACCTCACACCCTCTCTCCACCGTCAGACCTCGCACCCTCTCTCTCCACCGTCAGACCTCGCACCCTCTCTCCACCGTCAGACCTCACACCCTCTCTCCACCGTCAGACCTCGCACCCTCTCTCTCCACCGTCAGACCTCGCACCCTCTCTCTCCACCGTCAGACCTCGCACCCTCTCTCTCCACCGTCAGACCTCACACCCTCTCTCCACCGTCAGACCTCGCACCCTCTCTCTCCACCGTCAGACCTCGCACCCTCTCTCTCCACCGTCAGACCTCGCACCCTCTCTCTCCACCGTCAGACCTCGCACCCTCTCTCTCCACCGTCAGACCTCGCACCCTCTCTCTCCACCGTCAGACCTCGCACCCTCTCTCCACCGTCAGACCTCGCACCCTCTCTCCACCGTCAGACCTCGCACCCTCTCTCCACCGTCAGACCTCGCACCCTCTCTCCACCGTCAGACCTCGCACCCTCTCTCTCCACCGTCAGACCTCACTCCCTCTCTCTCCACCGTCAGACCTCACTCCCTCTCTCCCGGCCGTCAGACCTCGCACCCTCTCTCCCCACTCCTGTCTCAGTCCCTCCATGTGCTTCTTTTGCAAAGAAATGTATATTCTCTCTACCCCCAAGAACACAGGGGAGGGGGTTCCCCAGGGACCTGCCCACGGGACACAGGCTTTGGGGCAGGAGAGAGCAGGGTGTGCCGTTTAGAGGTGAACTTGGACTCGGTACTCGCCTTCTGAGCCTCACTTCCTCATCTGTAAGTTGGTGGTAACAGGCCCCCCCACACCCCAGGTTGCAGATGAGGGGATCAAGGGAGACGGTCATGAAAGTGCTCAGCACCATAAAAGGTTAGGTAGGCGGCAACCTCAGACCTTTATAGCCATGCCTGTCTCAGTGAAGGCAGCCAGCATCCATCAGTCACACAAGCCACAACCCAGCACTCATCCTGGGCCCCCATCGTCCCTCCTTCCTGCCCAGATAATCCATCTCCAAGAACTCAAATCTCTCTCCAACCTCTCAATTCCCCTTCAGCCCCGTCCCTGATCTCTGCTGCCACCGCCCACGCCCACACCAAGGCCGCCCAGCAGATCTCTCTACCCCACCGCGCTGTCCTCCAGCTGGTTCCCGACATGGCAGCCAGGCCGATTTTCTCAAGAGGCAAATCTAATCATGTCACCTCTCCCATCCCTCCCAACTTAAAAGCCATCAGAGGCTTCCCGCTGCTCTGGGGTGACCACCGCCTCACTTCATACGGCATTCGGGCCGGCCCTGCCTCCTGCTCTACTTCCTCAGCCCCGACCCTCTGAGCTCCAGCCGTGTGGGCCGTTTGTCAGCCCCTGGTCCTTCTGCCACAGGACCTTTGCACGTGTTGCCCCCTCTGTGTGGCCACGCTGTCTCTTCATTAACCTACACACCCCTCGGACCTCAGCAAAAGCACCACATCTTCAAGGAAGACTTCCGCAACACTCCTTCCACAATGAGAGCCTCCAGAATGGGCTCCTGCCTCTTCTCCGCTGTCAAGGTTGTGATTTTACCCTCCGCTGTGTGGCTGCAGGGCTCCTGTGACTTCCCCTGCTGGGCCGTCATCTTCCCAAGGGCAGAGGCCACGTCTATTTCTGTTCACCCTCCTGCTCCCTGTGCCCGGCACAGTGACTATTTGCAGAAGAACGGATTGAACAAATGGAAGCTACTTAAGATATTACAGTTGAAAAAGCAAGACAGGCTCCCTCCCGGAACATGCCGACCTGCCGGGAAGACAAGCTGCACGGAGGCGTGAAGGCACTCGCTCAGCGACACGAGGCAGGGTCCAATCACGTCCACATTGAGTGATGCTGACCAGCAGGATTGTGGGAGGCCAAACCAGGGAGAGCCACACAGCGGGCAAGTGTCCGAGGAGGTGGGGTGGTGGCCAGGTGGGCCTCAGTCTCAGGGTATGGAGCATAAACCCAGGCTGGCCCGGCCACAGGGGAAATGACTCCGGGAATCCTTCACTGAGGGTGGGAAGCGGGGATGTTTACCAGACCATTCCCATGACGGCTCCTGCCTGCCTCCCCCGGGGTGCGTGCCGCGGCCGCCTATGTGTGCAGACCCGTCCCAAGGCCTGATCAGGCACCTTCCTCAATGTCCTTCTTATCCAGGGCCACTTCAGTGACATTTCTGCTTCCTGCGACTCCCCGTCCCACCCCTTCTCCTTCCCAGATGGCACCCAAGAGTCACAATGCGACAGAAGGTTCTGCTGGGCCACTCCAAAGTTCAGGTACTTCATGCCCAGGCTGGCCTTTGAGTCCTCACCGATCCATTTCATGATGAGGAATTCCACCACGCTCCCGCAGATCAGAAGACGGGAAGGGGCTTAGTGCCAATGTAGGGGGAGGGAAGGAAACTGCTCTGAAAGCAGACGCCGCCATCTCACAGCACCCGCGGTCTGGAGTCAGTCACTGGCAGCCTCACACTCCTGGACGGGCCGGGACAGCTTCACAGCGTCACCATCCATGGCACAGAGAGGGCTGTTCATGAGCCTCACTCGACCGAAAAGGGTGAAACTGCGCTCAAACGTCCTGTACAAGGAGGCCTGGACCATCCATGGCACAGAGAGGGCTGTTCATGAGCCTCACTCGACCGAAACGGGTGAAACTGCCCTCAAACGTTGCGTACAAGGAGGCCTGGAAAACGTACGCTGTGCTGTGGAGATGAACACTGAAGATGGCTGGTTTAAACGTGTGGAGCTTCAATTCACAAACATGTTTTCTATACTGTAGGGAAGGCATTATTCTAAGAATGCCGAAAACAAACAAGACACGGCCCTTTGTCCTCAAAGAGTGTCCCATTGAACGGAGTAGTTTATCCATTAGCAAAACTCAGGGCCAGGTGCGGTGGATCCTGCCTGCAATCCCAGTGCTTTGGGAGGCCGAGGTGGGGGGATTTCTTGAGGCCAGAAGTTCAAGACCAGCCTGGGCAACACAATGAGACTCCCCCACCCCCCATCTCATTTTAAAAAATAATAAAATAAAATAGCAATCTTTTATCTGGAAAATTACTTTCCTGAGAGTTCCAGTGAGTTGAAATCGGCAGGTGAGCTGGTTTCTCATTGGGAACCGCGCTGCAGACGGTGCTTACAGAGGGGTCATCCCCCTGCCCCGATAAAATAGGATAAGAAATAGCTACGTCTGAATGGCCTCGGTGCATGCACAAAGCAGCATAATGAGAGCCTCCACGTGTGTGTTTCATGCCACACAATGTGCTCCTGATGCCAGAAACCAAATCTTCAAAAGGGAAAATCTTACTAGGTTTAGGGGAGAGCTTTGCAGCAACAAAGACGATGATGATGTAAATAGAAAAGTGACGAAATGACAACGAAGCTGTGTGGGGCAATATTCACCATAAGCTGTTAAGTTAAAAAAAGCACGTTGGAAACAGTCTGCATAGCAGGGCGCTCCACCACGTAAATATGTAGATGTGCCTACATCTATGGAGGAGTCTATATATACACAGAGGACAATCTAGAAAGATATCAGCCCAAATGGAAATCAAACTGTGCAAAGTCAAAATCTATTTTAAATGGATAAGCAGAATTCCTATTTAAAGGAAGCTTATGCTAAATGCTTTGGAAAGTCACTTGCCCCAACTTCATTTTTTGACCAGGTCTGGATTTTTGCAGGTCAGGATGGATTAAAGCAGCTGAAAGTGTCCACGCAGACAGGCAGGAGACAGCCACAGTGGCTGACTGTGGCTCAATTGTAATCAGGCCTGTGCACCCCCACAGCGGGTCCCAGATGGTGTCCCCGGGTCACCGGCCCCTCCGATCATAAGCTCAGCCCTGCTCAGCCCCTGAAGTGCCATCCGCCAGGCTTGGAGAAGCATCACCTGCCCCAGTGGGCCAGCAGCGGAAAGGCTGGATACAGCTCTGTTGCTATAGACGCTGTCTGGAACCCAGGCCCTGCTGCCAAATGACTTTAAACGTATAGACAGTTCAGATATTGATGTATATAATTACAAATATTTATATACTTTCTCGGGTACTTATGCTTACACTAGGCACCAAGCTAGCTGTTTTATGCAGAATCTCATTTAATTTTCAAAACAGCCCTATGGGGTGGGTATGACTGTTCCTGTTTTACACAAGGGATCTGAGACTTGAGGTTAAGCAGCTCGACGTGGGGACCTGGGATGCGAACCCTGTTCAGTCTGAGCCTCGGTCCCGGGCTCCTGCTGCCCCAGCCGGGCCTGGCTGCCTGGCTAGCACACTCTTGCAGGCCCTCATCCTCCCGCCTGGACCCAACTTCACCCTCCCCACCCCGAGGTAAGGCAAGGCTGGATCCCTGGGCCCTCTCCTCTTCCAGAACGACAGATGAGGTCAAGCTTCAAGTGGGAGGGGCACAGCCAGGCCCCTCTTCCCATTCGTTAGGACACAGCCCGGGGGCCAGCAGCGCTGGGAGCACGCCGAGCCCTGGACCTTACCCCGACTACCCACAAATACCAAGTCACAGAAGGCCCCAAGGAGGCACAGCCTTAATGCCAGCCACCTGCTGCCGGGTCTGAGACAGAAGCCAGAGGCAAGTGGAGAAACATTTCAGGAGGAAGGCAAGTCTCCCTGGACTTCCCACCCCACGTCCTCCATCCTGGCTGCTGGCGGCTCCCAGGGGAACCAGCCACTCAGGGCCGAGCCGCCTCTCTTTACCAAGGCTTCCGGCAGGCCCTTCCCCTCCATCGGAAGAGCCTCTGA
Organism: Homo sapiens; assembly: GCF_000001405.40. NCBI lineage: Eukaryota > Metazoa > Chordata > Mammalia > Primates > Hominidae > Homo > Homo sapiens. The sequence continues at coordinate 293,119 of NC_000017.11, forward strand.
CATGGCCTGGGGACCACCTGCGAGCCTCAGGCCTGTGCCAGCCCCCAGCCACCTCTCCCAGTTGAAAGCAAGCACCATCATTTCCTGTGGCTTTCAAGCTCGGCTTCCAAAACACCAAACACCTCCTCCCTCCGCCTGCCACTCATGCAGTTACCACTGCGTCCCGAGTGGAGAGGAGGGTTAAAAAAGGCAACAGCATCAGCTGTTGACTATTAACATTCACAGAGCACATAATAAGAAATCATGACTTGGACGGGGCTTCGGATCATTTCTGCACTCGTGCCTCTGCGAGTGTCAGTCTCAGGGAAATCGGGGTATTCAGACGAGATGAAGCCGCCAGGATGGCTGGGGGCCGGGGCTCCGGGGGTGGGGCAGCGGGGTCCAGGGGCCTCAGTTAACCCCTTCCCGGTCCTGGTTAACCTCTGCATCCCCTCAGTCCCAGAGAGGTTTCTGCATCTTTTCCGGCAGGACACGGGAAACAGGAGGTTTGAGCCATCGAGAACTGGGCTGAGGGCCGTGCAGCACCGGTGATGGGAGCACGGTGCACTCAACAGGAGCTTCGGCCAAGGGGTGGATGGGATGGCTAAATCAGAAGGTGGGAGGAGGGTTTTTAAAAACCAGCAAATCTGGTCGGGCGCGGTGGCTCACGCCTGTAATCCCAGCAATTTGGGAGGCTGAGGTGGGCGGATCGCCTGAGGTCAGGAGTTCAACACCAACCTGGCCAACAAGGCGAAACCCCGTCTCTACTAAAAATACAAAAATTAGCCGGGCGCGGTGGTACTCACCCGGAATCCCAGCTACTTGGTGGCTGAGGTAGGAGAACTGCTTGAAACCAGAAGTCGGAAGTTGCAGTGAGCTGAGATTGCACCACTGCATTACAGCCTGGGTGACAGAGCAAGACTCGGTCTCAAAAAAATAAAATAAAAATAAAACCCAGCAAATCTAATAATGTTCAATCAAAGGGGAAAGCACAGGACGTGGGGCTTGGTCTCCAGGGGTTCCTGAGTTCATTCAGCATCTGTGGAGGACACAGTGGTGCCAGGTACGAGCCCAGTGTGAGGTGTGAGGTGTGAGGAGTGCTGATGGGATGAAGAGACGTACAAACGCCAGCATGGGATGGACCACTTGAGCCCAGGTGATCAAGACCAGCCTGGGCAACATAGCAAGACCCCGTCTCTACAAAAAAAAAAATACAAAAATTAGCCGAGCATGCTGGTGCACACCTGCAGTCACAGCTACTTGGAAGAATCGTTTGAGCTCAGAAGGTCGAGGCTGCAGTGAGTTGTGATTGCACCACAGCACTGCAGCCTGGGTGACAGAGTGAGACCCAGACTCGAATTTTAAAAAGGCCAACCTGAGTGGACACAGCATTAAGTCTGACCAGGACTGAAGAACACCTGTGCAGAAATGGACGGCAGAGGGAATGCACATCAGTGTGGGAGGGACAGAGGAGCTGCAGAAATGGATGGACAGAGGGAATGCACATCAGTGTGGGAGGGACACAGATGCTGCAGAAATGGACAGCAGAGGGAATGCACACAGTGTGGGAGGGACAGAGATGCTGCAGAAATGGACGGGCAGAGGGAATGCACATCAGTGTGGGAAGGACAGAAGAGCTGCAGAAATGGACGGGCAGAGGGAATGCACATCAGTGTGGGAGGGACAGAGGGAATGCACATCAGTGTGGGAGGGACAGAGGAGCTGCAGAAATGGATGGACAGAGGGAATGCACATCAGTGTGGGAGGGACAGAGATGCTGCAGAAATGGACAGCAGAGGGAATGCACATCAGTGTGGGAGGGACAGAGATGCTGCAGAAATGGATGGACAGAGGGAATGCACATCAGTGTGGGAGGGACACAGATGCTGTAGAAATGGAAAGCAGAGGGAATGCACATCAGTGTGGGAGGGACAGAGATGCTGCAGAAATGGACGGGCAGAGGGAATGCACATCAGTGTGGGAAGGACAGAGGAGCTGCAGAAATGGACGGGCAGAGGGAATGCACATCAGTGTGGGAGGGACAGAGGGAATGCACATCAGTGTGGGAGGGACAGAGGAGCTGCAGAAATGGATGGACAGAGGGAATGCACATCAGTGTGGGAGGGACACAGATGCTGCAGAAATGGACAGCAGAGGGAATGCACATCAGTGTGGGAGGGACAGAGATGCTGCAGAAATGGACGGGCAGAGGGAATGCACATCAGTGTGGGAGGGACAGAGGAGCTGCAGAAATGGACGGGCAGAGGGAATGCACATCAGTGTGGGAGGGACAGAGGAGCTGCAGAAATGGATGGACAGAGGGAATGCACATCAGTGTGGGAGGGACAGAGGAGCTGCAGAAATGGATGGACAGAGGGAATGCACATCAGTGTGGGAGGGACACAGATGCTGCAGAAATGGAAAGCAGAGGGAATGCACATCAGTGTGGGAGGGACAGAGGAGCTGCAGAAATGGATGGGCAGAGGGAATGCACATCAGTGTGGGAGGGACAGAGGAGCTGCAGAAATGGACAGCAGAGGGAATGCACATCAGTGTGGGAGGGACACAGATGCTGCAGAAATGGATGGACAGAGGGAATGCACATCAGTGTGGGAGGGACACAGATGCTGCAGAAATGGAAAGCAGAGGGAATGCACATCAGTGTGGGAGGGACAGAGGAGCTGCAGAAATGGACGGGCAGAGGGAATGCACATCAGTGTGGGAGGGACAGAGGAGCTGCAGAAATGGACAGCAGAGGGAATGCACATCAGTGTGGGAGGGACAGAGATGCTGCAGAAATGGATGGACAGAGGGAATGCACATCAGTGTGGGAGGGACACAGATGCTGCAGAAATGGAAAGCAGAGGGAATGCACATCAGTGTGGGAGGGACAGAGGAGCTGCAGAAATGGACGGGCAGAGGGAATGCACTTCAGTGTGGGAGGGACAGAGGAGCTGCAGAAATGGACGGGCAGAGGGAATACACATCAGTGTGGGAGGGACAGAGGAGCTGCAGAAATGGATGGACAGAGGGAATGCACATCAGTGTGGGAGGGACAGAGGAGCTGCAGACATGAACGGGCAGAGGGAATGCACATCGGTGTGGGAGGGACAGAGGAGCTGCAGAAATGGATGGACAGAGGGAATGCACATCAGTGTGGGAGGGACAGAGGAGCTGCAGAAATGGATGGACAGAGGGAATGCACATCAGTGTGGGAGGGACAGAGGAGCTGCAGAAATGGATGGACAGAGGGAATGCACATCAGTGTGGGAGGGACAGAGGAGCTGCAGAAATGGATGGACAGAGGGAATGCACATCAGTGTGGGAGGGACAGAGGAGCTGCAGACATGAACGGGCAGAGGGAATGCACATCGGTGTGGGAGGGACAGAGGAACTGTCCTCACGGGGCTGGAGGACACAGCCAGGAGCAGCTCCTGGACCAGCTCCACCTTGGTAATGAGATTCAGGATGTCAAGCCCAGAGGCCAGGCGAGTCCCTCACGAGCTCGTTTCCGCCGATGGCTCGCCATGGCCACCACCGGTTGCACCTTCACCTCTGAGGGGCTGTGGGGGCAGTCAGAACCCGCAGGGCCCAAAGACGGGCTGTTCAACGTCACGCCCGCTTTTTTCAAACACACAATATTGTTTTGAAACTTCAAGTCACATATGAAAAAAAGGGTGTGGAAGGGTTCTACGTGTATCAAAAGGGAGCCTGGGTTTTGAAACGTGGATCAATGCTGCTCTAACGTCCTGCCGGAGAAGGAAAAGGAACCCACCAGCTCCGCTCAGGAGGCCTCTTGGGGGTCTCCAGAATCATCCCCTTCAAGCATCCAAGGGGACAAGGCTGGGTCTCGTGGGGCATTGTGTGAGGACAAACCGTAACACCGATTTTCCCCAGGGGGTGAGTGAGGACTGGAAATCAACATGCATCCATAGCCACCCCTCTGCGGAGAGTTCCATCAGGAGCTCTGGAACACAACCCTCTCCAAGCCAACATGATGAAGACTCCACAAAAACCCAAGACGTCGGGGCTTGGGGCGATTCCAGATATAGCTGAACACGTGGAGGTTCTTGAGGGGAGGCCCCAGAGGGGATCCAACAGCCCCTCGCCTATCCCCACATGCCCCACCCAGGGCACCTCTCCCATCTGGCGGCTGCCTTGTTCATCTGTGCACTTTGTAATATCCTTCGTCATAAACCAGTCAACATAAGCAAAGTGTTTCTCTGCGAGTTCTGTGAGCCACTCTAGCAAATTATCGAACCCAAAGTATGGGTTGTGGGAACCCCGATTCACAGCCAGCTGCTCAGAAGTTCCAGAGGTCTGGACGTGTGACTGGCATCTGAGGCGGGGGACAGTCCTGGGACCGAGCCCTCGTCCTGTGGGATCTGATGCTACCTCCGGGTAGACAGCGTCTGAACTGAGCACAGCCCACTGGAGAATGTGCTGCGGATCGGGCGTGGGTGGGAGAAATCCACACACATCTTGGTGACCAGAGGTCCCAGGAGTGTGCTGTGTTGAGTAACTGTAAGAGAATAGGAAAAACCACTTTGCTTGGTGTTTTCCTCTATTTTCAGAGCCTGATGCCCAAGACACTGAAGTCCTGTGCTTCCGGAAGGCTTAAAACCTCCCAGGAGGGTGAGGCAGCAGCCTCGGTCCTCTCTCCACCATCCCCTTCCCTAGAATCTGGTGAAGAGCAAGGTTGGTCACAGGTCAGGGCTGATGTTGCCAAGGGCATTCCGCAAACACTTGTAAGTCCCCGTTACTCCCGGGCCCTGGACTAGCCAGCGGACAGGGAGGCTTCACGAGCTGATGGGGAGAGAGGCAAGAAAATGACACACGGACGAACATGCAAACTTCCCTCCCTGGCCCCCACCTCTCTCTAGTCCTGTCCCCACCGGCCTTGCCAAGCCCACCACGCCAGCCCCACACTTTGCTGTCCTCTCCCAACCCTCTAGCCACCTCTCTGCCTCCGTGCCCTGTGGCTCACACCTGGCAAACTTCTACACATCCTTCAGGAACCCTGACATTTCCTCCTCCATGACCCAGTGCCAGGGTCCACCAGAAACTGAGTCAGCACAGACCACCCAGCCAAAGTCAGGAGACCGTCCACGTCCTCCAGCTCTGCCCCCACCAGCTCAGTGTGGGGTGCTGGGGCCCCTCAGTAGCCCTCCCCCGACCCCAATCTCAGGGGTAGAGCACCGGCCTCTCTGATGTTCCAGGATTATCATAACTCTTAAAAGGTCAGTCCGTAAAAATACCCTCTCCCTTCCCTGTGTTCGTTCCCATGCCTGGGATACAGTCAACAGTCTCCAAGCCAGGCTGGGCACGGTGGCTCACCCCTGTAATCCTGGCATTTTGGGAGGCTGAAGTGGGCAGATCACTTGAGGTCAGGAGTTTGAGACCAGCCTGGTCAATACAGCGAAACCCCATCTCTACTAAAAATACAAAAAAAAAAAAATTAGCCAGGCATGGAGGCACACTCCTGTAGCCCTAGCTACTCGGGAGGCTGAGGCAGGAGAATCACTTGAACCCGGGAGGCGGAGGTTGCAGTGAGCCGAGATCAGGCCACTGCGCTCCAGCCTGGGTGACAAAGGGAGATGTTATCTCAAAAAAAAAAAAAAACTCCCAGCCAGCAAATACATGTTATTGGAACTTATCTTTTATCTGAAAAATACAGCAGACTAGACAAACATTGTAGGATTTCTTAATATTCTAACAGCAACAGCACACTAGCGATCCCTTAGGGACCCTGGTTATGCACAGAACGGAGCTCCAAGGAGGGGGACGGCAGGTCGGGGCCGGGGGAGCCAGGCCTGGCCCTGGGCCTTAGAAATCCCAGCTGGGGATTTCACTCACGCTGCTCAAGTCAGCAGGCTGCAGCCGGGGAATGAACTGAGGGCCTCGGATACCACGTGGGGGTGTTTTCGACTTTATGCTGCTGGCAGTAGGGAGCCACTGAAGGCTTCGGGGGGAGGGAGGGGGACAGTGACCTAATCGGAGCTGCACTTGAACAAGCAGAGGAGTAGAGGATGCACTGGAAAGCGAATGAGACTCGTCCACAGTCTGGAACCCAGTGGGGGCCCTGCAATGGCCCAGCAGCCCCTCCCCTGGGTTGGCAACCCAGGTACTCAGGCCTCACTCCCTGCAGGGCCCGAATGCCGCTGCTGTCTGAGCCTGTATGTGGTTCCTGGGCAGAAGGGTCTCACCCTTCTCTGCCTCAGTTTATCCATCTGTAACCTGGGGCAGACCCCTCCCTCCCTCCCTCCCACGGAAGGCAGGACAAAGGTAAGAGGAGAGTCTGGAAGGAGAGGGCTAAAGGGGCCTCTGGTGAGGGCCTGATTCTCAGTGTTGAGGCCCAGGCTAAAAGGACCCTGGGGGAAATGAACCCGCTCCCTCTTTTCCACTCAGCTTCCCCATCAGCAGAAGAGCTGCCCCCCGTGTCCTCCCACAGGGAACAAGACGGGCCAAGTCCATCCCCAGTTAAGGTCCGTGAACAGCAAACAGCTGCAGGGAAATGTCCCAGCGGGAAGCACAGGGGCGACTGGAGGCCGGTGAAGAATCGCAGGCCTCCCGAAGTGTGCCAGCTTGCAGGGCACGGCCGACGAGGTGTGCGGCACGGGGCCGCGCCGGACTGCAAATGTCATTATCTGTTATTTACCACAACAGAGGACGAGAGGCTGCACAAAATTACCGCGCTTGGCAACGGCCGCTGAGTGGATTTGCCAACGATGCTTCTTCCTGCTGCCAGAGGCTACACTGACCAGACCCAGGGAAGACGGCCACTGAGCCTAGGGGGCAGGTGTCCCGGGGGAGAAGGAGTCCCTGCAGGACAGCCCTGACCAGTGTCCCAGGTACCCCAGCCTAGGCCCGCAGAATCTCTCACCCGCTCTAGCAGGGGCTGGCCCAGCCTAGGCCTGCAGAATCTCCCACCCACTCTAGAAGGGGCTGGCCCAGCCTAGGCCTGCAGAATCTCTCACCCACTCTAGCAGGGGCTGGCCCAGCCTAGGCCCGCAGAATCTCTCACCCGCTCTAGCAGGGGCTGGCCCAGCCTAGGCCTGCAGAATCTCTCACCCACTCTAGAAGGGGCTGGCCCAGCCTAGGCCTGCAGAATCTCTCACCCACTCTAGAAGGGGCTGGCCCAGCCTAGGCCTGCAGAATCTCTTACCCGCTCTAGCAGGGGCTGGCCCAGCCTAGACCTGCAGAATCTCTCACCCGGTCTAGCAGGGGCTGGCCCATAGGCCTGCAGAATCTCTCACCCGCTCTAGCAGGGGCTGGCCCAGCCTAGACCTGCAGAATCTCTCACCCACTCTAGAAGGGGCTGGCCCAGCCTAGACCTGCAGAATCTCTCACCCACTCTAGAAGGGGCTGGCCCAGCCTAGGCCTGCAGAATCTCTTACCCGCTCTAGCAGGGGCTGGCCCAGCCTAGACCTGCAGAATCTCTCACCCGGTCTAGCAGGGGCTGGCCCATAGGCCTGCAGAATCTCTCACCCGCTCTAGCAGGGGCTGGCCCAGCCTAGACCTGCAGAATCTCTCACCCACTCTAGAAGGGGCTGGCCCAGCCTAGACCTGCAGAATCTCTCACCCGCTCTAGCAGGGGCTGGCCCAGCCTAGACCTGCAGAATCTCTCACCCACTCTAGCAGGGGCTGGCCCATAGGCCTGCAGAATCTCTCACCCGCTCTAGCAGGGGCTGGCCCAGCCTAGGCCCGCAGAATCTCTTACCCGCTCTAGCAGGGGCTGGCCCAGCCTAGGCCTGCAGAATCTCTCACCCGCTCTAGCAGGGGCTGGCCCAGCCTAGACCTGCAGAAGCTCTCACCCACTCTAGCAGGGGCTGCCACAGCCTAGGCCTGCAGAATCTCTCACCCACTCTAGCAGGGGCTGGCCTCACAGTGAGGCTGGGCCGTGACTCCTCCACGTATCCAACTATTGTCTAGCCAATGCAAAGGTGGGACAGACCAGGGCAAGGCCTCAGGCCCACTCTGTAGGGGCGCTGCCTCAGGGGGGCCCAGGGCTGGGTGCTACCTCTCACTCTGGATGCTCCGCCATAGGGGCTGCAATCCCTTCCCCAGCATCGTGGGCACGTAGCCGTCGGCCACCTCATTTCATCGGCCACCTTATTCGAAAGTGGGACGAGACATCACCTTCCTTTGGGGTCTCCTGCTCATCTTTAGATCTCTTTACATCTTAAAAGGTACATAGGCAAAGTTCTCTGGGCTTTTTTTTCTTGAGACAGGGTCTCACGCTGTCACCTAGGCTAGAGTGCAGTGGCGGGAGCACGGCTCACTGTAGCTTTAACCTCCCAGGCTTAAGCAATCCTCCCACCTCAGCCTCCCCAGTAGTTGAGATTATGGGTGCGCACCACCGTGCCTGGCTAATTTTTGTATTTTTTTGTAGAGAGGGGGTTTTGCCTTGTTGCCCGGGCTGGTCTCAAACTCCTGGGCTCAAGGGATCCTCCTGCCTTGGCCTCCCAAGTAGCTGGGACTGCAGGGGCACAACCAGGCCCACCTAATTTTTTTCATTTTTTATTAAAACAGGGTCTCGCTTTATTGCCTGGGCTGGTCTCAAACTCCTGGCTTCCAGTGATCCTCCTACCTCGGCCTCCCAAAGTCCTGGAATTACAGGTGTGACCCACCGCGCCCGGCCTGTAGGCAAAGTCCTGAGCCGAGCTGTGACCACGCCTGGCCTGTAGGCAAAGTTCTGACCCGAGCCGTAGGAGTCATTGCAAGGCACTGGCTGTGTCATCGAGAGGGAGTCATCCCTCTGAGCGTCAGTGTCTCCATCTGGAAAACGAGTATGAACACTGCCTTGCCTTTTGCCTGCCCATCTCCTGGGGGCCATGAGGGACACATGACATCATGGAAATGTCAGGCACAGCGGCTCTCAGAAGCACCCCCACCCTGACTTCCTCCCGCTCAGAGGGCACAGACTCACTACGGCCTGAGCCAAAGCGAACTGGGCGGCAAACCTGCCACAGCTTTAAAATAACCACAATCGAGCTGTGTCCCAGAGGCACAGAGGCGAGAGCTTCGGCTCCCAGCCCAGCTGCTGCCACTGCGGCATCTGCGGACTGCGAGGCTGCAAGGCCTGGACTGAGCCCGAGCTGCCTGGGAGGAAACCGCAGGCAGGCCCGAGAGAGTCTCTCGTCCAGCCTTTGCCTGTCACTGGAAGGCCAGAGAGGGAAACAGATTTTCATCTGAGGTCACGCAGGAGGTTCTGAGCACAGCTGTCTCCCGACTCTCGCAGGTGTAGCAGGCCAGGCAGGTCCACGGAGTCACCCCGCCCCACCCACTACGTCCGTCCTTCGATTTACACAAGGTCCAAGGAGCCGTTGCAGGGAATGAACTTGAGCCACGCCTTCAGCTGGATTTCAGACGTGGGCAGGTGTGTCTGTGTGCGGTGCGGGGAGGAGAGAGGAAGCCATCGGAGCCACACTGCAGAGAGGGCCGTGTCCCCAGGAGAGATTCGGACCCCAGGACGAGGCTAAGCTCAACGGGAAACAGGATGGGAGGCGCCCGCCGTCGAGGGAGGGTGGATCCAGGCCCGGCCCTCCCGGCTGCCACCCACACTCACCCCAGGCCTGCCCAGCAGGTGTGTGAGCCGCCTGGAAAAGGGGAGCTACAGGGAAGGGTGAAAAAGCCCCGAATACAACACAGCTCCTAAAACTGGAATTCGATTTACATGTATAGTCATGGGACGATGTTTTTGATATCTTATTAAGTGGAAAAAGAAGATGAAAAAAGGAGTGTACATAGGCATCCACCCTGCGAACATTTGTGTGAGTGCGAAGAGACAGAGAAGGTGGGAGAAGGACAAACACCCAGACCCCGAAGGTCAGGGGCGGGAGCTTCGCATTTCACACACACCTCTGGTGTTTGACTTATTTTTTAGGGTTGGAATATCCTTGATATGTCATGTCTATGAGGCATCCAAGTCAGACAATAAACTTGGCAGTTCTCTATAAGGTTCGAGGTGGAGATAAAGTCTGAGGTTTACAAAGTTAAGAACTAACAACGTAACTGTATCGTTAAGGTTGGCGGCTCATGCCTGCATCCCAGCAGTTTCAGAGGCTGAGCAGGAGGATCGCCTGAGGAGTCTGAGGCAGCCTGGGCAACATAACAAGGCCCAGTCTCCACAAAAAATGAGAAATTAGCCAGGAGTGGTGGCGCACACCTGTAGTCCCAGCTGCCCGGGAGGCTGAGGTGGGAGGATCACTGGAGCCCAGAGGGGTGAGGCTGCCGTGAGCTAAGATCACACCGCTGCACTCCAGCCGGGGCAGCACAGCGAGACCCTGTCTCAAAAAAACAATCACGAAAAAAAAAAAGATTTAACAACTTTGCAATGAATTAGATCACCCAGCAGTTATAAGAAAGAGGTTGGGGGGCAGGGAGGAAGGCTGTACTGAGGTTTTAATAATTATTGAGCAGTGACCGTGTTTCAGGAAAGAGATGGGGAGGGAGGGAGGCTGTACTGAGGTTTTAATAATTATTGAGCAGTGACCGTGTTTCAGGAAAGAGATGGGGAGGGAGGGAGGCTGTACTGAGGTTTTAATAATTATTGAGCAGTGACCGTGTCTCAGGAAAGAGATGGGGAGGGAGGGAGGCTGTACTGAGGTTTTAATAATTATTGAGCAGTGACCGTGTCTCAGGAAAGAGGTGGGGAGGGAGGGAGGCTGTACTGAGGTTTTAATAATTATTGAGCAGTGACCGTGTCTCAGGAAAGAGATGGGGAGGGAGGGAGGCTGTACTGAGGTTTTAATAATTATTGAGCAGTGACCGTGTCTCAGGAAAGAGATGGGGAGGGAGGGAGGCTGTACTGAGGTTTTAATAATTATTGAGCAGTGACCGTGTCTCAGGAAAGAGATGGGGAGGGAGGGAGGCTGTACTGAGGTTTTAATAATTATTGAGCAGTGACCGTGTCTCAGGAAAGAGATGGGGAGGGAGGGAGGCTGTACTGAGGTTTTAATAATTATTGAGCAGTGACCGTGTTTCAGGAAAGAGATGGGGAGGGAGGGAGGCTGTACTGAGGTTTTAATAATTATTGAGCAGTGACCGTGTCTCAGGAAAGAGTGGGGCAGGGAGGGAGGCTGTACTGAGGTTTTAATAATTATTGAGCAGTGACCGTGTCTCAGGCACCGTTTTAAGAGTTTATCACATACTTTCCTCATTGCAATCCTTGCAACCGCCCCCGAGATAGGTATTATTATTCCCGACTTCCAGGTGAGAGACCTGAAGCAGACAGAGGTGAGGGAATGAGCCCAGGCCGGGAGGACGCAGGGAGGCAGAATCCAGCGTTCTAAACCTCTGCACAGTCCTGTAAGTTACTTTTTAAAATTCCGTCGAGAGGAAACTAGTAAGACCAAGAGAAGCTAACTCATTAAAGTCTGTAATCTGCTGAGGCTCAAACAACTGAGGCACTGAGGCTGGTACCCCAGGCCACCCCCACCAACAACATAACCAGAGGGGAAGGAAGTCAGGCCCCTTCTCACTCTGAGCAGCTGGTGCCTGGGATTTTAGGCTGTCACGACGATTCCACCCGGCCAGGGCAGGCCCGAACCAGCCGGAGGCCACAGGAGAACCAATGAGCCTGGCTGGACTCCTGCAAACCTTGAGGGACGCCGAGATTCACATTCACTGAATTTTCATGCCACGTGACACTCTTCTTCTTTTGTTCCCTCCCGCCCTGCCCCACGGAGCCATTTACAAACATAAAACCATTTTTAAACCATTTTTAAATGATTTAAAACCTGTTTCTGTACCAAGTGGTACAGAAATAGGGGCCAGCCCCCGGTCCAGCGCCACGAGCTCCTAGGGCCAGAGTGCAAGAGAGGCACAGGGCGAGAGGGGGACAGGGCGAGAGGGGGACAGGGCGAGAGGGGGACAGGGCGGGAGGGGGACAGGGCGAGAGGGGACAGGGCGAGAGGGGGACAGGGCGGGAGGGGGACAGGGCGAGAGGGGGACAGGGCGAGAGGGGGACAGGGCGGGAGGGGGACAGGGCGGGAGGGGGACAGGGCGAGAGGGGACAGGGCGAGAGGGGGACAGGGTCATCAGGGTGCTTAGGGTGGGCTCCGGGGCGTCTGCACCACCAGGCGCACAGCCCAGGAGGTGGCAGGAGTCATCCGTTCTGGAAACAGCCAGAGGTACAACCTCGTGTCCAGGCACCGGCCGAGTTGGGACTCAGGGTCAAAGCCAAGCTGAGGCAACGTCGAGATGGCGCGTAACAGCCCTCAGCCTGCACCTGCCACACTGCGGAGGCCCCACAGGGACAATCCGGGAGGGTGGGGTGGTGCCTGCCTGGCAGCTGCGGGGGCTGGGGAGGGAAGGGCTACTCCACCCTGGAGGCCCAGCTCACACCAACCTCCTAGCCCCTGACGTCCCACCAGGCAGCTTCACAAGGTTACAGGTCGGTTCCTTCTCCACTGGATTCCTCCCACATCGGGTGACCTGACCACACACACGGCAGGTGCCCAGCGGTGGTCCCAGCCCCAACATCTCAAGAGCAGGACACCCGAGTGGAGATACTAGGTCACAGGAATGTCTCCACACAGACATTCAGGCAGGTTCGAGGGAAGAAGACAGCTTCCCGGCCACTCTCCCACCACGCCCACACCTGGTGGGCTCCTCTCCTCAACCTGGGCCCACATTCTCTCCCAGGTTACTCACATCACTCAGTCATCCCTCACATCACTCACATCGCCCCATGACATCCGCCTCTGAGCTGCCAGCCTCCCTCCCCAGCCCCTTTCTTCCTTCCCTCCCTCCCTCCCTCCTTTCTTTTTTTTGAAACAGGTCACCCAGGCTGGAGTTCAGTGGCACAATCTTGACTCACTGCAGCCTCCGCCTCTGGGGCTCAAGCCTTCCAGGCTCAAGCAATCCTCAGCCTCAGCCTCCCAAGTAGTTGGAAACGTAACTGGGCACCACCATGCCCAGCTATTTTTTTTTTTTTTTCAGTAGAGATGAGGTCTCACTACATTACCCAGGCTGGTCTCAGACTCCTGGTCTCAAGCAATCTTCTCACCTTGGCCTCCCAAAGTGCTAGGATTACAGGTGTGAGCCACTGCGCCCGACTTCCCCAGCCCCTTTCTGACCCACAGCCTGGGATCCAGCCTGGACTACCTGGAACACATACCCAGCCCCCCTGGAACCCCAGCTCCACCGCCAACATGCCCCACGAGCCCCTTCCCCACATCTGCTCCCACCCCAGACCAGCCCTCCACGCAGGCCCCACGCACGTGCGCAGCCTGGCCGGTAAGGCCATCAGACCCAGCCGGTAAGGCCATCAGACCCAGCACTGGCCCGCCGTGTGACCTGGCAAGGGACTAACCTCCACCTCGCCTCCGTTTCTTCACCTGCAACGAGGAGACCGTGACCTCCCAGGTGGTTTTGCTAATCAGCTGGGTGCTTGGTACCCCTAGAGTGAGCTCTCCACCGCTGGCAGCTTTATCGTGGCTAACTCCTGTCTTCAGAGTCTCCATCTTGGCTGCTCCTGCCTTAATTCAGGCCTTCATTATGGCGAATTGGATAATTAGTATCCACGAATCCTCTGCATCTGGACTTAACCTCCCCACGGGCCCATGAGACTGTCGTTTCCCTGCTTAGTCCCTTGGATGGCTCTGCTGCCTACAGGACACAAGCCCAGCCCCTGCGCCCGGCACACAGAGTCCTCCCGATCCTCACGTCTCTCTCCTTCCCTCCCTCCCCACCTGCTTCTTACCCCTCAGGGCCTCTTTTCCTCCCCCCTCTGACCTCCTCTTCTTCCCTTTTCCTCTCTTCCTCTCCTTCTCATGCCCCAGCATAACCAGACTCCCAGCTGCGCCCGATGCCCCCACACTTCCTGGGCACACTGCCTCTGCCGAGCTGTGCCTGCTCCTGAAGTGCCCTCTCCTGGCACCTGGTCACCCACCCTCCAGGCCCGGCTGCCACATCTGCTCCACTCTGCAGCCCGGGGGCCTCCCCCACCTCCCCAGGTGCCGCAGCTCACCCATGGCAGGTCCTCCCCACGGCAGGCCCATCCCATGGCAGGCCTGTCCCACAGCAGATCCTCCCCATGGCAGGTCCTCCCCATGGCAGGCCCATCCCACGGCAGATCCTCCCCGCGGCAGGTCCTCCCCACGGCAGGTCCATCCCACGGCAGGTCCATCCCACGGCAGGTCCTCCCCACGGCAGGTCCATCCCACGGCAGGTCCATCCCGCGGCAGGTCCATCCCACGGCAGGTCCTCCCCACGGCAGGTCCTCCCCACGGCAGGTCCTCCCCGCGGCAGGTCCATCCTACGGCAGGTCCATCCCACGGCAGGTCCATCCCGCGGCAGGTCCTCCCCACGGCAGATCCTCCCCACGGCAGGTCCTCCCCACAGCAGGTCTGCCCCACGCTCATCCCTGCCTTCTACTTCTACAGCACTCCTCACACTGCACTGCAATAGCTGACACCAACTATGAGCTCCTGGAGGGCAGGGGCTGGCATCTCTACCTCCTCAGCCCCGGGGCCTGGCACGAAGGTGAGCTGAGTGCACACAGGAACTGACCAGGGGACAGGTCATGCAAAGCTCCGTCCAGAAAGCTCTGGGCCTTGCCAGGGATCCGTGTGGTTCCCCAAGCCCACCCTGGGTCTCTGCAGCCGATTGGCTGCCTTTGTGCTGATGACCCTGAGCTGAAGGTCAGCAGTGTGCTGGGGTGAACGGAAGGGGCTCAGCACCGCACAAGATAGCTGCTCCTTCTTTCTTTGGAAGAAGAAAAGCCACACGCAGGCCTCAAGACAGCAAGAGAAAAGGAGGCCTCAATGGAGATGTTCCGCTTGCCAGACTCTGAGCAAGGCAGATGTTCCAAGATGCCGTGCGGTGTCTGGTCCAATCCTCCGATCCCAGCAACTGCAGCCAAGTCCATTCCTGCCAGACAGCCTTGGAGATGCAAGAGAGCCGAAGCAGGCCCCTCGGGGCAGAAGAATTAAGTGACTTTTTCCGGGAATTTAGGAAGCTTCAGTCGCTGAATGAAAAAATCCATCTTTGTAATGAGGGGCAAACACTCGTCTTCCACGTCTGAATTAGGTCAAGAGGAGAAAGGACATTGTGAGGCCAATTTGCAGGCGACTGAGATGAAATGGCTCAAGGAGGCTGCTGCTTCTACAGCTCCAGCAATGGACGGGCACTGAGGATTAGCTTTGGAAAGGGAGTAGGGGACAGGGCCGTGGAGGACTTTCACCGCACACCCATTTGGGAGGGAGGCTCTGCAAAAAACTGACTTCTCCTAAGCCTTATGCTTGTGGGGATGTGAAATGGTGCAGCTGCCACGGAAAGCAGGGTGGAGGCTCCTCAAACAGGTAAACACAGAACTGCCGTATGATTCAGCAATTCCACTGCTGGGTATAGACCCAAGAGAATCGAAGGCAGGGTTGCAGAGGGGTTTGCACGCTCGTGCCCACTGCAGCATTGTTCACAATAGCTGCAACATGGAAGCAACCCAAATATCCATCACAGGTGAGTGGATACACAAAGTGGGGTATGCACATACAGTGAAATTTTCCTCGCCTTAAAAAGGATGGAAATTCCTACACATGCTACATCATGGATGAACCTTGAAAGCATTATGCAAAGGGCACCTGGTTAAACTGCAGCTTCTAGTTTGGGAGGTCTGTGGGGGCCTGAGATTCTGCATTTCTAATGAACATCCAGGTGAGGTCCTCGGCCCACACTTTGAGTAGCAGAGACCCCATCAGCACCTGAATTCTCTCCTAGCCCTAATGCCTCCACCTCCAGGAGCAGCTCTCTGTAAACTGGATGGGGCCAGGACCCCCACAGCTTCCCAAGGCAGAAGGAGAATACTTCTCAGAGGTTAGCAGACTCTCTCTAGGCAGCTGCTGCAGGCAGGTCACAAATCGCCACCATCTCTAAGACTGGAGGACTGGCTGCTGGGAATAAAGCAGTGATGGAGGCTGGCTGTGGTGGCTCAAGCCTGTAATCCCAGCACTTTGAGAGGCCGAGGCAGGAGGATCATTTGAGCCAGGAGTTTGAGACCAGCCTGGGCAACATAGCAGACCCTGTCTCTACAAAAAATAAAAAATTTTCCAGGCGAGGTGGTGCATGACTGTGGTCCTAGCTCCTAGGGAGGCCGAGGTGGGAGGATCGATTGAGCCCAGGAGTTTGAGGCTGCAGTGAGCCCTGTTTGCCACTGCACTCCAGCCTGGGCGGCAGAGCTAGACCTTGTCTCTTAAAAAAGGAGCACTCCTCCTGCTCTGTCCATGGCTTCCTGGCCTCGAGTCCCAGATACCAAACAGAGAGGGAAGCTGAAGCCTTAGGAAAATGGCATGTACCCCGCCCTGCCCAGGGCTCCTGCCAGCCCCCTGCTGGGGGTCCGGGATACGGCACATCCCTTGTCCAGGGCTCCTGCCAGCCCCCCTGCTGGGGGTCCGGGATATGGCATGTCCCCCGCCCTGCCCAGGGCTCCTGCCAGCCCCCCTGCTGGGGGTCCGGGATATGGCACGTCCCCTGCCCTGCCCCAGGCTCCTGCCAGCCTCCTGCTGGGGGTCCAGGATATGGCACATCCCCCGTCCAGGGCTCCTGCCAGCCCCCTGCTGGGGGTCTGGGATATGGCACGTCCCCTGCCCTGCCCCAGGCTCCTGCCAGCCTCCTGCTGGGGGTCCAGGATACGGCATGTCCCCTGCCCTGCCCCAGGCTCCTGCCAGCCCCCCTGCCAGGGGTCCGGGATGACTCTCAGCAGGACACATCCCCTCCTCGGTGCAAAGTGGGCTCAAGCCAGGTTAGGGGAAAGGTCAGGTTCTGACCCAGCCCCTTCCCTCCATGCTGGGCTGGGTAATACCTGCCCCCAGCCTGAGCTGGACCTCCTCTAAGGGACGTGGGCAAAATATAAGACTGCCCAGTCTTCCTTCATGAAGACTCAGGTCATCGTTTCATAGGCAGGCTCCCCTGCACCCACACTGTGGGACACCTTTGGCTGAGACCAGAAAAAAAAAACGACTGCTTCCCTCAAATGGTGACAATGCATCCCAGGCTCAGGCGGGCTCTGCTGTGGCCCTGCCCAGCCTCCCCATGGCTAGCTGGACTCTCAGTGAGACTCAAAGCTGGCTGACTCAGATCCCAAGCAATTAGGAGCACCAGTCCTCTCTAATTAACCAGCCAGCCCCTCTCCCTTCCCACCAAGGCCCTCAGATAATGAGGGCAGGCAGTCGAGGCATGCAGGCCCAATTACGGAGGGGACGCAGCTCCGAGGACCGGCATCTCGGCTTCCACCCACAAGCTCATTAGCTTGTAGCTGCTGAACGCTGCCAGGGCTCCTGCTGGGGGCGCGTGTGTGTGCCCAGGAGCACCTGAGGCTCTGTCCTCCCCAACCATGCCTGGGCCTGGATGCTTCCCACGGCAGGGATCTCCCCAGCATCCCTTCTCCAGCCTGCCCAAGCCCACACACCTCCCAGGGCCCCAGGCTGCAGCCATCCGCAGAAGGTGAGGAGGCGGAATGTGGAGATGGAGATAAACAGGGAGGTGGCCCAGAAACCGGCAGTCCCAGAGTGGAGGGCCCGATTCCTCACACCGTGTTAGAGCCCTTCCAGCCCCCCAGGGCTGCCGCCTTAACCCCATTCCCAGCTGTAATTAATTACCCTTAATGGTTTCACGCCTCCCTCCGGAGCACTGGGATCCGCATGGCTCCTGACACCAGTCGGTGTGCGATAAATATTTGTGGGATAAGGAAGGGATGGCATCGTCTCTCCTCCCAGACACGAGAGAGCCCTGCAGGGGCAAGGGCTTCGCAGGGGCTATGTCTGGGCCTCCCTGATTCTCCAGCGACTCGGGTTCTAGGCCACCACCCCCTACAGCAGGGCCCCCAGGGGGGCAGTGCCTCTGCGATCATCTCCCTGGAGTCCCAGGCCCTCCACACCTGCCCATTCACTGCTCAAACGCAGTTCATCTCCCGAAAGACTCCCCTGCACCTGCCCATTCACTGCTCAAATGCAGCTCGTCCCCTGAAAGACTCCTCTACACCTGCCCATTCACTGCTCAAATGCAGCTCGTCCCCTGAAAGACTCCACCCTCTTACAAGTCCCCTACAGCTCAGCGTCCCAAAGATCTCAGCTCTGCCCTCTGTTTTCAGGTCCCCAGGATCTCAGCCTTGGAGGCAGCTGGAGCATGCCCCGTCCCTCCTCCTCGGTCCACTGTTCCTAAGTCGAATCTGCCATTGCATCCTGTGTTCCTTTTTCCTTCAGCACACGCCTCTGTGCTCCCCAGGCATCATCCTCACAGTTGAGCACTTGCCCAGCCCGTTTCCAGCTTCCGGCCTCAGCCTGTGTGGTCTTCCCCTCCCCGGATGCCCTTCCCTCTGCCCTCAGCCTTTCAGAAACCTGCCCAGCCTCCAGGGGCCCACTCCTCCAGGCAGCCCTCCTGGCTGCTCTGAGTCCTGGGAACCCCAGTCCCAACCACAGTGCACGTCACACTAGAGAATACTGTCTGCCCATCTTGACGGTCAGGACGTGAGGGAAGCGATTATTCTGAAAACCTCTCTTTTTGGATCCCCCCAACCCAGGATTGGCTCACAATGGGCGAAGCGATCAAGAAAGACATTTATACGAGTAACGAGACAATTATAACGAGACATTTATACGAGCACAAAGACTGAGGCGTTTCCCTGCCGGCTCAGGACATCCAGTGCTGGAGAGCTACAAAGGCTTCCAGAGGCTTTTATGTAAATTACAGAAAATATGGGACTAGCTGTGGGAGCTCCAATTTTAAGAAAACAAGAATTCCAACGAGGAGAATGTGGGTGCTATGGACTGAACTGTGTCCCTTCAAAATTCCTATGTTGAAGCCCTGACCCCCAGAGTGACTGTATTTGGAGAGAAGGTCTTTAGGAGGTAATTAAGGTAAAATGAGGGTGCAAGGGTGAGGCCCTAATCCGATAGGACTAGTGTCTTTATAAGAAAAGGGAGAGGCCGGGTGCTGTGGCTCACGTCTGTAATCCCAGTGCTTTGGGAAGCGGAGGTGGGAGGATTGCTTGAGGGCTAGTTAGAGACCAGCCCGGGCAACAAAGCGATACCCTGTCTCTACAAAAAATTAAAAATTAGACAGGCGTGGTGGCACACATCTGTAGTCTCAGCTGCCCGGGAAGCTGGGGTGGGAAGATTGCAGGACCCCAGGAGTTGAAGGCTGCAGTGAACAATGATCATGCCACTGCACTCCAGCCTGGGTGACAGAGTGAGACCCTGTCAAAACACAGAAAAGCAAGAGGAGGAGGAGAGACTAGAGCCCTCTCCTCCTGCCACACGAGGACACACGGAGAAGGCAGCTGTCTGCAAGCCATGAACAGGGCCCTCACCAGACACAGAATCAGCCAGCACCTTGATCTCAGAATTTCGTGCCTCCAAACTGAAAAATAAATATCTACGGCTGAAGGTGCCCAGTCTGTGGCACTTTATTAGGGCGGTCTGAGCTGACTATGACACGGGGAGTCACTCAGCCTCTTCTGAAATGTCTGGGGATCTGCTCCATCGTTGGTAACACGTGTGTGGCCTCAGCAGGCAGGACCCTGAAGAGGTTTCATAACAATCACAGGCATCCTTTACTGCACGCTGCCAATGGGCCAGGCAGTCTGCTAAGGGCTTCTCCTGCACTATTGCATCCATCAACGATGACAGAAGCTTAATGACCCCATTTTACAGATGAAAGAACAGAGGCCCAGAGAGGTTAAGTGACTTGTACGAGACCGCGCCACCGTGGCCAAGCTGGGACCTCAACCCAAGTCTGTCTGGTCCTGCAGCTCCGTGCACAACCACCTCACAATCCTGCAGCCAGGGAGGAGGGAAGCTAGCCGTGCCAGGTGCTTGCAGGAACACGGAGGCACTCCTGAAAGTACAGATGAGTCCCTCCCATCTGGGCAGGAGCCCCCAGCACTGCGTGGCATCTGCGTGGGGACAGTCCTCACTGGCAAGTCCAGGAGAACCGGCTGCCCTCTTGCTGCTCAGGGTGGACCAAGCGACCTCTCATTCCAGCCCCCTGAAGTCGAGAGCTCTTTCCTTCCTAGAACCCTCCTTCACCCCCTCTAATTCCTCTCCATCTGCTTAGAATACACTGAAGAGGCTGACGCTCTGTCTCAGCAAATGGCCTCAGTCCCTACGTTGCCTGTCTCCATCCCTATCATCTCCCAGTGACGGCCATCACCACCTGTCTCCAGCACTAGGGTCGTCTCTTAAAAACACAGATCAGATCACACCCCTGCTCAAAACACTCCACTGGCATCTCATTAAACTTAAGTGAAATCTCAGCTCCTGACCTTGACTGGCGAGGCTGTGTGATGGGCCATCCGGCCGCTCACTCTCTGCCCCAGATGCCACCATGTGCCCCTTGAACATGCCCAGCTCGTTCCTGCCTCAGGGCCTTCAGGACTGTTCCAGGGGAAACTTGCCGTTCCCTCTGCCGGGAACACTGTTCCACCCAGATCTTCCCAGGGCCAGCTGTTGCTTGTGTTTGGGCCTGAGCTCAGAGAGGCCCCCTAAGCCTCTCCCTAGGTGCTCTGCGTTAATTCAACAGAGTCCTCGGTGTACCTAGTCTTGCTTCATGTTTATTCATTTGTCTTCTCTATGCCCTGACCCTGGAAAGTCATCTCCACAACAGGGTGGACTGTGTCCATCTCGTTCACGGCGTCGGCAGGACCCAGAACAGGGCTTGCACACAATGGGCTATTATTTACAGAATGAATGAAGATGAATGAACGAATGACACCACCTTCTCCAAGAAGGAAGAGTGAACCCTCCAAAGCCCCCAAATGCCCACCATCCAGCTGTGCTCCCCTAATACACTCCCCTCCCACCTCAATCCTGGAACAAGCCCCTCAGAAGCCTCAGAAGCTCAAAGATTCCCCGGCCTCATCACCCAAGCCAGGACTGAGACCTCAGTCTGCTCAACACCAAGAACCATCTGCAACAGAAACGCCCGGACCAGCCCACAGCTCCAGAGTAGCGTGGGGACCCACATCCAGCTGAGGTCCTTCCCCAGGACAGCCACTGTTGCCTAAGACATGGCTCCAAGGAGCACCTGTACTAACCGTTGCACAGCCACACCAGCAGCGGCCTCTGCAGCACAGGCCCTGGACTGTCCCAGGGGAAGTGGGCCAGGATCTGTGCCTCTTCATGGTCCCCTATAGCTGGAATATTTACCACAGGCCAGGCTCTGTGCCTCTCCACAGGCCCCTATACCTGGAATATTCACAGCAGCTGTGGGGTTGAGAGACAGGAGGAGGAAGCACACTGCCAGCTCCCGTTCTCCCAGGCAGGAGTCACTGCCCGAGTCCTGCAAGTTGGCCATTCCCAAGTCTCTGTGCCCCACCTCCACTGACATGTAGTCCCTCTGCCCCCACCTCCATTGACCTGTAGTCTCTATGCCCCCACCTCCATTGACCTGTAGTCCCTATACTCCACGTCCATTGACCTGTAGTCCCTGTGACTCCACCTCCATTGACCTGTAGTCTCTGTGCCCCACCTCCACTGACAGGCAGTCTCTGTGCTCCACCTCCACTGACCTGTAGTCCCTGTGCCCCACCTCCATTGACCTGTAGTCCCTGTGACTCCACCTCCATTGACCTGTAGTCTCTGTGACTCCACCTCCATTGACCTGTAGTCTCTGTGCTCCACCTCCACTGACCTGTAGTCTCTGTGCTCCACCTCCATTGACCTGTAGTCTCTGTGACCCCACCTCCATTGACCTGTAGTCCCTGTACTCCACGTCCATTGACCTGTAGTCTCTGTGCTCCACCTCCATTGACCTGTAGTCCCTGTGCCCCACCTCCATTGACCTGTAGTCTCTGTGCTCCACCTCCATTGACCAGTAGTCCCTGTGCCCCACCTCCATTGACCTGTAGTCTCTGTGCTCCACCTCCATTGACCAGTAGTCCCTGTGCCCCACCTCCATTGACCTGTAGTCTCTGTGCTCCACCTCCATTGACCTGTAGTCCCTGTACTCCACCTCCACTGAACTGTAGTCCCTGTGCTCCACCTCCACTGAATTGTAGTCCCTGTGACCCCACCTCCATTGACCTGTAGTCTCTGTGCTCCACCTCCATTGACCTGTAGTCCCTGTGCCCCCACCTCCATTCACCTGTAGTCCCTGTGCTCCACCTCCATTCACCTGTAGTCTCTGTGCCCCCACCTTCATTCACCTGTAGTCCCTGTGCCCCCACCTCCATTGACCTGTAGTCCCTGTGCCCCCACCTCCAGTGACCTGTAGTCCCTGTGACCCCACCTCCACTGACCTGTAGTCCCTGTGACTCCACTTCCACTGACCTGTAGTCCCTGTGCCCCACCTCCATTGACCTGTAGTCCCTGTGCCCCCACCTCCATTGACCTGTAGTCCCTGTGCCTCACCTCCATTGACCTGTAGTCCCTGTGCTCCCACCTCCATTGACCTGTAGTCCCTGTGACTCCACCTCCATTGACCTGTAGTCCCTGTGCTCCCACCTCCATTGACCTGTAGTCCCTGTGCCCCACCTCCATTGACCTGTAGTCCCTGTGCTCCACCTCCACTGAACTCTAGTCCCTGTACTCCACCTCCACTGACCTGTAGTCCCTGTGCTCCACCTCCACTGACCTGTAGTCCCTGTGACCCCACCTCCATTGACCTGTAGTCCTTGTGCCCCACCTCTATTGACCCGTAGTCTCTGTGCTCCACATCCATTGACCTTTAGTCCCCGTGACCCCATCTCTATTGACCTGTAGTCCCTGTGCCCCACCTCCATTGACCTGTAGTCCCTGTGCCCCCACCTCCATTGACCTGTAGTCCCTGTGCCCCCACCTCCATTGACCTGTAGTCCCTGTGACTCCACCTCCACTGATGTGTAGTCCCTGTGCCCCCACCTCCATTGACCTGTAGTCCCTGTGACCCCACCTCCACTGACGTGTAGTCCCTGTGCCCCACCTCCATTGACCTGTAGTCCCTGTGCCCCCACCTCCATTGACCTGTAGTCCCTGTGACTCCACCTCCAGTGATGTGTAGTCCCTGTGCTCCACCTCCATTGACCTGTAGTCTCTCTGCACCCACCTCCATTGACCTGCAGTCCCTGTGCTCCACCTCCATTGACCTGTAGTCCCTGTGCTCCACCTCCACTGACCTGTAGTTCCTGTGCCCCACCTCCATTGACCTGTAGTCCCTGTGCCCCCACCTCCATTGACCTGTAGTCCCTGTGACTCCATCTCCAGTGATGCGTAGTCTCTGTGCTCCACCTCCATTGACCTGTAGTCCCTGTGCTCCACCTCCACTGACCTGTAGTCTCTGTGCTCCACCTCCATTGACCTGTAGTCTCTCTGCACCCACCTCCATTGTCCTGTAGTCCCTGTGACCCCACCTCCATTGACCTGTAGTCTCTGTGCTCCACCTCCACTGACCTGTAGTCTCTGTGCCCCACCTCCACTGACCTGTAGTCTCTGTGCTCCACCTCCAGTGACCTGTAGTCCCTGTGACTCCACCTCCACTGACATGTAGTCCCTGTGCCCCACCTCCATTGACCTGTAGTCCCTGTGCTCCACTTCCATTGACTTGTAGTCCCTGTACTCCACCTCCATTGACCTGCA
Source organism: Homo sapiens (assembly GCF_000001405.40). NCBI lineage: Eukaryota > Metazoa > Chordata > Mammalia > Primates > Hominidae > Homo > Homo sapiens. Next base: position 316,650 of record NC_000017.11, read on the forward strand.
GTGCCTGTGCTCCACCTCCATTGACCTGCAGTCCCTGTGCCCCACCTCCATTGACCTGTAGTCTCTGTGCCCCACCTCCATTGACCTGTAGTCCATGTGCCCCACCTCCATTGACCTGAAGTCCCTGTGCCCCCACCTCCATTGACCTGTAGTCCCTGTGCCCCCACCTCCATTGACCTGTAGTCCCTGTGACTCCACCTCCAGTGATGTGTAGTCCCTGTGCTCCACCTCCATTGACCTGTAGTCCCTGTGCTCCACCTCCACTGACCTGTAGTCTCTGTGCTCCACCTCCATTGACCTGTAGTCTCTCTACACCCACCTCCATTGACCTGTAGTCCCTGTGACCCCACCTCCATTGACCTGTAGTCTCTGTGCTCCACCTCCACTGACCTGTAGTCTCTGTGCCCCACCTCCACTGACCTGTAGTCTCTGTGCTCCACCTCCAGTGACCTGTAGTCCCTGTGACTCCACCTCCACTGACGTGTAGTCCCTGTGCCCCACCTCCATTGACCTTTAGTCCCTGTGCTCCACCTCCATTGACCTGTAGTCCCTGTACTCCACCTCCATTGACCTGCAGTGCCTGTGCTCCACCTCCATTGACCTGCAGTCCCTGTGCCCCACCTCCATTGACCTGTAGTCTCTCTGTCCCACCTCCATTGACCTTTAGTCCATGTGCCCCACCTCCATTGACCTGAAGTCCCTGTGCCCCCACCTCCATTGACCTGTAGTCCCTGTGGCCCCACGTCCATTGACTTGTAGTCTCTGTGCTCCACACCTCCATTGACCTGTAGTCCATGTGCCCCCACCTCCATTGACCTGTAGTTTCTGTGCTCCACACCTCCATTGACCTGTAGTCCCTGTGCCCCCACCTCCATTGACCTGAAGTCCCTGTGCCCCCACCTCCACTGACCTGTAGTCCAGGGCCTTGGCAAGGCTGAAGGAGGAGCCCGCACAGTCTTACACCCAGGCCCCCATCTCCCCTCCAGTATTTTTGGGCCAGTTAATCCACCTTCCTCAGCCCAGTTTTCCCTTACCACATATGACAAAAGCAGGAAAAGAAATGAGGTAGCTGAAGTCCTGGCTTTCCTGCTTACTAATTGGGCAGGTTAACTTCACTGTACCTTTGGTTTTCTCATCCAGCTTTTGAATGCCCCTGAAAATGCCCTCAAGTTTGCCAGTGGCCTGCATGTTCCACATCCACATTTATTTCTTTTGACTTCTCCATCTTTCCCGGTTCTCTCAACAGTTCACACCCCACCCCACCCCACCCCATCCTCCATCCTCCACCCTCCACCCTCTGTTGTTTCTTCCCAGGGTTTATTATTTCCTGACATCATCTTGTTTATTTGATCATTACTTGTTTTTTAGTTCCCTTGCCCAATATCATCTCAAGAAAATTCCTTCTCTGTCTTCTTCAGTATAATAACTCCAGTCTTAAAACCATGACTAGCAGCCAGGCACGGTGGCTCACGCCTGTAATCCCAGCAGTTTGGGAGGCCGAGGCAGGCGGATCACCTGAGGTCAGGAGTTCAAGACCAGCCTGGCCAACATGGTGAAACCCTGTCTCTACTAAAATTCAAAAATTAGCCGGTAGTGGTGGCATGCACCTGTAATCCCAGCTACTCAGGAGGCTGAGGCAGGAGAATCACTTGAACCTGGAGGCAGAGGTTGCAGTGAGCCAAGACTGCACCATTTGCACTCCAGCCTGGGTGACAGAGCAAGACTCCGTCTCTGGGGGTGGAAAAAAGCATGACTAGCACATGGAAGTTACTTGAGGATGGGTTCCAGCAAAACTAAGGTGAAAACAAAAAAGAGGAAGACATGGTGTCTTGAGATCAGTGTTTCTCACCTAGGAGGGCAGCAAAGGGAAATCCCGTTATAATAGCTGTGCAGCTACCAACCTAGGAGGAGCAGGAGTAAGAATCTAGAAGGGTTTATGCCAGGAAAAAAAAAATAGCCTCCATATGATAGTATAATTAAGATGCTAACTATCTTGAGGATTAGAAGGCATATTATTCTCCCAGAAATAAGAAAACGAAAGGCAAGTCGAAACTCCAGAAAAACTAAAAGCTATATTTAAAAAGTCCTAGACTCAATGCGAAACAATTTAATATGTGGCACAATTTAGTATAAGAAGAAAATCAATTTGATCTCCCTGCAAAGATCATTCTTCTTTGAGTAACCAGGGATCAAGAGAAGCAGGACCAATGGAACAGAAAGTGTAATCCCAGCATACTGCTTGGACTTCAGGAAGATAGGATTTAACTAATAACAACTAAAAACATTTTTTCCTTGTTGCCTTCATATATTCTGGAGATGATAACATTTATTGAGTGCCTATGTACCAGGCAAGGTTTTAAGAGTTTTGCGTTGAAGAATATTTAATCCTCATAGCATGGTGAGGTACATGGTATCACGACCACATATTACAGACAAGGAACATCAGGTGTGAGATATTAAACAAGTTTTCTGAGGTCATAGCAGAAGAGCTAGATTCACAGCCTGACTTCTAACACCAGCTCTGGGTCTCGTGGCTCGGGTGTGAATCTACCAGAAGGGCTAGAAGATGCCTCCAAGCTGAGACGCAGAGCTGGCCCTAGACATCAGTCCATTTGGTTTTTAAGTCTTAGTGCTTCTTGCCAAGATGCAGAGGATACCACATGCCCAACGCAGACATACACACTCCTGGGAGCCAGGATGCAAAGCCACAGCGCAGCGGGGCTGGTCCAGGCTGGGAAGCCAGAATGACAGGGCCAGAGCAGGGTCTTACCTTCCTGCAGTCTTTGCAGAACACCGACGAGCTGCCCAGGAAGCCCAGCACCTCCCCGCAGAGCAGACACTGGGACAGGCCGTTCCCCATCACATTCCGCCTCATGGTCTCCAGCCGCTCCACCAGCCGCCTGCAGCACAGGACACAGAGTCAGAGGGACTGTGCTTCCTGCCTGGGCACAGTTGCACTGAGGCCCGAAACCGTACCATGCCACATGTGCTGTCCCCTCACCTGGGATATTGTTCCTTGCCCCGCCCTTCCCCTGGATAACAGCGAATCCTTCATTCACTCACCAACTATTCAGTGAGCACCTATGATTCATCAGACACTGGGAATACTGTAGCAAACAAGCCAGAGACAGACATGGTCCCTGTTCTCATGGAACTTACCTTCAATAAGGAAGAAAATTCATAAGCAAGAAAACAAGCGAACTGGTTTCAGATAGAGAGCAGCGCTATGAAATGGAAATAGTGGGGGGAGGGAGGGGGAGGGAGATTGAGGGGAGGGAGGGGGAGGGAGACTGAGGGGAGGGAGGGGGAGGGAGACTGAGGGGAGGGAGGGGGAGGGAGACTGAGGGGAGGGAGGGGGAGGGAGATTGAGGGGAGGGAGGGGGAGGGACATTGAGGGGAGGGAGGGGGAGGGACATTGAGGGGAGGGAGGGGGAGGGACATTGAGGGGAGAGAGGGGGAGGGACATTGAGGGGAGGGAGGGGGAGGGACATTGAGGGGAGGGAGGGGGAGGGACATTGAGGGGAGGGAGGGGGAGGGACATTGAGGGGAGGGAGGGGGAGGGACATTGAGGGGAGGGAGGGGGAGGGACATTGAGGGACAGGGGCATGTTCCATGGGACCAGCGAAGGCTCTCGGAGAACACGTGGACTCACAGCTGAAGAATGAGCCATGCCATCTGGCCTGTCTTTCCCACTGTAAAGATAAGGCCGGGCAGGGTGGCTCATGCCTGACATCCCAGCCCTTTGTGAGGCTGAGGCAGGCGGATCGCTTGAGCCCAGAAGTTCGAGAGCAGCCTGGGTAACATAGTGAGACCCCATCTCTACAAAAAAAATAAAATAAAAAATAGCTGGGTGTGGTGGTGCCCACGCACGGTCCTAGCTACTTAAGGCTGAGGTGGGGAGGTCGCTTGAGCCCAGGAAGTTGAGGCTGCAGTGATCTGTGATAGCACCACTGCATTCTAATCTACACTGCAGAGTGAGACCCTGTCCCCCCCAAAAAAAAAAGAAAAGGAAAAGAAAGATCAAAGATACATAGGAGGCCAGAATGAAATCAATTCCTGCCCAGTGCATTTGTGTCTTCCTACTTGTGCTTTTCTGTGTTTTTCAGATTTTCTAGGAAATATGAATTGCTTTCGTAATTAAACACTGGACACGATGGAAGTGCTGGAAGACTGAGCTGTGGTCGGCGCTGGAGGCGGAGGCCAGGAGAGGCACGTAGAGCCAGGCGGGGAGCGGCTCCTGCTGGAGCCTTTCAGGGGCGACCTGTGGCTTGGCCTCCACCTGAACCCCTCCCTTGGCTGAACCACAGCTGACCTGCAGGTGTGCACAGCCGAACAGCTCCTGGGAGGCTTCACCAGGCTCATTCACGCCCTCAGCATGGGGCGCACAGCTCAGCTAGCAGCCCCGTCTCACAGAGGGGTGTCCTGAGGCCTCAGCGGGCTGGGTTACACTCCCAGAGTTCAGACAGAGCACCCTTCAGCAAGGGCTGGAGTCAGGGACCTCCTCACCCACTCCCAGAGGTAAATAGCAAAACCAGGACCCGGAGTGCCGGCCTCCCAGTCCCCTGCGCTTGCGCCAAAGCCCTTGCTGTCCTCCCACTGAGCTGGCCCCGGCCCCGCCTCACCCGATTCTCTGCTGCTCCAGGACGTCGAGCCGCTCTGCCCTCTGGATGACCTGCAGGATGGCCTCCACCTCCGCCGGGCTGAGGTGCTGCTTCCTCCTCTGCTTCTCCGTCTGGTAGGTGTGCACGGACCAGCCCGTCTGCAGCCTCGAGAGGGAACAGCACAGACGGCGTGGAGGCCTCCCCGGTGCAAACTCCGGCAGCCCCTACCACATCCACCAAGCCCCCCCGAGAACAGTCAGTGGACGGCCCAGGTGCCGCGTGCCGGGACGACGAGCGCGGGCAGCAGAGATGGCCCAGGTGGCAACAGAGATGGCCCAGGTGGCAACAGAGACGGCCCAGGTGGCAACAGAGACGGCCCAGGTTCCGTGTGCCGGGGTTGGGATTGCGGGCAACAGAGACGGGGCAGGTGCTGTGTGCCGGGGACAAGGCACATGGGCAACAGAGACGGCCCAGGTGCCGTGTGCAGGGGGCAAGGCACGCGGGCAACAGAGACGGGGCAGACACAGGCTCCAAGCGCCAGCCCTGCCATCCGCCAGCTCCTGGGCCTTGGCAAAGACGGCAGCACCACCTTAGCCCGGGAGCCAGAAACACAGAATGTGACGCTCACGTACACAGAGAAGGCCAAGGTCACAGCACGAGAGGTGTCAAGGGAGGAGCATGAGAGATTATCAAGAGAAGAAAAAGGGAGCTCGGAGCTCCGTAAGGTAGTGAGACGGAGTTCACCAGGGGACAGGAAAGCCATGTAATTAGGGTGAAGACACAGCGTTGATATGAACACTTTGAAAACTAGCAGGTTCGAGGCGGGGGGGAAGCGAGTTACAGAAGAGGAGCCGTGGTGAGGGCAGGTGAGGGCGGGCAACGGCGAGGCAGGGCTGGGACTGGGTCCGGAGGTTGAGCTGTCTCTGCTCCACTGGGCTGCGGGACTGACGCCTCCTGAGGCTGCAAATGGGGCGGGGGAAGGACTCAAACTCCTTCTATTTTTCTGGACAGGGAGAGAGTGGCAGCAGCAGATCAAACCCCGGAGCCCCTGCCCTGGGTGGGTGCCAGCTTCCCTGAGACATTCCGTGCCTGTGACATTGCTGTGTGCAGAGATGAACGAGACGGGAAAAGCCACTGCACCCTGAAGAACTACAATATGGTGGGGGTGGCAGATGCCAATCAATGACACAGATACCTATTTAACTAACAGGTCTAAGGCGTTTTCATTCTACGCATTACCAAGTACCCGCTGGGACGCCTGGCCTCTTAGGTGCCCGGGACAGGCTGCTTGGTGGGACGTGCAGGTGGGGTCAGGAAGTGGATAAATAAGAGAATTACCCAGCAGGGAGGGGATGAGGCTCTGGAAAGGCTCGCTTTCTTTAGGGAAGTGTCAGAAGGCAAGAGTCCTGGAGGCAGGACCTAGGGCAGCAGGCTGAGGGAGGCGGACCCTTTCCTGGGGGCCCCCTGACACAAGATGGGCCCCGGTGGTCTCATGTCCTGCCTGGTCCCGGCTGTTGCAGCTAACGGTTCTCTGTGGCCGACACAATAGGAGTTTGGAAAGCTAATACGCATATCCTTTCTCTGTCAGGGGGAGCTGGGGGCTGATGAATGTGAAGATCTAGGGTTTGGAGTCCACTGGACAGTCTTATCTTCTGGTCCCGTCCCTTCCCAGATGCGAGACCTCGGATGAGGCTCTCACCCTTGGTTTTCTGATCTGTCTCTTTAAGGGATGCCATGAGAATTAATGAGGCAGGGTAGATAAGGTGCTTTTACATAGCAAATTCCCAATTGCCTGCAAATGGTCGTTAATAGTGATAACTGTAATTATCATGGGGAGGGCTGTCAGGCATGGCTTTACCATGTGTGAGCTTTTGCAGGATGAACAGGTGCTTCCCCATGGAAGGAGGGAGGCGGGTTCAGGCAGAGGAGATCACACACGAAAGGCAGGGGGCATGGGTGGTGTGTGGTGTTTCAGGGATCCATACTTCTACACTGCCGGTTTTTCCAATTTAAAAAAAAAAAAACTGCAATGCCCTAGACCAACGCTTTCCAAGCAGTGCTCACGGTGCTGGGGAAGGAAAATACCGGGGCAGCAGGGCAGGGCTGGAAGGGGGGCAAGGCCAGTAGAGTGGGCAGCCTCTGCCTGGACTACCTGCCTTGCTCCTATGAACTGCACACATGCAGGGGTTCAGGCCCCAAAAAGCAATATCCCCTCCACAACCCCTACCTACTGGTTTGTTCCATCTGAGCATTTCGGAGGCTCCAGGGGTCAGTGATGGGCCAGGACACACTTCGTGTGGTTCCCGGGCCAGGGGAAGGGAGTTGGAAGCCAGGGCCCCCAGGTTCAGGGAATCACCACTCCCTCCACCCTCCAGCTAATGTAGAGAAAGGAAGGGTCCCAGGAACACACAGAAGGAGGGACAGAAGCATCAGCACCGCCACCACTGCCTGTCCTGATGGACACGGGTCCCACGAGCTTGTTCTGGGGCTGGTGATGGCACAGGACACTACAGATGTCTTCCATCGGACCCTCACAGTCACCCCGAGGCAGGCCCGGACCCTCCATCACCCCGCGAGACAGTCCAGACCCTCAGTCACCTTGCGAGGCAGGCCTGGACCCTCAGTCACCCCCCAAGGCAGGCCCAGACCCTTACAGTCACCCGGTGAGGTGGGCCCAGACCCTCAGTCACCCCGAGAGGCAGGCCTGGACCCTCACAGTCATCCCACAAGGCAGGCCTAGACCCTCAGTCACCCTGCAAGGCAGGCCCAGACCCTCAGAGTCGCCCTGTAAGGCCCAGACCCTCAGCCACGCGGCGAGGCAGGCCCGGACCCTGAGGCACCCCGCCCCATTTCTCAGAGGAAACGAGGTGCGGAACGTAGCTAGCTAGCAGGAATCTCGGGTTGGCCTCCACCGCTGACTCAAGGCCTGAGCCCTGACCTGCCGAGTTCGTATCCAGCAGCTGCTGACAGCCCTGCTTGGGAGCATTTCAGTCTCCCCCAGGGCCGCCTCCGCACCCACGTTCCTGCCTCCACCTGCTCCGCCTCCGGGCCCCAGTCATCCACGTCCTCTCATCTCACCTGCTGCCAGGCCAGGCCCTGATGCCCGCCTGCGGCCATAGCTCCACTGAGCATGCTGCCCACCCCCTTGCAATGTCCCCTCCATGCAGCTGACGGAGGCCGACTTGAGGGCACCTGACATCGATGGGCTGCAACCTCCAGGAAGAACCTGCACGTCTGGGAGCCCCACCTGTCCTTCCCCTGCACGTTCCCCGCACGGCGCCCTCGTCTCTCAGCTCACCAGTGGCTCCCTTGTGTTCTAGGCTTCGTGCAGTCCCCAGGCCTTTGCTCATGCTGCACCCTTCACCTGGGGCCCCTGTCTCTCTCCCTAAACCTTCTGTCCACCTCTCACTCCTATTCTTTCTTTCTATCTTTCTATCTATCTAGCTAGCTAGCTATGTACCTATCTATCTATCTATCTATCTATGTCTATTTTGAGACAGAGTCTCGGTCTGTCGCCCAGGCTGGAGTGCAATGGCACAATCTCAGCTCACTGCAACATCCGCCTCCCAGGTGCAAGCAATTCTCCTGCCTCAGCCTCCTGAGCAGCTGGGATCACAGGCATGTGCCACTACACCCGGCTAATTTTTTGTATTTTTAGTAGAGACAGGGTTTCACTATGTTGGCCAGGCTGGTCTCAAATGCCTGACCTATGATCCACCTGCCTCAGCCTCCCAAAGTGCTGGGATTACAGGTGTGTGCCAACACGACCGGCTAATTTTTGTATTTTTAGGAGAGACAGGGTTTCACCGCGTTGGTCAGGCTGGTCTTGAGAACTCCTGGCCTCAGGTGATCCGCCCGCCTCAGCCTCCCAAAGTGCTGGGATTACAGGCGTGAGCCACCGCGACCGGCCTATTCTTTTTAAAGACTTCTTTACACATGACCTTCACCTGGAGGCTTTTCCTTGATCCCCTCCAAAACAGGTAAAGAATCTACTCTCAGAGTTCCTGGAAGGCCTGGGTATACGTCCTTCATTGGGCTGACACATTATTACGAGACAACATGAAACCCTCCATCTCCCCTCCGGAACATGAGTCTCTGGAGGACCAGGCCCTGCCCCTGGCCCCTGCCTACCTCTCCATCTTCCTTCCACACTGTCCACCCTTCACATTTTGCACTCACAACACACTGACCTCCGGCCAGGGCCTCCACATGCCCTGTTCCTTCTACCTCAGGGCCTTTGCACATGCTGTTCCTTCTGCCTGGAAGCGCTTCCCCCCTACTCCCATCTAACATTGGCCCATCTTCTGGGTCCCAGTGTAGGCAGCACACTCTCAGCCCCTCCTGATCCCCAGAGTAAGTCACACCTTCACCCACGTCCCCACCGCCTGTTATCACCGTCAAAGCAACTTACCTGGGTAACTATTCAAATAATGCTCACCTCTGCCCACCTGTGCTTTAAGACCAGGGACTGTGTTGGTCCTGTTCACTGCTGTGCAGTCAGTGCCTGGCACATAGTAGGGGTTTAGAAAACATCTGGTGGCAGCTGGAGGACTGAGGGGAGCCCCGAGCTGCAGCCCAGATATCCCTGAGGGTCCCACGGGACACAGCTCCCAGCTCTGCGGCTGGAGTTTAGTACGCCTCTCCTTTCCAGAGACTGTGCCAGGTACTACAAGGCAGTGCACCCCAGGGGAGGGGATAAAAGCATTCTCTCTTCCAAAGGGGCTACGACAGCATTTGGCTGCTGCTGAGAGAGAGAGAAGGTCAGGGAGAGCTGAAGGGAACCCTGGAGGGTCAGGAGTCCTGCTGGGCCCTGTCGAGAGCACAGTGGCGGAGCTCTCCTTGGAAACTCCTACCCTGCCCGGGAGGACACTTCATCTGCCTGGCGTCAGAGGACAGAGAGGGAGACGGACCGACCTCACCCACTGCGGGGGCCGCATGAAGGAGCCGAGCCCTCCTGGCGAAGGGGACCAGTTAACTGTGGTGCAGATTCCTGCAAATCACGCATGACTCCGCTCTCCTGGGGCGTTTCGAATTAATCTTTCCATCCCCCTTTGATGTTTCAGCTCTGTCCCCTGCAGGCTCATAACATCTAATTGCAATTTTTTTTAATTTGGTCCCACTTGGGAAATGCTTGCTCCCGTAATTGGCATGGGTTGAAGGATGAAGGGGCCCTTTTGGACTTATCACATGCCAGAGACGCCCAGCCCCTCTGAGGGACAGCGAGGGACTGGAAGGCAGGCAAGGCATCTGAGAACCCCCATCTCCAGCCACAGTGCACAGTCGGTGGAGATGGCCTGACCTACCCAGAGCTGAGAGGTCACTAGGCTGAGGGACAGCAGGAAAACCAGGGCCAGGCGCGGTGGCTCACGCCTGTAATCCCAGCACTTTGGGAGACCAAGGCGGGTGGATCACTTGAGGTCAGGAGTTCGAGACCAGCCTGGCCAACATGGTAAAACCCCCGTCTCTACTAAAAATACAAAAATTAGCCCATTGTGGTAGTGGGCACCTGTAATCCCAGCTACTCGGGAGGCAGGAGAATTGCTTAAACCAGGGAGGCAGAGGCTGCAGTGAGCTAAGATCGTGCCATTGCACTCCAGCCTGGGCGACAAGAAAAAAGAAAGCCAGGACCCCCAAGGGAAGAAACTGGAAGCAAGGAACTAGCGAGATTCTCAGGAGAGCACAGAGAAGGCCCTGGGGCAGCTTGGGGCTGGTTGTGCTTCAGCCTCAGGGGCAGCGCCTCGTCCACTGCAACAGACTTTTGTTCCCCCGTCTGACAGTGCCAAGCACTGGGCTATGACTGGGCATCCAGAGATCAAAATCTCCCTGTCTTAAGGGACTTGCAGTCCTACAGCTCAGTGACAGGAGAGAAGGCACACGAGGTGGTGTGGGTCCCTTACAGCCTGTTGATAGAAAGGACACACAGGCTAAGGAGTCAGCTGGACCCAGGTGTGGGTTGCAGCCCTGCCACCCACAAGTTAAGTGATGTGGGCAAGGAGCTCAGCCTCACTTTGCTCATCAGGGAAATGGGGATAAATTCTGCATGGTAGTTAAATGAGTGAATGGCTGTGTCCAGGGCCTGGAGTGTGGCATGCATCCGACAGGCACCTCTCTCCAAACATCTCTTTCTGGGCCCCTGGGAATGAATCTTGCTGAAGACAGGAGAGGAGCAGGGAGGCAGAAGGAAGGGACGGCCTGGGGGGCCCCAGAGGTACTCACTTGGCTCGAAGGGCAAGCTGCCGGTCATTGGGGCAAACCCACTGATCATTCCCGCTGCCGAAGATGGTGTCGGCCATGGCTCGGAGCACCCGGCTGGGGGTGGGGAGTCACATCTGAGATGAAGGAGGGAAGACGAAAGAGTGTGCATCATTGGCTGGGGTACAGATGGCAGACAGGTTCTCTGTGCCCTCAGGCCCCTCCACACCATCTCCATGCACGATCCCCACTGATGCCTGGAATCTCACTGTGGGAACCATCTCTCCAGCAAAACACTCTTCCCTCAAGGCTCCTCTTCAGAAGGCTCATGATTCTAGGAGGGTGACCAGGTGGATCATGTGGCCGAGTGACAAGAGTGAACATGACTGGCAGGGCATCAAAAGGTTAGAGTCAGAAAGGAGAGAGGAGGCTCACCCTTAGCAGTTTTCAACTCAACCCTGGAGGCCATCTGCTCCCTGCCCCCTCCCAGTACAGCAGGGGCCGAACTGAGCACGTCACCCAGCAGGAGGGGCTGGGCTGGGGGGTGATGGCCAGACAGGCTGGGAAACCCTACTCCTTTCCCAAACCTGGGGACCTGGCTCTCCTTCCCAACAGACTCACACCGATGATCACAATGCCCTCGAGGGCAGGCAAGAGGGCAGGGGGTGGCAGCTACAGCCAGGATTGCCACCCAGCACCATGCCAAGGGGAGCCGTCCATAGACACTGCCATGAAAATGGCACCTGGGGATCCCCCAGGGAGGTGGCCCTGCTCCAGGACCCCCTGAGGGCTTCACCTGTGCACTGTCTAGTGTGCCGGCTTTCTCCCTGCCTCCCAGGACAGGATTGTCTTTGGTGGTCTGAGGATGCCACGCGTGCATTCTGAAGGGAGTGTGGGATGAGGCCGAGGGTATCTGAATCCCAGAGCAAGGAGGAGGGGCTCTCCTGAGCCATCCACACTCTCCTGGTCTAATCCCAGCTAGGCCAGTGGTTCTCAAACCCAGGGCCCCTTTACACTCTTAAAAAAGATCCAGGTTCGAAATCCGTTTGACACTTCCTCAAAATGTTGAACACAGACTTACCATATGACCCAGAAACTCTACTCCTAGTTACACACCCAAGAGTACCCAAAACATACGTCCTCACCAAAACCTGTACACAAACGTTCTTAGCAGCACTATTCATGACCGCCAAAAGCAGAAACAACGAAAATATCCATCAACTGATGAATGAGGAAAATGTGCTATATCCATACGATGATTATTATTTACAATGGATTATGATTTACAATGGATTATTATTTACAATGGATTATTATTATTTACAATGGAGTATGATTTACAATGGATTATTATTTGGCCGTAAAAAGGAATGAAGTGCTAATACCAGCTACAACATGGATGAATCTTTAAAACATCCTAAGTAAGAAAAGCCAGTCATAAAAGACCACGTATTGTATGATTCCGTTTATACAGTGTGTCCAGAATAAGCAAATCTAGAGAGACGGAAGGTGAGGAGTGGTTGTCAGGGGTTGCAGGAAGAGGGGAACAGACTCCCAGTGGGTTCAGGACTTCTTTTTGGGGTCGTAAAAATGTTCTGGATTAGACAGTGGTGATGGTCACACATTTCAAGAATACACTAAAACCACTGAATCGCACCCTTTAAAAGTGTGAATTTTATGGCATGTGAATTACAACTTCAGCACAAACACAGACCATGAAAAAAAAAATGAATTATAACTCATTCACAGGCCAGACATGGTGGCTGAGGCCTGTAATCCCAGCACTTTGGGAGGCCAAGGCAGGAGGATTGCTTGAGGTCAGGAGTTCAAGACCAGCCTGGCCAATATGGTGAAACCCCGCCTCTACTAAAAATACAAAAAAAATTAGCTGGGTGTGGTGGCGAGTGCCTGTAATCCCAGCTACTGAGGAGGCTGAGGCAGGAGAATTGCTTGAACCCTGGAGGTGGAGGTTGCAGTGAGCCGAGATCAAGCCATTGCACTCCAGCCTGGGCAAAAAGAGCGAAACTCCGTCTCAAAAAATATATAGATATACATATATTCTTGAGAACTCCAAAATACATGGGCTATGACCATTGCTAGTTACCACACTAGAAATTAAAACTGAGAAAATCTTTAAAATGTTGTTAATTCATTAAAAATAATAAACCCATTAGACGTTCACATAATTTACATATTTTATGAAAAACTACACTTACAAAGCAATTAGACAAATGACACTGTTTTACATTTTTACAACTCTTTTTAATGTTTGACTTCACAAAAAACAGCTGGACCTTCATATCTGATTTTTCATTCACGCATTTGTGGCAGGTTGTTTCGCTGAAGTCCTTGAAGGACATCCAGACCCTCACAAATACGTATGATGGCTGAAAAGAGGAGGACTTTTTTTACTTTCCAGAAATTGTAAATATTTTTCTTTGATATTGCACCCAAACTCAACAGATGGTAATTTCTTAAAGATTAGTTCAAATGTGGCATCTGAAACCACATCAATGAACTTCTCCTTTTCTGTACATTTGTGACAGGATAAAACCCAGAGTCCTATGACTATTCTTATGGAAACACTTTTGACCTGTGGATCTCCGGAGGGTGTTGGGGGACCCCCAGAGAGGCCTGGGCCCAGCTTGGAGAACTGCTTTTCTCGGCCAGTGCCACCCATTTCTATGATGACCAGCAGAGGTAACATGCAGACCGCCTCCGCCTGACCACACAGGGTCCAGGCCACAACCTTAACCACACTGGTCGCTCTACCCCATGCACATGTCCAGGCACCTGCTCTTCCAGATCAGACCTGACCCTCCCCAGTGAGCTGCCTCAGCAAAGAGACCTGGGCAGCCCCAGACCCCAAACAGCCAAGCGTGGAAATCCCATGGCCGGGCCCAGATCACCCAGGACCTCCTCAGATGGAGGCTCAATCTTCTCCCAGATGAGGCTAATGGACAAGCAAGGAAAGACAGGTCAAAAATGATACCGTCCTCAAACAACTTTAAATCAGTGCCCCATCCCAGCCTTTAGAGCACTATGGTTTGCTTTGCTTTTTAAAAACTTCAGTTATCTTGTGCAGTCACACTGCTCCACATGGGTGTACAAAGCATTATTCTTTTCAAAGTAAACACTAAAATATACTACAGCCCACACGGGGTGGCTCACGCCTGTAATCTCAGCACTTCGGGAGACTCAGGTGGGTGGATCCCTTGAGCTCAGGAGTTTGAGACCAGCCTGGGCAACATGGAGAAACCCCGTCTCCACTAAAAATGCAAAAATTAGCCAGGCGTGATGGCGCGCACCTGTAATCCCAGCTATTCGGGAGGCCGAGGCAGGATAATCGCTTGAACCTGGGGGGTGGAGGTTGCAGTGAGCTGAGATCGCGCCACTACACTCCAGCCTGGGTGACAGAGCGAGACATAATCTCAAAAAAAAAAAAAAGATCTGTGAAATTTTGGCTTTTATGTAAACTTACTAGAAGTCCAGGAACAAGTCAACTGTCTTCCTGAGCCTCAGTTTCCCCATCGGCACCCAACAGAGCTTGAGACAGGCCGGAGCAACCGCCTCCTGCAATTTCAATGCCTGATTTGGACCCTGCTGAGTTACATGAGGGAGGCGAGGGAGGCAAGCGAGGGAGGCAAGGGAGGCAGGCAGCCAGCAGGCAGGCTGCTGGCTGCTCCCACGTGGGAGGTGGGAACTGAGCCCTCCCCAGCCCAGTCCACAGGACAGAGAGGAGGAGGCCGCGAGAACTGCTTCCTACATGTCCCCACCCCTCTCACTGCTGTAGCTTCAGGGCAGAAGAGCCACAGAGCCAAATGCTGCAGAGATGAAGGGAGACGGAAAGAGCCAAATGCTGCAGAGATCAAGGGAGACGGAAGGATGTCGCCTCCAGAGCTGGGGCCACGGGCAGCGCCAGGGCAGGTTCATCACTGATGGCAAGTCTGTGGCTGACCACGTTCACAGGGGTGGCCCTGAGCAAAGGTCGGACATGAGGACCCAGGAGAATTCAGGCCCCGGCTCTGGGACGGCTGTGCACCCCCACCCTGGCCGTGGCTGGCACCTCAGAAGGCACAGCTGTCCTTCACTCGCACGGAGCAACCTCGGGACAGATGGTGGGAGAGGAAGGGCAACTCGAGGAGGCACATTTTAGGAAACTGCCCACGGAGCCAGTTTCGATTCTCCAAACCTCGTCAGCATGCAGAGGCTCCCTGACTCGGCAGCAAGGAGGGCCTCATCAGCCGACCCCCATGCCCGGCACCCCCTTCACCAGTGGGTAAACTATGCTCGCCACCACTCAGCACTCACCTCTTGGGCTCAGAGGGCAGAAAGTCTGACCCTTCTCTCTTAAAAGCAGGGTCCTGAAAACTCCAGAGAGCAGTGCCCTGTGCATTAAACACAGACTGCGCCCTTGTACTCAGGTATGACCATTTGTCCTGGACAAAAATTAAACTGATGAGGGAACAAAATAGGGCCTTATAGAAGGTGAGTGGAAAAGCAGGGAAGGCAAACCCCCAAATTCAGGAGGGAGGATGGAATTGGCCTGGGGAGCAGAGGCAGGAGGTTCTGTGGACAGGGCTGGTGGAGCTCTGGGGGGAGCAGAGGCAGGAGGTTTTGTGGACATGGTTGATGGACCTCTGCGGGGAGAAGACGGAGGAGATTTTGTGGACAGGGCTGGTGGAGCTCTGCGGGGAGCAGACACAGGAGGTTCTGTGGACAGGGCTGGTGGAGCTCTGGCCACTTCCTCCGTAAACTAGAGACGTGATCCCCAGGGCCAGGTCTGTCTCTGAGGTCCTACCAGCTGGGACAGGTAAGAGGCTGGGGAAGGAGGAGCGTGTGTGTGTGCGCGTGTGTGTGTACAGGAGCATATTCAATGAGCACATAGGTCAAGGCTGCTGATGGGGAAGGCAAGCCCCTCGTGGAGAGGGTGGGCATCCACCCAGGAGCCCGCCCAGAAGTGTTCAGTTCTATCGACATGAAATTTCCATTTCTCCTTCCCTGCTGGACCTTGGGTGCCCTAGAGGGTCCCTACATCCTCCTCCTTCCCTCCCTTCCTGATGCCCACACAGAGCCTGCTGCAAAGTAGGTGCTCAGGGAATATCCATTTAATTCAACTGTATTTCATCAGAGAGATGTGGCTTTCCCAGACAAGGAAGAATTCAGAAAACAGCCCAGACATGCTCAGAGCAGACAGCTGGACTCTAACCAGGCTCTGCGACTTGCTGACTCACAGGCCGTTTGTCCCTCAAGATTCCCCACGGGGTAGTCGGCCTCAAGGCAGCTCCACCTGACGGCTGAGCTCGCTCCTTGCTGAGGGGCTGGTGCCCCCAGGAGCCTCCTCTGGGAAGCTGAGACCTCCTGGTGCCACCTCGACCCCGCCGGGCGACACACGCTGAGCAGAGGCAGCACTCGGGCTGGCCGGCCCAGCAGGCAGATGTTCCGGAACCCTTGTAAAACCCCGCAGTACAGGGACTAGGAGGACCCGAGGGGTACAGGGAACGGAACAGGAGTTGCCGGTGATAATTTCCCGAAAAATTCCTAGGGGACAGAGGCTCATCAGCCCCAGGCAACTTCCTGAGACAGATCGGTAAAAACAACCCCTTCTTCCAGGAGGATGCAATTCTCTCTCTAAAGTCGAGAGCTCACCACCCCGGGCGTTCGTCACTGCAGACATCACTGCAGACACAGAGACGGCCATTAGAGCTCACCACCCCGGGCGTTCGTCACTGCAGACATCACTGCAGACACAGAGAAGGCCATTAGAGCTCACCACCCCGGGCGTTCGTCACTGCAGACATCACTGCAGACACAGAGACGGCCATTATGCAGCCTCACGTGGTCACTCCTGGGGGCGGTAGGATATTTTATCCTAAAGAGAAAACACCTTAAATTCTCACATCAGCCACCCCCATGGCGACTCTTAACACCTTAATGTAGCACCTTCCAACTTTTCCTGGGCATTTATGTACAAATTGTAATAAAATTGGGTTCTTACTGCATACGCTGCTTGCTGGTTTCTAAATAAAATTGGGTTCTTACTATATATGCTGCTTGCTGGTTTTTTAAACCACCTTGTGCTTTCCCACAGTATTAAAGTTCTTTAAAAATATGATTTTAAACTATAACTTAGTATTCTGAATACAATACGTTTTACCATCTTCCTGTTTGGGAGCACATGGATTGTTTCCAATTTTGCTCGATTATATGCAGCACTGAAATGGACATCCTGGCAGATAAATCTCTGACGACTGCCTTAGGATAAGTTCCCAAAAGGGAAATGAAGTGCATTTTTTCAGTGTATTTTTTGAGATACCTTTTCCATAGTCAGGTTCACAGCCACTCAAAGCTGTCAGCTGCAGGCCTCATGCTTGCTGTCTCCAAAGTGCACGTACAAGTGTCCACTACACAAATTCTGCTGGAGGCAGCTGTGTCTTGGTAGCCTAATCTGCGGATCTCCAATTAGATGGTTTCAATAAGGCAGACGATCCTCTATTCGCAAAAAAATAAATAAATAAAATAAAATAAAGGGCCTCTTCTTTGCAAACAGTTGCATCTACTTAAAAGAAGGCTTCTATCTCCTTAACAGCATTTGTGGGCTCAGAAGCTGGTAAAGCCAGCACTGGCTTGAGAGCCCTGAGTGACCAGTGGCTGGGGCCGGTCACATGACACCCCTCCAGCCGACTGTTCCCCGCCCCGACTACAGGGTCCCGTAAACGGGCCTTGGGAGCTCATCCCCGTACAGGCTAGGAAGCAGTGCGCATAGTCATCACTCCAGGAGAACCGCGGCTCGACCCTGACCTTCCAAAACTCTCAGCAGCCACAGCACAGTGAGAAAAACAACAGCCGCCCGCAGCTGTCTGTCTCTAACACGTATCAGACTTTGAAAAACATATCCGGAGGCAAAACAACCTGCCTCAGAGAAGCCCGGCAAACACCCACGGAGTCTCTAGCCCGTCCACTGCGGGGGGACAGGGACAAGGCAACCACCCCAGCAAGTGCAGCTCCTTCTCCCCACGCCTTCTCCGAGGGCCAGCCCATCCACTGCGGAGGGACAGGAACAAGGACAGGGACAAGGCAACCACCCCACCCAGTGCAGCTCCTTCTCCCCACGCCTTCCCCCAGGGCCAGCCCATCCACTGTGGAGGGACAGGGACAAGGACAGGGACAAGGCAACCACCCCACCCAGTGCAGCTCCTTCTCCCCACGCCTTCCCCCAGGGCCAGCCCGTCCACTGTGGAGGGACAGGGACAAGGACAGGGACAAGGCAACCACCCCCAGCAAGTGCGGCTCCTTCTCCCCACGCCTTCCCCCAGGGCCAGCCCATCCACTGTGGAGGGACAGGGACAAGGACAGGGACAAGGCAACCACCCCCAGCAAGTGCGGCTCCTTCTCCCCACGCCTTCCCCCAGGGCCAGCCCATCCACTGCGGAGGGACAGGGACAGGGACAAGGCAACCACCCCAGCAAGTGCGGCTCCTCCTTCTTCCAGGGCTGTGATCGCTCCCCACCTTACACCCTGGCATTTTCACCTCTTCGATCTTGTTTCAGGGACACGTTCACTGATATAACTGAGGCTTCAGACTCCTAGGGTGTGGCACGAACGAGCGCGCTTTCATCCAGCCACAGGGTCCGACCCACGGTGAGCGTGGGCAGCATACCCGAGCTCCTGAGACCAGCAGATATGCTTGGCTGGGGACGCATTCCCAAGAGCACAGCCACACTGTGACCCCCGAGCGACTGTGACAAAGGGGGCCCGGGTATGAGGGTGCAGGTGTCCGGGTGAGACTATCTCTATGGTGAGAATAAAGGAAATGATGCAGGGTGAACAGTGGGAAGGAGGCGGCGGACGGAGGGGCTGGGGGAAGTCGCTGTGCCTAGGACACCCACGTGCGAAGGCCAACACCAGCGCTGCAGGACGCCAGTTGGTGTCGGCCACAGAGAGAGGGCTCAAGTGCATTTTCCACACCAGGGGTGGCTGGTGCCCTCTGAGCCGCTGCATCACGATGCTTAGAATGAAATGCACGGCCCGGCCAAGAGTGGCAGAACCGCCCGGCCGGCCCGTAGACTGAGGAGGGGTAATAAATGGTGGTCGTGAGCCCCCACGTTTGGACAGGTATGCTTGTCATGCAGTGTTACCCCAGCAATATATAACGGATAAAAATGGCATCTGGCTGATAAAATCCCAACCCTGACCTCAATGTCCAGAACTATTCAGTTTGATTTTCCACTTGTGGTGGAAAGGCCAAAAGACCAGACGAGGGAGGCAAACAGGAGACACAAGAGGCAAGCAAAACCCACTCCCCTCCCCTCCCAGGTGCCAGAGGAAGTACCCCGTGGAGAGGGCCTGGAGGCTTCGCAGGTGGCGCCTGCAGGGCTGGAAGAGAGGCTTCATCCCAAGTGCTAAATCTGAGCTGGCGCCCAGAGGGCTGGGTTGAAAAGGGGCTGGAGGCTGCCTCCAGCCTCCGTAGGAAAGCATGCTGTGATCTGTTAGTCACGTCTGCCCCCGGCGTGGAGGGAGAACGGCTGCACATTTGCTGCTGCAGAGTGTGCCATCCCACTGGGCGCTGTGCCTAGGCCAGGGCGACAGGGAGGAGATGGGGTTTAGAGGAGGGAAAAGAAGCTGGGACAAACATAAAAGAATACTTGCCACCGAGCCGGTGCTTCCCGAGGCCTCGAAGACACTGTGTGGGAGCCCTTCGTCCAACACAAGGTATTAATATCCGAGGGGACCCTTAGCAACAGCTCTGACATCTGCTCTGTTACTATGACACGGGAAACACGAGGAGGGCAGCAAGATAAGGTGAGCCCAGACGTCAACATTTCCTCCACCTGTCAGGCGGCGCTGGGAGGATTAAAGACTCAGAGAGGGAGCCTCAAAGGCCTGTCTAAACGCCCAAAGAACCACTCACTCGGAAGCGTTGCAGGCTGACTATGCACCAAGCGGGCTCGAGTGGATTCCAGAGTTGAAGCAGGAGCCCCGGGGAAACCAGTGCCTGACAAACCTCCCTCAAACTCCACCGCCCCCGGGCACCCTGCCAGGTCTGCCTGCTCGGGGCGGCTCCCCCTCCTCCCAGCTCCGATGCTCCTCCTCTCTTGCCCAGACCGTGGCAAATCTTCCTCATCTGCCTTGGAACCTGCTGGGGCTCCCCGTTGCCCCTCTTCACGTACAGCCAGAGAGACCATCCTTACAGCCCAGGTCAGGCCGTGTGATTCCCCTGCTCAGAAACCTTCGGTGGCTCCCCACTACTAAGGAAACAAGCCCTAGCTGCCCTCAAGGCCGTCCATGATCTGGCACAAACCACCCTTGCATTCTGCCAGCCACCCCTCTGCAAAACTGGTGCTCCAGCCACCAGGACCTTGAGGCATTGCAGCCGCCCAGCCTTGTCTCCGGCACCCTCTCACCTGGAACGCCTTTGGTTCACGCTGTCTACCTCCTCCACCTGGGGGTGGCCCAGCACCACCTCCCCTGGGAATTCTCCAGCTCCTCCCATCAGGCTCCCATTCGGCTTGAGCCCACCGCCCTCCCGTCAGCATTTCATTCCGCCCGCATCCTCGGGGGCATTTACCTGTTACCCCGATGCCCAGACATGGTGGGTCCAGTACCCCTTCAGGGGACTAATTTAACCGTCAAGAGTTTGCCACTCACTGGAACTACGTACATCGGTTACGCACCAATAATTTTTTTTTTTGAGACAGGGTCTTGCTCCGTTGCCCAGGCTGGAGTGCAGTGGCACAGTCACAGTTCACTGCAGCCTCCAACTCCTCGGCTCCCGTGATCCTCGCATCAGCCTCCCAAGTCGCTAGAACTACACGCCTGGCTAATTTTTTAATTTTTTGGTAAAGACAGGGTCTTGCTCTGTTGTCCAGGCTGGTCTCAAACTCCTGGGCTCAAATGATCCTCCTGCCTCAGCCTCCCAAGTAGCTGGGACTATGGGAGTACGCCACGACACCCAGCCTGCCAACAAAATTTTATCTTAAAAACCGCCTCACGGCATAAGGCTCAGCCTCGCTGGCCTCCTTAACCTGCCTCTTTCCCTCTGCCACACACGGGCTCTCTACGGACCCTCCAGCCCCTGCTAAGACTCCTGCAGCCTTTCTTGCCTGTGTGCTTTGAGGAGCAGCAATCCTGGACATGCCACCCAGGACCCCGTCCAGGAGGCACCCCAACTTGGTCACAGAGCTAAGCGTCTGCTCCTGTCCTCGGCAGGACCAACAGCGGCACCTCTCAGTTTCCTTGGCCTCGTTCATTCAACACACACACGCTGGGTGCTGACGAGGCACCAGGCCCGTGCCCAGCCGCTCAGTCTCGCTGCTCGAGGGCTGGGCAGGGGTTTTTTTTGTACCCCGGCAAGGCCCCTCATGGGGCACACGTAGGAGGTTTCACTTAATCCTGTGGGTCTTTTTTAACCTTGGAAAGTAAATCCTTGGGCATCTTTAATGACTGGCAACTCCCGCTCCAGTGGACCCCAAATCCCTGCTCGTCTCTTCATCTGACGCTGTTCTCATTCCCAGGCAGAAACACTCTGCAAAGCCTCCAATGCAAATGAGATGTGAAATAACCTACTTCTCCCCCATCTCAAGTGCCAGCCCTCAGATTTTAACAGCCACAGCTCTGCCTACGTGTCCCCAGAGGCATAGCTTGCTTTTGTCTTTTCTGAAAGGCCTGAAACAGTGTAGGTGGAACTGCTGTATCAAGGCAGTCACAGAGCTGAAGGTGGTGACAGCAGGGAAACCAGGCTGGGCGTGGTGGCTCACACCTGTAACCCCAGCACTTTGGGAAGCCAAGGCAGGAGGATCGTTTGAGCTCAGGAGTTCGAGACCAGCCTGGGCAACAGAGCAAGACCCTGTCTCTACAAAAAATTTAAAACTTAGCTGGGCATGGTGGCACATACCTGTAGTCTCAGATACTCAGGAGGCTGAGAAGGATCACTTGAGCCCAGGAGACGGAGGCTGCAGTGAGCCATGATTGCACCACTGCCCTCCAGCTGGGTAACAGAGCAAGACCCTGTCTCAAAAAAAAAAAAAAAATTTACAGGGTAACCACACAGAGAGAGAGAGAAAGAGAGAAGAGAAAATGAAATTCAAACTTACTGCAAACGTGACCAGAATAATACGTAGGTACCTGTGGCCCCTGAGCACTCTCTGCCCAGAAAATGCCCAAGTGCTCCCAGGCTGCCGGGCACCTGGCTTGGGACGGGCAGTATCGAGCATTCATGCTATTTGTCTTTTAATGCAGAAACGCAGGCCTGCTTCCATTTACGTGATGTATGTGGGTCTGGAAAGTCCCAGGCAGGCAGAATCTTTGCAGAGGAAACCTGATTTCGGCTCCCACCTGGGAACTGCTTGTTGAAGGAGCCCAAGAGAAACCTCTCCATGAAGCAGAGAAGCTTCTAGGGAAAAAGAAGCCTCAACCCTCCTCACCCGCTTGGAAAAGGCCCAGTCCTCAGGTGTGCTGAGGGCGGTGCTCCAGGCCCCGGGGGGCAGCGTCCCACACCCCTGCCTCCGCCAGCAGCTTCTGCACGGCCCAGCCCAGACTCCAGCTCCCAGGTGGCTCTCCGCGGGTCCTGCCAGGTACTTCTCCAACCTTCCTCCCCTCACCTCACCAGAGCCAGGGTTTGCTTACAGCCAGCAGCCAAGGCCATCCCCGGCTGACCTCGCCTGCTATCTGTGGGCCCAGCTGTCTCCTCTTGCTCACAGAAACACAAACAGGCGTTTCTCTGTTGCAACTCCAGGGTTAGGCACTGCCCTGCCTGGGAACAAGCTGTCCGGTTCTCTGCACACTACCCATTCTCCTGGCAGAGGCTAAGACCCCAAATAAGTGAGAATGCCCATAAGAGGGCCAGCGGAGGGCTCAGGCAACAGTGGGGGCCACCCCAGAACATGGCTTGCTACAGAGAAGACAGGCAGGGGGAAGGGTCAGACAGAACCACTGGCACTTAGCTAGGAGTTTTCAGGGCCTCTAGGAGGGGCCCCCAAGTTAACAAACATCCCTACACGTGCCCAGCCTGACCCTGCACTACCAAACTGGGAGAGGAAGAAGCCGCCTCCATGGGTGCTGCCCACCTGCCAGGTGCCCGCCACTGGCTGACCAACTGGAATCATCACAAGCCCCAGAGGACGACGTGATCATCACTCCTTTCAGAAAAGAAGAAACCAGCTCGAGAGGGGCAGCCACGTGCCCAAGGCCCCATAAGCTGGCACCAGGTGCCCAGTTTGGCCCAACGGAGCTGGGCTGAGCCCAGGTGCTTTCTATCCCCCTCCTCCTCCCAAGGCGTCGGGTTGCAGGTGCGGTGCCTACAGGTGCCTAACGAAAGCAATGAGCCGGGTATTCTCCGAGCACCTGCCACACACCCAGCAGCGGGGAGCACAGAGTTCCCAGAAACTGTAAGTCGCGCAGTAATTGGCCAAACGGGAGTTCTGAGAAGAACTGGGCCGGGGCAGCCTGAAGGGGATTGCAGAGGAGACGGGCTGGCTGTTTCCCGGAGCAGGCAGGGGCTGGGACCTGTGGGACCTCAGTCACCAGCCCTCAGTGCCACTGTTGTCCCAGCCTAGGCCCTCAGAGCAGAGGCACAAAGGAGCTGGTGTCTGAGCCCTGGGGCATTTTCAAAGACAGCCCCTGCTCCCCACCAGACCCACTGCCTGAACCAGGTGTCACCCAGACCTCCTCAGTCACCCCATAGTCCTAAGGGGTCCCCCTGGCTCCAGGCTCCCCAGCTCAGACCCGGCCAATCCTGCCATCAGACAGGCTCTCCAAAGGCCCCGCTCCACCCAAACACCTCAAAATCAAGCCCAGGGTCCTCAGCTGGGAGTTCATGGCCATCCACAGACTCCACCGTGCCTTGCCAAATTTGTCTCCAGACAAACACACACCTGGTGTCATACCTCATGCCCAGGCCCAGGCCTCCCCACATCCACACTCACTGCCCTGGGCTCAGGCCTCCCCACATCCACACTCACTGCCCCGGGCTCAGGCCTCCCCACATCCATACTCACTGCCCCCCACCCAGGCCTCCCCACATCCACACTCACTGCCCCCCACCCAGGCCTCCCCACGTCCACACTCACTGCCCCCCACCCAGGCCTCCCCACGTCCACACTCACTGCCCCCCACCCAGGCCTCCCCACATCCACACTCACTGCCCCCCACCCAGGCCTCCCCACATCCACACTCACTGCCCCCCTCCCAGGCCTCCCCACATCCACACTCACTGCCCCCCACCCAGGCCTCCCCACGTCCACACTCACTGCCCTGGGCCCAGGCCTCCCCACATCCACACTCACTGCCCCCCACCCAGGCCTCCCCACATCCACACTCACTGCCTCCCACCCAGGCCTCCCCACATCCACACTCACTGCCCCCCACCCAGGCCTCCCCACATCCACACTCACTGCCCCCCTCCCAGGCCTCCCCACATCCACACTCACTGCCCCCCACCCAGGCCTCCCCACATCCACACTCACTGCCCCCCACCCAGGCCTCCCCACATCCACACTCACTGCCCCCTCCCAGGCCTCCCCACATCCACACTCACTGCCCCCCACCCAGGCCTCCCCACATCCACACTCACTGCCCCCTCCCAGGCCTCCCCACATCCACACTCACTGCCCCTGCCCAGGTCTCCCCACATCCACACTCACTGCCCCCTCCCAGGCCTCCCCACATCCACACTCACTGCCCCTGCCCAGGTCTCCCCACATCCACACTTACTGCCCAGGGCTGAAGCAATCGCTGCCTCGTCCTCATAAGCACACTGTTTTTACCTCTTCCCAGAACTTCGCAGTTTCTGGTGAACGTGTCTGACCTCTCCTACTGGACCAAACACTCCCTCAGAGCAGGATGCCTCCTGCCCATATGGTACTGAAAACTGTGGCACTGGAATAGAACTGAGAGCCCAGAAATAAACCCATACATCCGTGGTCAACTGACTTTCAACAAGGATGCCGAGACCATACGACGGAGAAAGAACAGTCCTTCCAACAACATCTGCTGGGACAAGTGCAGAGCCACCTGCAGAAGGATGACGTGGACCCTGACATCACACCATTGCAAAATTTAACTCAAACGGATCAAAACCTAATGCAAGAGCTAAAACTATGAAATTCGTATAAGGAATGTCAGGGTAAATTTTCATGACTTCAGATTTGGCAGTGATTTCTTAGAGGACACCAAAAAATAGGTGTCATCTACATTTTGGTGTCATCTAAGATTTGGCAATGATTTCTTAGATGACACCATACACACCAAAAGAAAAAAGAGACAAATTGGATTTTTTATCATAATTTTTTTGAGACGGGGTAATGCCGTGCTGTTTAGGTTCATCTCAAACTCCTGGGCTCAAGTTGTCCTCCCACCTCGGCCCCCCAGATAGCTGAGATGACAGGCATACACCACTGTGCCTGGCTGACTTTATCGTAATTTGTAAATCTGTCATAATTTACAACTTTGTCCATCAAAGGACACTATCGAGAAGGTGAAAAGACAGCCCATAGAATGGGAGAAGATATTTGCAAACCATATATCTCATAAGGGTCTAGTATCTACACTATATAAATAATTCTCACAACTCAACAACAAAATGACAATTCCATTTAAACATGGGCAAAGGATTTGAAAAGACATTTCCCCAAAGAAGATACGCAAATGCCCAAAAATCACATGAAAAAAGACTCAATATTGTTAACCATCAGGAAAATACAAATCAAAACCACCATGAGATACCACTTCACATCCACTAGGATGGCTACACTAAAAAATATGAAAAATAACAAGTGTTCGTGAGGATGTGGAGAAACTGGAACACTTGTATCTTGTTGGTGGGAATGGAGATGGTGCAGCCACTATGGAAGACAGTTTAGTTCCTCAACAAGTTAACACACAATTATCATCTGACCCAACAATTTCGCTCCCAGGTATAGACCCAAAAGAATTGAAAGCAAGTGTTCAAATTAAAACCTGTACACCAATGCTCATAGCAGCACCATTCACAATAGCCAAAGGGGGAAACAACTCAAATGTCCATCAACTGGGAAAAGGACAAACAAAATATGGTGTATCCACACAAAAGGATATTATTTGGCTATAAAAAGGAATGAAGTATCGATTCATGCTACAACACAGACAAACCTTGAAAATCTGTTAAAAGAAGCCAGTCACAAAAAACCACATATATGATCCCATTTATGTAAAATGTTCAGAATAGACAAATTTATAGAGACAGAAAGTAGATTAGTGGTTGCCTAGGGCTTGTTGGGGTCAGGGAAGGGGGACAGCAAAAGGGAATAGGGTTTCTGTATGTGGTGATGATTGGTGATGGTGATTAGAAGGTCATCCATGACATCCCCCATTACTCTGGTGAATGAAGACCATCTATCCCAAATTAATATGTTATTAATTTATTCTCCTCATAGAGAATTTATAGAGTCTCATTGACCAACCAGCCAGACATGATGCTAATCTGGGTTCCAAAAACAAGAAACACCACGACAGATCAAGGAAATTGTTAGTGATGGAATCCAAATGTCAGGCATGTAAGTTTCACTATAACATTTGTTCCACTTTGCTGCATGTTTTTAATTATTCATAATAAATTATTATAAAAGTAAAATTACAAGTAGGTATTTTGGGCATTCAACCTGTAGAAACCAGGTTCACAACATTAGGAGGACACAGACAATGACCTTGCAAGGTCCCACTTGCAAAAAAACACATCCATGCCTGTTCCTGCTCCCCACAGGTGTCCACAGGCGACACACCAGGTGACATGGCTGCCTCAGGGAAGCAGAAGATGCAGGACTTCCCTATCGTGGCACAGGACTGAGGGCTGTGGAGTCAGTCTCTACGTAAACACATTCAGCTCTCTGAGTTCAAACCAAGTCAGAAAATGGGCAGAGCCACTGCTTTTATTAGCTCCAAATGAATCTGGCAAGGGATGCTGGGACTGACAAAGCAGGCGCTCAACCCTGTCACGCACTCCAGGTAGCCCTGCCAGCAGGCTGATGAATTCTCTTCTTCTGACAGGTGACAAAGGGCAGTGGTTACAGGTCTGGGCTCAGGGTCGCGTATCTGAGGTTTGCATTCTGGCTGCGAATTATGAGCTTGGTGACCTTGGGCAACTTCCTTCATTTCTCTAAGGCTTGGGTGCATCATCTATAAATGAGTAGCTGCCTCCTGGGGCTATTGGGAAGAATAAATTCAACCGGTGGTTCTGAATCGGAGTGATTTTGTCCCCCAAGAGACATTTGGAAATATCTGGAGACATAGTTGCGGGTGCTATTGACTACTATCCATCCAGTGGGTAGAGGCCAGGAATGCTGCTAAACATCCCTGAGGCACAAAACAGCCCCCATGACAGAGTTATCCAGCCTAAACGCCAAAGCACTGGAGTTGAGAAAACCTGATAGAGGTGGTGTAGGTAACACAACCAGCACAAAGCCTGTCACAGTGTGCATTCTCAGGGTAGGGCCATCATGGCCATCCTCATCATCACCATCATCATCATAATATTCACCATCATCACCATCAGTCATCATCATTACCATCACCATCACTGTCATCTCTGTCATCACCACCATCATCACTATCATCACCCCCATCATCACCATCATCATCGTCACCACTGTCATCATCGTCATCACTATCACCATCATTGTCACCATCATATTCACCTCCAGTCATCATCACCATCAGACATTGTCATCATCACCATCATCATTTTTACCATCATGATCACCAACACCACTATAATCACCCTCATCATCATCACCATCATCACTATCATCACCATCACTGTTACATCATCATCATATTCACCTCCATCAGTCACCATCACCACCATCACTGTCATCTCGGTTACCACCACCATCACTATAATCATCACCATCACCATCACCGTCATCATTATTACCATCATCATCACCAACACCACTATCATAACCATCACCACCATCAGACATCATCACCATCATCACCCACATCATCATCACCATCACCACCATCAGACATCATCACCACTATCATGACCATCACCCACATCATCATCACCATCACTGTCATCTGTGTCACCACCACCATCATCACTATCATCATCACCATCATCATGATCACCATCATCATCACCAACACCACTATCATCGCCCTCATCATCACCATCATTGTCAATCAGCATCACCATCATCACTATCATCACAATCACTGTTACATCATCACCATGTTCACCTCCATCAGTCATCATCACCACCATCACTGTCATCTCAGTTACCACCATCACTATAATCATCACCATCATTGTCAATCACCATCACCATCATCACTATCATCACAATCACTGTTACATCATCATATTCACCTCCATCAGACATTGTCACCATCAGTCATCACTATTCTCATCATCATCCTCTTCTGTATTGGGGGAAATGCCCAGAGGGGCTCATATCTGGGCAGGAGACCTGATGAATAGAAAGTGTATATACTGGGAAGAGGAATCAGCATGAGGGGAAAGGCCACCTGGCCTTGCTGAGAGAGGCAGGAGGCCCGTTGGTGAGGCCAAATCAAAAACCATCCTGGCCTGTAATCCCAGCATTTTGGGAGGCCAAGGCGGGAGGATCGATTGAGCCCAGGAGTTTGAATCCAGCCTGGGCAACATGGTGAAACCTTGTCTCTGAAAACACACACACACACAGAAAAAATTAGCTGGGCTCAGTGACACACACCTGTAATCCCAGCTACTTGGGAGGCTGAGGTAGGAGGGTCACCTGAGCCTGGGGAGGTTAAGCCTGCAGTGAGCCATGATCGTGCCACTGCACTCCAGGCTGGGCTACAGAGTGAGACCCTGTCTCAAAGGCAAACAAACAAACAGAACACCCTAAATCCCATCTGCAAAGGTGGCAGTAGCTGGCAAGTCTACAGCCACTGCTGTGAGGACTCCATCTGCCTGGTCACTTTCCCACCTCTCTAACTTCTCATTGCCATTAGCAGGAACTTCCTCAAACAAAACCACCGGGGGGTTCATCCTCAGAGAAGCTGGAAGGGGGAATCCCTGGGGTTTCTACGCCTGTATAGCCAGGCTTGGAGAAACAGAAACAGCCACCCAGGACTGGCTAGAGAACTGAGTCCTGGGGCAAGTGAGAGGAGGCTAGGAGCAGTGCCCTGAGGCTGAGAAGTGGGTGCCTGCTGGGGCACGCGTGCTCCCCATCTGCACGCACACCCTGCTGGGGCACGCGTGCTCCCCATCTGCGCGCACACCCTGCTGGGGCACGCGTGCTCCCCATCTGCGTGCATACCCTACTGGGGCACGCGTGCTCCCCATCTGCGTGCACACCCTGCTGGGGCACGCGTGCTCCCCATCTGCATGCACACCCTGCTGAGGCAAGCGTGCTCCCCAACTGCCCCATCTGCCCGCACACCCTGCTGGGGCATGCCTGCTCCCCACCTGCACACACACCCCGACTTTGCACTGTAAGGACAAATGGGATGCCAGTGGGCTCTGAGTCTCGAAGACCAGGACATAAGGGAAACACAAAATGTCACATGGGGGAGGTGAAAGGTTTGTCTGTCAATGATCAATTAGGAGAACCACCATTGAGGGCTTACCATTTGCAAGGTTTAGTTCCAAGTGCTTATGGAATCATCTCCTTTATCTTTCAAAGTAACCCTATGAGGCAGGTTTTAACAACCCCATTGTACAGGTGAGCAAACTGAGGCTCAGAGAGGTAAATGACAGCTGGTAAGCGACAAAGGCCCAGGATTTGAACTCCAAGCATAAGCTCTTAACCACAAGCATAGTCCAACTTCTCAACACTTCATAGTACTCTTTGCTAGACAGAACTATGTGTGTTTGGGGCCTTTTCCCGTCCCAGTTGTGTTAGTCCGTTTTCACGCTGCTGATAAGGCATACCCAAGACTGGGCAATTTACAAAAGAAAGAGGTTTAATGGACTTACAGTTCCACGTGGCTGGGGAAGCCTCACAATCATGGTGGAAGGCAAGGAGGAGCAAGTCACGTCTTACATAAACGGCAGCAGGCAAAGAGAGAGCTTGTGCAGGAAAACTCCCCCTTACAGAACCATCAGCTCTCGTGAGACTTATTCACTCTCATGAGAACAGCACGGGAAAGACCCGCCCCCATGATTCAATGACCTCCACCGGGTCTCTCCCACAACAGGTGGGAATGCAAGATGAGATTTGGGTGGGGACACAGCCAAACCATATCATCAGTCATCCCATGTACGCACATAATCTTTTTTCCTTCTCCTTTCAGATAAGTCAGAGACAATAAATAAGATTATAAATAGAAAAACACTATTTTGTAAAATATAAGAAAACAAACAACAGACACTTCACTGAAGATATACAAATGGCAAACAAGCCAATGAAAAGATGTCCAACATGATATGTAATTAGGGAATTGCAAATTAAAACAACAAGATACTACTACACACCTGTTAGAACAGCCCAGATCCAAAACACTGACAACACCAAATGCTAGTGAGGATGTGCGGCAACAGGAACCTCAAACACTGTAAAATGGCCCAGCCGGCCAGGCGCGGTGGCTCACGCCTGTAATCCCAGCACTTTGGGAGGCCGAGGCGGGAGGATCACGAGGTCAGGAGATCGAGACCATCCTGGCTAACATGGTGAAACCCCGTCTCTACTAAAAATACAAAAAATTAGCCAGGCATGGTGGCAGGCACCTGTAGTCCCAGCTATTCAGGAGGCTGAGGCAGGAGAATGGCGTGAACCCGGGAGGCAGAGGTTGCAGTGAGCCAGGATCATGCCACTGTGCTCCAGCCTAGGCAACAGAGCGAGACTCCGTCCCAGATTTTAAAAAAATAAATAAATAAATAAAAATAAAGCCAACCTGGGCAGCACAGTGGGACTCTGTATCTATGAAAAATAAAAAATTTTCAACAGGGAACCCTCAAGCACTGCAAAACAGTACAGCCAACCTGGGTAGCACAGTGGGACTTTGTATCTATGAAAAATAAAAACATGTTTAGCCAGGCGTGAGGGCACATGCCCACAGTCCCAGCTCCTCGAGAGGCTGAGATGGGAGGATGGCTTGAGCCCCAGAGCTCAGGGTGGCAGGGAGCCGTGACTGTACAACCACACTCCAGCCTGGGTGACAGAGCAAGACTCTGTTCAAAAAAAAAACCAGCCCAGCCACTTTGGAAGGTAGTTTGTTACAAAGTTGACTATACTCTTACCAAAGGATCCAGCAATCACATTCCTTGGTATATGCAAATGAACTGAACATTTATGCAAATAAACTGAACAGTTATCTCTATTCAAGAACCGGCACACTCATGTTGACTAAATATTTATTCATAATTGCAAAAACTTGGACACAACCAAGATGTCCTTCATCAGGTGAATAAACAAAATATGGTACCATATATTCATACGATGGAACAGAATTCAGTGATAAAAAAAATGAGCTAGTAAGGCTGGGCAGGATGGCTCATGCCTGTAATCCCAGCATTTTAGGAGACCGAGGTGGAAGGATTACTTGAGGCTAGGAGTTCAAGGCCAGCCTGAGCAAAATAGTGAAATCCCATCTCTACCAAAAAAAAAAAAATTAAATTAATTAAAAGAAAAATGAGGCTACTCTGGGCACCCTGCCTATGGGGCAACCCTTCTCTGCAAGGAGCAGTTAAAAAAAAAAAAAAAAACAGAGCTGGCAAAGGGAAGGAAACCAGTCTGAAAGGGCTACTTACTGCAGGGTTCCAACTACATCTATGACATTCTGGAAAAGGCCAAACTATGGAGACAGTAAAAAGACCAGGGATTTGGGCGTGGAACAGGAAGGATGAGGACATGGATTGCAGGGGATTTTGAAGGCAGCAAAGCCATTATTCTCCCCACATGTCCTTACACATTGGTTGAAGTCCACACTACCTACACCTCCAAGATCCAACCCTAAGTGTACACTACACGTTTCAGTTAATAATAATGTATCAGTATTACCACATTTATTGTAACAAATGTACCTCACCAAAGCAAGATGTTAATCATGGGAAATTGAAAGAGGTAAGAGGTTAGACGGGAACTCTGTACTTTTTGTTCAATTTTTTCTGTAAACCTAACACTGTTCAAGAAAAAAAAAAAAAAGTAAAGTGCTACCAAATGCAATGAAAAAAATTTTAATTTTCTTCTTCATAGAGAAAACAAAAATAGCACACTAATGGTCATCAATGCGGAAGAATCTTGCCACGCCACTAATATTACATTTGAGTGTTATACCCTCCCGAATGCTTTTGTGTGGACTAATCACAGGCGCCCATCATCCCTGTTTGCTAAAGGAGGAAGGTACGTACTGTCCATGCCTGTGTTCCATCCCCACCACGTGGCCCTCCCTTGGGAGTGCAGAACACTGAAAGGTCAACAAATACTGGGCCCCAGTTCTTTCTTCACCACATGCATCACAGTTGGAATCTGTGTTTATTTCTTTGTTTACGTGTTAATCTCTGGAAGGTGCACGGGGAGAAGGGTCACCTCCATTGTGCTGGCTCTGAAGAGCCACTGCATATTGCACAGTGCACGAGATGAATCCAAAATGAATCAGACAGCGGCTCCAATAAATGCTGAGGCCATGCAAAGAACACTGGGAGTGAAGAGAAGGCGCAGTGAAGATCTTGCTCTGTGGCAGTCCTGGAGGGCTTCAAAGAGAAGAATGTGGTGCAGGGCTCAGAGGGAAAAGGAGGGACTTGGCAGGCAGAAGGCGGCATTCCAGGGAGAGAATGGTCCTCCCAGAAGTGCCACAAAGGAAGAGGAAACTCACTCAGAGAACTAGGGTAATTGGGCAGGAGGGAAACTCGCCTGGGCAGGTTAGTGACTGCCCTGAGGTCACAGCTCGCTGGCACCAACTTGGGCAGAGCTGGGAACTCCGAAGCTGTAGAAACAGCCAAGTGCACCTTGAGCTTTCACTGAAGTCAGGCTGAGAAGAGAGGAAAGTGAACACACCCTCCCCATTTCACCCACATCTCCCAACATCCAGGGGCCAGGAGCGTGCCCAGAAATTACCAGCTCAAACTCAAAACGGCTCTAAGGTTAAATGCACGTTCTATCCCACCACATATTGATTATTTCAAAAATTAAAATGACTGGGCACAGTGGACCATGCCTGTAATCCCAACACTTTGGGAGGCCAAGGTGGGAGGATTGCTTGAGGCCAGGAGTTCGAGACCAACCTGGGCAATGTAGCAAGACCCCATCTCTATAAAAAAACTTTTTAATAAAAATAAATGTTAAAAATTAACTAATTAATTCAATTTAATTAAAATAATGCTTCTCCTCCACCTTAAGACATAACCTTCCAAAAATGTCTTCCAGTAAAATCGAGTCCAGGATTATGCAACTCTAGTTTTATGTAGTAATAGCAGCAGCAGCTGACATTTCTGTAACACCTTATCTATATCATCACTCACAATCTCCACTGCAATCCCATCGAGGGCCATCAGCACCCTGATATTACTGCTGTGCCCAGCACACCACAGGGACAGCACACACCCACACAGAGGAGCACAGAGGCCAATTAGATTCCTCCAAGTTAAATAGTGTGTCCACAGTCTCACTACTGCAGATGCGATCTCCCTTTCAGAGGTGTAGGTTTGCAATTGGACTCTACAGCTAACCAGCGGTTTAATTTGGGGCTTGTTACATTTCCCTACACTCCATTTCTTCCTCTGTACAACAGAGGTAATAAGTAATGCATTCCTCAACAGGTTTTTTCCAGAGTGAATTGTGGTAACAGAGTAAAAGTTCCAGGCTGGGCGCGGTGGCTCACGCCTGTAATCCTAGCACTTTGGGAGGCTGAGGCAGACGGATCACAACATTGAGACCAGCCTGGCCAACATAGTTAAACCTCATCTCTACTAAAAATACAAAAATTATCTGGACGTGGTGGCACGCACTTGTAATCCAAGCACTTTGGGAGGCCGAGGTGGGCAGATCATGAGGTCAAGAGATCAAGACCAGCCTGGCCAACATGGGTGAAACACCATCTCCACTAAAAATACAAAAATTAGCTGGGCATGGTGGTGCATGCCTGTAATCCCAGCTACTCAGGAGGCTGAGGCAGGGGAATCGCTTGAACCGAGGAGGCGGAGGTTGCAGTGAGCCGAGATCGCACCAGTGCACTCTAGCTGGTGACAGAGCAAGACCCCATCTCAAAAAAAGAAAAAAAAGTTCCAAACACAGTATCTGGTACCTAGCAGGCCCTCACAAAACAAAACAAAACAAACCCGTTTTTTAAACCAAGCTGGTCCCTGAATGCTGGTGAACTTCTCTGCACTAAAAGGATGAAATGGGAATTAAAAAAACTGTGACCCTCTGACCGCAGGCCCTGATGATGGATGAAATCTTGGCCTGGGCTGTCAGCCAAGGCCATCTGGGCCAAACCATAGGGCAGGAAACAGCAGGCTTCCTCCTCCTGTCTGAACTCTGGCCCAGAGAGGAGCTTCCTTCAGCTGGCCGCACCCACTTCCCCGACAACATTCCAGAACATTCCATGATAGGCCAGGAGACTCCAGGAAGAGGTCACTGAGTAGCTCTTAGCATCTCCTCCCAGCCCAGCCAGGAGAAGATGCTCCCCCCTTCTAGGACTCCATGTACAACTTCTGAACTGTACCCCTGCCCATCACCCACGGCCTCCCCACAGAGGGCCAAGGCTCAGCTTGTCCACCTCCGACCTACCTCTCTCCAACGTCTCTAGGCTGCCCCCCAAGCCAGTAAGAGATGTCCTGGGTGGCTGGGTTGCTTGTCCTTGGCTATGGCCCTAGTTTGGCTTCTTAAACCCTCTTTACCTGGGCCCTTAACTGGTCATCTGCCTCCAGTCCTGGTATCCACTACACATAAACGAGACTCTTCAAGGACTGTCAAGAAACACTCCCCTCCTCAAGCACCCTCAATAGCTCCCACTGCCTCCTGAAAAGTTCAGAGGCCACACCCTGAGACTGACGGTCCTCCACAATATAGTCCCACACCTACCCTCTGTTCCCTACAGGACTCACCTGCTGCAACCAAAATAGATTACACCAAGAATCGTACCCACATGTCTGGACCTGTAAGTACAGACCCACCTCCCATCTCCACCTAGCTGAGTCTCACTCCTCCTGCACCCCGCCTGTCTCTTCCATGAGCCTCTCTTTTTCTTGTCTCTGAATTCCTCCAGCATGCAATTTCCAAAGCACAGGCCTCCACACGCCACCAGCCATCCCCACGTGGCTCCCGTACGATTCTTTACTTAATATTTCCCTTTAAATCAACCCACTCTTTTACTTGAACAAATTTATTTTCAAAGGAAACTGTATATCTCCACCATAAATAGAAAAACCATGCCATATGCCACAAATAGAAGGCAGATGAAAAAAAACAAGTTATGCTCTAATACACATGAAAATAAATCATCAGGAAAACATTTTTAAATGCTTGTCCATGTGCCTGACGAGGTAAACCTATATACAGGTTGTAAATGGAACAGCACCTCGAGGGACAAGGGTCCCGAAACGGGCCCCTGCATGTGCGTACAGGCCGTGCTTACATCCTGACAACTTCAACTGCTCCTGACCAAGTCAACTGGCCACGCGGCCTTCCAAAATCTTCAAAAATCCCCTCCTGCTCTAAGACGCGTGGCCTTGGCACTTTATGTTCTGCTTTCTTTGTGGCCCCTGGGTTTTTCGGCCCCATCTCACAGTTATCTGGGGACTTGTCACCAAATGTGAGTATCCCAGGGTAGGGAGCACAGAGCCTGCTGCAGCCCCTGAGCCAGTCTTGCACGCAGCATAACACGCAATACAAACAGCTCTCCAACAGCACGCTCTGGTCTGCTCCGATGCGTGGCCCCCATTCTCTGCCTGACCCCAGGCCCATCTGCTGCTAGCGCACAACCCCTCTGCCCCACTCCCCCAAATCCATCTCTGTCCACTGGGGTGTTTCAAAGGACCACACAGAAAGAGCAACGGAGGCACCAGCGGGGCATGAGGCTGTTCTCCAGCCCCGGCTGCCTCTTCTTTAGAAGCAGCAGGACCTGCGGCACGAGGCTGTTCTCCAGCCCCGGCTGCCTCTTCTTTAGAAGCAGCAGGACCTGGGGCAGCCTGGAAAAGCAAGTTTCCAGTCAACGATTAACCAGACGCTCTCCCAGCAAAGACACAAACCTTTTCCCCGGAAGTTAGCAAAGTTCTGTGAAAACCCCTGCATGAACTGGGCCCCTGACTCCAGGAAAACAGAGGCATCTTCCAATGTCCTTGGAGCCATGAGACCCCGAAACACCTACCGGGAACAGAGGGGCTTCACCCAGACAGGCCCCACCAGGGAGGAGGAGGCCGCTCTCCCTCCCACCACCGTTGTCGGGGGTGACCCGAGGTGTTCCAGATGAGGAGCTGAATCACTGGGACTTAAGTCAATAAGTGGCAGCCACCAGGCAGGCCCAGCTGGAGCCAAACCAAGGCCTGGATTCTCCTCGTGGATGTCTGGTAAGGCCCCACCACGTACCCCAGTCACGTAGTCTCTAAAACTGAACAGATTTGGGACGCTTCCTCTTAGAGGGCAGCCCTCTTTGGGACTGTTAGTCTGGCCACTTTTACACATTTCAAGCATTTTTTGGGTTAGAAAGGGCACATTTTCTGTATCCAAAACAGCCCTTACAGGCAGCAGTGGTGGTGCACGGGGCCTGCGTCAGCATCTCATCGCTTCCTGAAGCCCCGCTGCCTGGAGTGGGGCCCCTTTTGGGTGTGGCTCTTCAGGAGCAAGGCAAATTGACGCACAGAGAACTTGACAGATGTGTAAATGGAACAGCTTCCCGGAGGTACCTCGAGGAGGGCAAGGGTAATGAAATGAATGAAATGAACCCCTGCACAGCGAGGGAGCACTTACACCCTGACACCCTCCTGCAGGGAGAAGGAAGATGACAAGGATCTCTCTGTTGACCTTTTCATAGTGCAAACAAGCTACTGATAGAAAAAAGAAAATGTTTTCATGCTTAAAAAAAAAATAAACACCATCAGCAACCTTTCCCCATGGGGAGCAGCAGCAGGTGCTACCACAAGAGAGACAGACAGATGGATATAATTGCCAAGAGGCTCTCAAACTGGGTTCCAAGGAGCCAGGGGTGTGGAGACCCTCTTCAGGACTGTACAGGCGAAGCAGGGGGCTGGGAACAAGGCCGGTTATTATAACCCAACAAACTGGGTTCCAAGGAGCCAGGGGTGTGGAGCCCCTCTTCAGGACCGTGCAAGCAGAAGCAGGGGGCTGGGAACAAGGGGGTTATTACAGCCCAACCCAGAGCAACTCAGCTTTTTCCTCGTCATCTGTCAGGCTTCCAGGTAAGACTTCATTTGAAGAAAAGGTCCTGCAGTAAAGATGTTGAGAAGTGCTGATATGCGCTGCTGGTTATATGAAAGGGTGGAAGGAGGACTGGCACGGTGGCTCACTCCTGTAACCCCAGCTACTCCAGAGGCCGAGGCGGGTGGATCACCTAAGGTCAGGAGTTCGAGACCAGCCTGGCCAACATAGTAAAAACCCATCTCTACTGAAAATACAAAAATTAGCCAGGTGTGGTGGCAAATGTCTGTAGCCCCAGCCATTCAGGAGGCTGAGGTGGGAGGGTGGCTGGAGTCTAGGAGTTTGAGGCTGCTGTGAGCCATGATCTAGCCACCGTACTCCAGCCTAGGTGACAGAGTGAGACCTCGCCTTAAAATTTAAAAAATAAAATAAAATTCATGGGTAGGCCAGGCATAGTGGCTCACGCCTGTAACCCTAGCACTTGGGAAGGCTGAGGCTTGGCCAGACATGGTCGTGGGCAACTGTCGTCCCAACTACTCGGGAGGCTGAGGCAGGAGAATCGCTTGAACCCGGAAGGCGGAGCTTGCAGTGAGCCGAGATCGCGCCACTGCACTCCAGCCTGGGCAACAGAGCGAGACTCCGACTCAAAAAAAAAAGAAAGAAAGAAAGAAAGTGTGGAATGTGCTGGAAGCCATCTCTGAGTGTGCGGGACCACACACCACACACATACCAAGGCCTGTGGGAGACCCGCACACCACAGCCCCAGGCCTGCAGGAATCAGCTGGTCTTTGTCCTGCTCATGCACTCCGTGTAGAAGAAATGCAGAAGAGAAGCCTCCTTTGCCAGGGTCCAGCCAGGCCACGCTGCTCTTCCCCTGGCAGGACCACAGGTCGGGAGGACCAAGCTCAGAAACGCAAATGACACCAAATCAAGTGGAGCCTCGAGCCAAGTGAAGCTTCTGGAAAAGAGACTTGAACCCAGCAGGGACAGGGGCTCGATGCAGACGTCAGAGCCAGAGGTGTGGATCCAGAGACCAGAGGCCAAAGAGATGTGATAAACTATGTCAGTGACTGGAGCCGACCCTGGTCAGTCCCTGGGGCAGGCATGGCAGCAAGAGGCTGGTTTCCACATGTGCCCAGAGTTTGCTTCATGGAAAGGCCAGCTCTGCGCAAAGGTCCAGGGGGGACCAGTCACGAAGGTGTGAAGAGGCCTGAGTGTTTGTCTTCCATTCAGCTGAGAAAGGCAGAACGCCGCCACACTGCTGCACAGACGGCACCTTCTACACCTTTACACTCCTCACACTGAGCTCCAGGGTCCGGACAGCTGTGCACCTGCCACCTTTAGCAAAGCGAAGGCCAGGGGCCCCTGCTGGCCTTCTGCAATGGGCATATATTTTGTCTACCCAGCATTCCTTTCCTTTTTGAGAATAACTCTTCAGGTCAAAGTAGTCACGCCCAGTCTTCCTGGGCAAGAGAAACAGCCCCTCCTTCCCCTTCTTCCTGGGTGAATGTGATGAGGATGACCAATTAGAATAGCCCCACCCCCAAGGCAGGGTAATTGGCTCAGGGCTGGGCATGTGACCCAGACCCAGCCATACTGAGTCCTCCTGGGGTCTTGCCAGAGTTCCTGTGCAATAAACCCACTGTCTGGGACGGTAAGCACGGCACTAGCTCACGATGGCCAGTAGCCACCTGGCTCCCCCTTGAAACGGCCTGTCTGCCGGTGCAGCTAAACAGAGCTGAGAGATGAAGGTGAGTCACCTCATACCCATGGTCAATGGCTGGATCCAGCCGTGCCTGAACGACTGTTTTGATCCCCAGGTGCCAGGCCCACAGAGCTGCCTTTTTGCTTATGCTAGTTTGAATTGGGTCCTTGTCATTTGCCATCCAGAGCCCTGAGTAAGTCACCTGCACTGTGTGGGAAGGTGTGACCGTGCACCACACTTACTAACAGTCATCTTCACAGGCGACCGCGCACCACACTTACTAACAGTCGTCTTCACAGGCGACCGCGCACCACACTTACTAACAGTCGTCTTCACAGGCGACCGTGCACCACACATACTAACAGTCGTCTTCACAGGCGACCGTGCACCACACTTACTAAAAGACATCTTCACAGGCGACCGTGCACCACACATACTAACAGTCGTCTTCACAGGCGACCGCGCACCACACTTGCTAACAGTCGTCTTCACAGGCGACCGCGCACCACACTTGCTAACAGTCGTCTTCACAGGCGACCGCGCACCACACTTGCTAACAGTCGTCTTCACAGACGACCGCGCACCACACTTGCTAACAGTCGTCTTCACAGGCGACCGCGCACCACACATACTAACAGTCGTCTTCACAGGCGACCGCGCACCACACATACTAACAGTCGTCTTCACAGGCGACCGCGCACCACACTTACTAACAGACGTCTTCACAGGCGACCGCGCACCACACTTACTAACAGTCGTCTTCACAGGCGACCGCGCACCACACTTACTAACAGTCGTCTTCACAGGCGACCGCGCACCACACTAACAGTCGTCTTCACAGGCGACCGCGCACCACACTTACTAACAGTCGTCTTCACAGGCGACCGCGCACCACACTTACTAACAGTCGTCTTCACAGGCGACCGCGCACCACACTTACTAACAGACGTCTTCACAGGCGACCGCGCACCACACTTACTAACAGTCGTCTTCACAGGCGACCGCGCACCACACTTACTAACAGTCGTCTTCACAGGCGACCGCGCACCACAGATACTAACAGTCGTCTTCACAGGCGACCATAGACCACACATACTAACAGTCGTCTTCACAGGCGACCGCGCACCACAGATACTAACAGTCGTCTTCACAGGCGACCGTAGACCACACATACTAACAGTCGTCTTCACAGGCGACCACGCACCACACACACTAACAGTCGTCTTCACAGGCGACCGCGCACCACACACACTAACGGACGTGCCCGACATCTTCACAGGCACAGCATGAGCCCTGATGTGCGCTTTCTGCTCCTGCTCCTGCTCCTGCCCCTTCGGAGGCCTGTGCCAGTGGCAGCTGGGCCCGGAGACACCAGGCCGGCACTGCTCTCTTTCGAGGCACCCGTGTTTGTGCCGACGCTGACTCCCGGTTGTCTGCAGCAGCCACGTGGCCGAAATGGAGCCTCTCCACGGGGGCTCCTTCCCCAGCCCCTGGATGGCACAGCAGCCTCTCCTGTCTGTCACCACGTGTGACCTGCTCCCTTAGTCTTCAGCCGCTCATCCACGTCTGCAGGGGCATCTAACTCTGTCCCAGGGTATCCCAGACCCTGGCTCACGCCCCAGGCTCTCCATTCAGGCTCCATCGTCCACCTCAGACCATCTCGGGTTTGCTGGTCTTCTGGACTAGCGCAGCCAGAAAGAACCCAGGAAGGAAGCCTCACGTCTGACACAAGAACCTTCGGTGCTAACCCGAGGGCGGTATGTGCATCCTCAGCACCTGCCCATCCGGCACCATCCTCTGATCCAGGGACTGTGAGCAACAGGGCCCCGTGGCCAGGACATCTCTCACCCTCCAGTTAAAATCTCGCCAGTTGAGTCTGCCCATGAAAGTAGGCGCTGAACTGCCCAATAAATCCACAAGTAAGAGTTGCAAGAAGGAGCCAAAAAGGGCTGAGCTGAATGACTCATATATGAAATAATTTGATAATTAATATAAATAGGAAATTTAAAGTCTCCAGCTGAGTGACAGAAAACACCTTAAAAAGCTCAAGAGAGAGGAAAGGAAGAAAATAAACCTATAATTGCAAAATAAAAGCATTGAAAGAAGCCGTGCTCAAGGTAAGATGCTACAGATGCAATAAATTCATGTTTTAACATTAGCAACGTGTGGGCAACGGTGTTCCCTGGGGAACTGGCTGCATGAAGCCTCTCTGGAGAGCTGGGCCAGGCCAGTGGGAGGGCAGCTGGCACGGCCGGGGCTGGTGCGGGGTCCTGAGGCCAGAACCTGCCGGAGGGCCGTCCCCAAGGACCAACAGGCACGGGAGAGGCAGAATATAAACGCAGTCAGGGAGTAAAGGCTGTGCATTCTCCCCGGGTATTGCCTCCACCACCCCCGGGCCACACTTGGGCCTGCCCAGTTCCCCTAGCTCTTCTCTTTCCTGCCTTGCCTGCCTAAGGCCCCTCTCCCCCTGCACTCCACTCGTATCTGCTTCTCCGCCTCCTGCCCAGTCAGCCTGCTGTGCAGAGCTCCCGCAGCTGCCTCAGATCCACCCTTCCTGGGTGGCTGCTCCTCCCCGCCACCGCCCTAGGAGCACCCCAAGTAAAATCTGGTTTTTCTCCCCTCCAGGTCTGCCTCTGCCTTTGCTCCTGCTATCCCCAGGGCCCCAGGTGCCCCTCCCTCCACCTCATCCTTCTGGACCCAGCAAATGTCCTCCACCAGGAGGCCTTTCTGGACCTCCTCATCCTCCTGGAAGGAGCCTCTCCCACCCCGAAGTCCTTTAACTATTTACTTGTCCCTCTCCTTCGTACTGAGCTTATGCTGTATTTGTTTATGTGCTTATCTTCTACTGGGCTCATCTCTGTAACCTTTTTATTCTTTTATTCATTCATTCCACAAATACTAATTGAGCACCTACTATGTGCCAGACCCCATGCTAGGACTGGGGACACAATGATGAGCAAGACAGACACTGTCCCTGCCACCCTGGAACTCCCATCTTGGAGAGAAACAACAAAAACAAAACACGAAGCAAATAAACATTAGTAAACACGTCAGGATAAGCGGCGATATAGGCTGGGATAGAAAGGTGTAGGTGATGTGAGAGGCGAGTGTCCGTGCGGACAGAGGAGCTGGGGGAGGAGACTCTGAGGCCAGAGGTGTGAGCGGAGTGAGTCGGGCACGCTTTCCAGACACAAAATCGGTGTTTGCTAAACATGCGTGGAACAAATGAGTGGCTAACAAGCCAGAAATCCCAAGCGCGTGCCCCGTGTCGCTCCAGACACAACTTCCCCACCCTCATCACCCTGTGGGTCACTCCGACTGGCACCCAGACGCGTTTCCCAGCCCACACGCCTGCTACAGGGCCCACCTGTGTCACCCTCGCAGAGGCGCTTACCAGGACTCAAGGGGCTCTCCGCTCAGAACCCCTCATGGCCTCCCTGACACCACCAGCGGCCCTCGGGCTGGACAGCAAGCGGGTTTTGTCTCGCCTGCAGACTCCAGCCCCGGAGCACCACGCATGGAAGCGCAGCGAGGCCGCCCCTGGGCTCGGTGGGAAAGAGCCCTGATCGACTGGTGGCGTCTGCCAGGGGACGGCAGAAGACAGAGAGGCACATTTGCCACGTATTTTCCTTGTCACCCAGGGCTCCGCAAATGACCACTCAGGCAAGAAATCTCCTTCAGGTCTAATTGCCTGGACGAGCATTCAGTATCTGGTGCCCTTTCCTTATGGGCCACGTGAACCACGTCACTGATTTTTTTTTCCTGCTTTGACTGCTCATTAGCTCAGAGCTAAATGTGTGGTTCAAACACAGCAAAGTATATACAGCTCGATGGCCTGAATAGGGGGTCTAACTCTCCCCCTGCTTTCAACCTTCTAGCTAATCTACATCTATGTCTTTCCTGATCTTATTTTTTTGATCTCTATTTAGTTACATGTCCATATACATACACACATATATGTATAGACATATATAAACAGACATACATACATATATAAATATAAAATATCTACATATAGGTCTGGTATGTAATACCTACTTTACTTTTTTTCTATGAATGTATCTTTTAGATATATAGATATATTATGAATATATCTTACTTTAAAAAATAGAGACAGGGTCTCACTATGTTGCCCAGGCTTGGCTGAAACTCCTGGACTGAAGCGATCTGCCTGCCCTGCCCCCCACAAAGTGCTGGGATTACAGGCACGAGCCACCATGCCCAGCCATTAACATGTCTTTTTATATTTATTTTTTATATTTCTTCTCCCTTTTTTTTTTTTCAGAGACAGGGTCTCACTATGTTGCCTACGCTGGTCTTGAACTCCTGGGCTCAGGCAATCCTCTTGCCTCAGCTTCCCAAAGTGCTGGGATTACAGGCACGAGCCACTGCACCCAGCCTTTATATTTCTTATATAAATAAAATATATAGAGAGATATACATATATTCTTGTAAGCACCCTCAATTCATTTATGGAACAAGATAGAGGAATAAATGGATAGATGAATAAATGACAGACAGGAAATACCAACGCAGAATGAGACAACTTTGCTCAAAGAATTCAGAATACAGTTAGC